>NC_000013.11:101252979-101877979 GCF_000001405.40 Homo sapiens | reverse complement strand
CTAAGAGAGGTAATGAGGGGCTGGCAGTGAAAATAGAAAAAAAGAAAAAGAGCGAGAGATGCGGAAGATGCATCAAAAGGAATTGAGCAACCCATTTGTTTTAAACTTATAGTACTGAACTAGCAATTTTGGTAAGGTTTTAATGGGGCAGAGATGTATTGGAAATGTGGCCAATGGAAAAGTGAGATGGATCTGAGAAGAGGTTTTTCAAGATCTTTGATCCTTTCTAACCTTTGCGTTACTGCTTTGTAATCACAAATTCAGCTCTGGCTAGCAGGATTTGGGTTTAGACACAGTGGCAGTTAATCTTCAAAATACAAGTTGGTTTTGGTTTTTTAAAGAGATTTGATTTGCATTTTATTTTTAGTGTTGAAGACATTTTAGTTCAATTATTCCGCTTGTACAGGCTGCATTAGGTAGCAGTTAAGTGGGCAGGGTCCAGAGCTGAGTGATCAGATTCCAGCTGTTAACTTACTGGTTATGTACCCTTTGTCATATTATTACTACTTAATTGCTCTGTGTCTCGATTTCTTCATCCTCCAAGTGGGCTTCTATTAAGTAAGGTAATGGTGAGGATCCAAGAGTTAATAATAGAATGTGCTTCTAATAATGCCTGGCACCTGAGAAGAATAGAATCAATGGCGTTATGATTTCTAAAAAGGAAAAACGTCAAACAATATGTAACCAGATGAATCAAAATCAATTTGGTTGTATTTTCTCGAAGTTAAAGGAGAAAAACATAATTTTACATTTTATTTGTGCTCCCTCACCCAAAATGAGGCATAATCCCAAATCTCTCTGTATAAGCATGAGGGCGCGTGTGAGTGGGTGGGTAGGTGGCTTCTCACTGCCTCGCCTGATCTAGTTAATTCAACTCCAGAAGACAGAGTAGCTCAAATAGGAGACTGCTTAGGAATAAGTGATGTCAGAACATAAAAGTTTTACAGAAAAATTGTAAATCACTAATATTCTCATTTTTTTTCTTGACAAGAGAATAATAAAAAATTCTCTTTTTCATGTTTTTAACTCTTTTTGCTTTTATTCGCTTCTTTTCCATGCTACATATTTTCAGTGAAGAGCATAAATAAAATACAGCAAAACTAAGGAAGAAGTCTTTAGTACTTAGCCCAGTCAGGTCTTCCAGGTGATGGGCAGACTTAGGCACAATAGTATTTTTTTTCCACTAGTGCATATCTTAGAATTATGTGATTTGGGAAGTTATATACTACAGAATAAGGAACATATGTAACGCAATGCAATAATCACTTAGATATTTATTTTTAAAATCCTACTCTTTTAAAAGCTTTCATATTCTAATACAGCTAGTCACACTGATGTTGTGATGATCTGCTGTTCGTGCATTATTTTCCAAAAGGATTTTTCCAATATTATACCATCTATGAAGCAAGTCTAGGTACAATGGAGTCACGTCTCAAATGATCAGTTTTAAATGATGTGCATAGAAATAGATACTGAAATTCTTTGTAATTTCTTCAGGACTAATAAAGAGCTTAAGGATAGCTCTCAAAAAAATTTTTTTGTCTTCACCTATTTGCAAGACCACAATTTTTCTATTGATTATAAGGTGCTAGGTTTCATTACTCAGTAACGTCCGACTGTTTCGACAGCGGATTGCATTAGCATGGCCCATTCAGCTGTTGTGGAGAGATGCCAGTTGCCATGGTGAAGATTATGATGTCCCACATCCAATCTATCCCTGAGATGGGGATGGCTTTTGCAAAACCACATGCAAATATTTGTTTTCAAAGGTACAACTGACTCTTTGTGAAGCACTGGATTACTAGAGTGGATGTCTTTTCAATGAATCATCAAATGAGGATCTATTACCACATGATTTCCCTTTTTGTTTAAATAAACTTCCACTGCCCTCTATCTCAATGCCCGTTGACAAAGAATCAGATTTCATATTGTATAACTTGACTGTCCTTTTTAGTTATACAAGTTAATGAGTTTAGCAGTTTAATTTGTCTAATTTCTCTATTTGATTGCCTCAGAGCTGACCTCATATGCGTGGGTTTGCTGTGTTTCCCCTGAGCTCACAAGTAGAGTTTTCCGTTTTCCTGTGAATATGTCTAAGCAGCACAGATACTTCCATGGAAGTAACAATGACCCTTCACACATCCAGGGGTTTTCTCCAAATTGGGGCTTTTCCTAAGAATATGTATCATATGTTAGTATGAATGTTTTTAAAATATAGGTATTTTTTGTTTTGTTTGTTTTTAATTTTGGGAATACTTGTCAACTTAAGTAAAAGGAGAACTCCATTAAAAAACCTTTTAATAAAATTTCTGAGAGTCACCAGTTTGCAAAATTCTTGTCCTGCCATCATGAATGATAATATTGTTTATAATAATTCGTTTATAGTTTAAACTAATAATTAAACTGACAGCTTAATTAGTTTAATAGTTTTAATTAATAATTTAAATATGCATATACCAGTTTTATAAAACAGCCTGTTTCTGTGGCTTACTACTGCATTTCCTTTACCTTCTATAAATAGAATACTGCAGGTTTGATAAAACACAGAAGAATCTGAGAGACAAAATAAAATATGCTACTTGTATAAAATGTCCTCTTCTGAAAAAAGAAAGAGAAACAGAAAAGATAAAGGAAACTATGGTGACACATTGTGAGGCTTATGATAACTATGTTTGCCTTTCAGATCCCCAGCTCAAGGGTATAGTGACCAGGTTATATTGCAGGCAAGGCTACTACTTGCAAATGCACCCCGATGGAGCTCTCGATGGAACCAAGGATGACAGCACTAATTCTAGTAAGTGACAACCTCAGGCCACCAGTTACATAGTTGGTAGAAGATACACTGCTACTTAAATGACTTTTTAAGATTCATTTGCAAATGTTTGGTCGTGTTGGTTCATCTTTACAAATGTTACACACTAGGATGCCATTTACAATTTTATTTAAACTACGTGGATGAAAATATTAATGGAGTAACCAAAGAAACCTATGGTTTAAAGATGATTATGTTACTATTTTTGTTTTTTATTCAGACAGTTATCATACCCAGAAAATTACTGTTACTTTTAATCTTATTATTGTAAAAGTTAAGTAAGTACACTAGTGTATTTAGGTAAAAATTAATTACATGTTTTCTTTGGATGTATTATTTTATCAGGCTCTGAGGTTCTTAACGATGCCTGTGGAAACTCAAAAGCTACAAGGAATAGTTTTGTTTTGTTTTTTTACATAATAGAAATATAATTTAAAATTCTTTGCATTTAACAAAAAAAACTTTCTTATAGAAAAAAACATAAAGGTTGTGTACTTTGAAATTCATTGTGCAAAGTGTTTGCAGAATTGCATCTGTGATCATTTTTAATTAAAAAGCTACACATCTTCCACTGTATAAATGTCTGTGTTCTTTTTCCTATTTCTTTATGTATAACATTTCTCCGTCTGGTGCCTCTCCTTACTCAACTGTCTGTGTTTTGCTCTCCCATTTTCTGTTTATATTGGCATCTGATTCATTTTTAATTTAGCATATTAGTTCCAAAATAAGCACACTTTTTACTGTTTGGGGGAGTTAGTGAAAAGCAAAACTATTTTTATTAGAAATACTTAATCATAAGAAACATTATCGGTGGATCAAAAATAGATATGAATTTTTTCATTAATGTATGTCTTATTCTTCACATATAAACATCATTCCATGAAAAGAAGTGAGGGTTTGAATAATACACATAATCAAATCAGAAGGCACTTCCTTTTTTATTTTTATTTTATTTATTTTTATCAGCTCAATTTAAAATTCAGCACTTCCTTTTTTAAATTCCAGTGATCAAATTGCCAGTAACACTGATTCTGGCAGTAGTTAGCGATACAAAATAGGTTATTTTTACATGTCGTTTTGCCATGTGAAATATCATTATTTTTCCAGCCATCGTGTTCACTTTTTGTATTTTGTGCATTGCTTCACTTTTTATTTTTTCTTCAATTCCTTTTTAATTGTTGTGTATATCTACATTGTCCTCCGTGTCAATTTCTAATCTCTTTACTCTCTTTGTGTCTCATATCACTCTTTTTTATTTTTAAATTTTTCCTTTTTATGTTTGTTTATTGGTTTATTTTTAGTTTATTTCCTTTTTGATATAGGAAAAGAGAAGGTAAAACAATTCAGCTACAGAAGAAAGAGGAGGCGTTTTATGCCAAACATGTACTTTTGCAGCTTTTGTTATTAGTTTGAACTTTCAAAGATTATTGGTAGTTGACAATCTTTGACCAACAAAAGATGTCAGTTTCTTATGGTTCAGGCTAATACATGTATCTCTGCTCAGTTTCTTTTCCCCTTAAACTCTTTACCCATTTGTTGACAAAAACCATTTCCTTTCTCTTACGTGTTACTGTTGTGTAGGTCACAAAGTTTAGCGATTCATAATTTCTGATGTCTTCAGTGTTCTCTCATTTTGTTTGGCCTGGGAGGATTAGAACGTAATAACTAGTTTCCCATAACTCTGATCACTAGGTGAGCTATGACACTCTGAAAGATTCATCAGGCTAAAGACTGATGCCATCCATTTTATGACAAAAGTTTTCAAGACAGGACATACACCATAGCTTCATAAATATATTGCTTTATTGGACTACGTGAAAAATAATTTCACTCAAACAAAGGTTTTATGTGTTTTTTCTCTAGCATTTTTTCTTTGTGTAATTTTTGCAGAGCCAACAAAATTGGTTACCTTTAATGATAGGAATCAATATTATTTTGAGAAGTGTCTATTAGACATTGCCTTTTAAAAGCATACTGCTTCAGAATTGAATAAGCACTTTCTAAATATGGAAGTGCAGATTTATTATGTGCACACATACAGGTCTGGTTATCTGAATAATTTTAAAGACTAAACTGGAAAGCTGAGATACTAAAAAACACTCCACCTTCTGTTCTGTAAATATATGTTTTTTTTTTTTCTTCTGTATCTGCAGTAGAAGGAGCAAAAACTCAGAACGAATCTTGAAATTTCTTCTGACACTCTAAATGCTAGTGAGACACAGTCCTGAGAAGAAAGATGAAACAGGATCCCCTTTGTAAAAGCAAATCAGAAGAAAATCATAATGCCCACACTCGAGGGGCTCAAATTCCTGTGCAAAGTTCTGGTCCACAGCTTTTCTGAGACATTATATTGCATTTCAAGTGCACTGTAAGCCAGTTAGTTTAGTTTTGTTACTATTTCAACATTTGCAAAGAAATAAAGAAAAACAGTGGGTAAAATCAATATTCCCTCCTCAAAAGGTTCTACAAATTATATGACTATAAAATTTAATACAATTGGCAGAATCGTAGCAGATTTATAAAAGTAATGGAAATTACTAATTAACTTCATTTTTATGTCCTCTGGCCTATGCAAATTGCAAAACGGTGTTTCTTAGGATGAATTTAAAGACATTTTCTTTTCTCTAGTTCATTTCAATAGTCTCATGAATCTTATGAAAAATGTAAGCACTGAAAAATTCTTTAAAAATAGGAATGTGCTTTAGAAAGGCTGTCAGGTCCTACTTAGAGTACAGCTCTTTTGTTGTGAGGACAGAGGTGATGTAATAATCATATAGTTTCCTAGTTATGAATAACCAACCCATGGTTTGTATTCAGGGAGTTATAAAAAATGGAAACATGTTTATGAATAATCATTCATAAACATACTGAACATAAACATTATGAATAATCATTCATAAACATGTTTCCATTTTTTATGACTCCCTGAATACAAACCATGGGTTAGTTATCCATAACTAGCAAAAATAATTTTAAAAAAACCAAAAACTCACCCAGATAGCACTGTTAAAGTCACTAAATAACAAAATTGAGGGCTTGAACTTTCGTATCTTCATGAATTGAGTTCAATACATTTCCCACACTAAATATGGATATTTAGAATGAAAAAAAGACAGAACCATCCTGCTAAACTGCCTTTGTTAAAAATTTCAGATGAATTAAGAAGAGGGGAAAAAGGCCCACTGGTAGGCAAACGTTGGTGCCCCTGTTCTCCAAGGGTTTCCAGTCTAATATATGTAGATCTCTGGGAAGGAAAAGTAGCACAAAAATTGTGGATGATGGGTAAATGGTTCTGGTGGAGAAAATACTGTAGCAAGTCAACTGCTTTATTATTGACTACCATAATAATGGAAAGATCTTTCACAAAAGGAAGTGAGCACCTAGGTAACCTCATTACCACTCTCATTTAAAGTTCTTCTAAATGTCAGCATCCCCATGAACTACGGTACTTTATTAGTGGGTGAGTTTTCTTTCCCCCCACTTTGCTTTTGGGGATGCCATGGATTTTTTCTGTGCTCTTAAACTTCATTGTTCCTACTGACAGACAATAGCTACTACAAGCAGAATAGGACTCTACAGATATCAATACACTATTAACTATGGTAATGTTAAAACCTCAAAAGTCCCTCTCACCTTAGAAATGCTCAACCTGGTAACTTGATGTGTAAAATATTTCGATCACTCAGTGGCCACCACCCCACAGGATTTAGGACGGCAGTTCTCACCGTCCTTAGTTGTATATTAGGGTTATTTGAGGAGCTTTTCAAAAAAATTCCTTATGTCCTAAACCCGTTCCCAAAGATTGTGATTTAATAGGTATGGGGTTGAGCCTGGCCATTCTATGTTATGAACACAGCTAGTTTTAACGTGCGGCCAGAGTTGAAAATCACTGTTATATGAAGAACTAGAATGTTCCATGAATGAACAAAGTCACAAAAACATCTCCATTATTCTTACTCCCCTAGGCTTTGTGACATTGCCTTATAATTATGTAAGAAGCAAAGAGAGTGGAGAAATAAAATTATATCTCAATTAATGTGGGTATCTGTGTTTTTAACTAGTACCGGTTCCATCATGGCCAGCTCTGAATGGTTCTCCACATTTTAGTGTACATAAGCATTCACTTTCCACTATCATTCTGTAAATTATAATACCTTGTTTTATGTATGTATGTATGTATGTATGTATGTATTTATTTATTTATTTATTTATTTTTGAGATGGAGTTTCGCTCATTGCCCAGGCTAAAGTGCAGTGGCGTGATCTAGGCTCACTGCAACCTTCACCTCCCAGGTTCAAGCAATTCTCCTGCCTCAGCCTCCTGAGTAGCTGGGATTACAGGCATGCCCCACCACGCCTGGCTAATTTTGTATTTTTAGTAGAGACGAGGTTTCACCATGTTGGTCAGGCTGGTCTCGAACTCCTGACCTCAGGTGATCCACCCGCCTCGGCTTCCCGAAGTGCTGGGATAACACCACGCCCGGCCAATACCTTGTATTTTATAATTCAGGTCCCAACCAAAACACAAGGGAAAAACACTAGTATTTTTTCAGTATGATCATTTTAAACTATCTTATATAATTTTTATGTTTCCCATAACCACATCATTTTGGTGAATTCATGATCTATTTGTTTTCTAAAATTATACTACCTGGCCTATATAAAATATGTGGCACCTACAAATATCATTCTGAGTGTGTGAAAGTTAGAAGAGGAAAGTTAGAATAATTAAATTTGAATTGATTAAGTTAGTGTACCTTGCGTGGACAGTCATATGATTATGGTTTTCCCTCCAAAATTTTGTGTATAAATCAGGAATTATTCTATGGTGCCCATTCTTTCAAGATGTAAGGGGAGATGGTACAGTTCAGGTGTTCTAAACAAGAGTGAATATAGCCATCTCCCACCAAGAAGGAATACTGAGAGTCGCCAAATGGCACAGGTAGCTGTACTCAACAACTCCACATCTATATTTAATATTAAATAATGGAAATGAGGAAAAAAAACTAATTCTTTCATAAGAATAACATAATCCCCTAAAATCCTATAGCAGAAAATCTGATATTAGTTTACGTAGTGAAACTAATATCCAACTAACCATAGATGCCCCTGAGTATTTTTCCAGGGATAATATTCATGGCTCTGGCCTGAGGTTTTCCTTTTATATTTGTGTAGCACAGACATCTTGGGATCTTGAAAACAGTAGCTTGTAATAATCAGAAGAGAGGGTGTAATTTTCTTCAACCTATTAGGAGGAAACATGTCCCTGAGAATTAAATATAACACAATTTGTAAAGTTTGTTTTTAATTATGTACTACTTAGACCCTTGGAATGAAGTCCAAATTGCCCACATTTTTCAAATGACTTGGTTTTGTGCAATACAGTTGAGAGCCTGAGTTTGGATACTGTACTTACACTTACATCACTATTTTAGTGCTTTCATTTCCTGTTCTGTCCTGCTTAGAATTAGACTTAGTTAAGAAGGACTTGAGTAGCAGCAGATAACCTCACTGTAAATAATTAATAGTTCTCTTACAAATGTATCTATAATAAAATCTCCAAAATCATCAAGCAGTTATCTCTAAGACTGATGCAAGAAAACCTACTAAACATTCAACATGCAGCACTGCCATGGAAATACATTAAAGGGATGTTAAGTTTTTTTAATGTTATAACGTTGCTATCTGCACTATGCAAAAATATATAAAATGCTTTTAACATTTTATCAACAGAGAAGAAACAAAACATGGAAACATAAATGAGTAGCCTCTCTGACATTTGCATGCCATTCAGTTTTGATTAGTTCTTTCTAAATTTAGCTCCTTGGCAGGTGCACATCTTTTCCTGGCTTCGCTGGCGTATCATATTGGTTCTACCACCGTCATTTAGTTTTGGAATCACCTGTTTAACTTCTGGCCTGACCTCATTGCAATGACAAATCACACCTTCTGTGCGAAGGGTCAGAATAAACACTCGACTTGGACTTTTAAAATTCTGCTCTTTGAGAGACTTCACAGTTGATTTCTTTTGGTATCTAATGGTGTCAGAGACAGTGTTTCTAGAGGCACGATTACAGGCTTGGTTCTGTTTATTGTCGCATCAGCCCTTCAGAATGCTGTCAGCAAGACTGCTCACATTTAAAGGTTGAAGCTGAAGTACTCATTTTACCCATAGCAGAAACTTCTTACTTATAAAGCAAAATATAAGTTATTTAATTGGAATTTCTAGAAAGTATTGGCAAAGATGATGTTTCTTAAATAAAATAAATCAGAAAGAAAAAATTACACTCTGCCCTGCTTCTTCCTGCCCATTCATGATAGACAATGTTTATCTTCACAGCACTCTTCAACCTCATACCAGTGGGACTACGTGTTGTTGCCATCCAGGGAGTGAAAACAGGGTTGTATATAGCCATGAATGGAGAAGGTTACCTCTACCCATCAGTAAGTAAGACGCCAAAGATCTCGGCCATTCGTTCAATGCATGTAAAATAACAATGGCAGCAACAACAAAAAGAAAGTTCTATGTCTGTTGTTTCTGCCAGTTTTTGCCTTAGTATTTGATCTTTGCGAGAATGCTTAGAAGCTGTTTATTATTCACCAGTGTTTAGTAATATGAGTTTATCTAAAGGAAGTGTAATACTATGTCTTAAATAGTGCTTTTGCCATATTTTAAAAAATAACCTAGTATACACGTGAATCTAATCTTTTGTATTTCTAGTTAGAAATGCACTTATCTTAGAGAGTTTCTTATAATGTTTTTAAAAGAAACAATATGAATTCTAAAAAAAGAGAAAAGTAAAAGGAGAGTATTTTCTAAAGTAAGAATTCAAATTGTGTGGATATTTTACTGAAAAAATAACTACTTATAATATTGAAATGTGTATTTCTTGCAAGCCTCTGTGTTTTGTGGTAATATTTATTGGAAGCTGAGCACTTTTCTAGCCATATGACCTCTTCTGAAATATTTTCTATTTACAACCGATTTGCACTCAGATATGCTGTATTCATGCATATAATGTAGTTAGAATTTATTTCTGCCACAGGTTTAAGCAGTAAAGACTTAAAGGTGCTTTTTTCTATTATCCCTTGAGCAAAAATTGATAAAGTCTTAAATGCATTAAAATATGCTCTTACATGTCATCCTCATGTAAATTCGTTGAAACTCTGTCATTGTTAAATATCACCACCAACAAAACTATAGATAAATATACACATATTGTGTGTGTGCGCGTGTGTGTGTGTGTGTGTGTGTGTGTGTGTGTGTGTGTGTGTGTGTCTTAAACAGAAACATTCTCCAGGGGGCCTCCCAGAAAATGTAATCTATTTTCTTCAGTCAATTTGGGAAATCCTGTCACAGGGAAATGAAGTCTGCGCTGTGGATTCCCTTCATGCTGAGCTCAAAAGTGCTGGCTCTTCTTATTCTGAGTTCCCTGAAGGGTGTTCCCACACAGAGAACTGGGTCCCACATTATGCAAATTGTGTTCTCTCGCACAAGACGAATATGCAGCATGTTGCCAGCAGGATCAAGCTAGAATTCCCTATGCTCCCTTTAGAAAAAATTAAATACGAAAAGGATTACTTTCTAGAGATGCTTTATTTTCAGATACAGCTCAATCTTTTTGATTTGGAACTTGCTCTGTTATTTTTGTTTCTTTATCTTCTTCCCAAGTAATATTTTAGGGGCCTAAACATCATTAGATGCAGTGTCTACTGTAGCTTCTAGTTCTATCTTTCTGTTAGTAATTGTATCACATTGCTGTACTCTGATACATATGTTGATGACAGGGAAATTGAAATATTTGTTTTATCTTTGTGCTGCTGAGAGAGTTGCTTTTTATTTATTTATTTTTTGTCATGTGGTTGTAAATGTATGCCATTCTTTTTTAAAGGTAGGGTATATCATTTTGAGTATGTGTCTTAGCCTAAAATAAAAGTATTGATTATGCTTGGTGCAGGCTAAGCAGTAGGAATAGAAACAAGAAATGTGTTAACTGCCAAGTCCAGTCCCCTGCATTTTAAATATGGTTTCCGCATGCAGAAATCAGATCTCATGAGGGTCACTGCGTGCAATAGCATTTGCCCAGGGTGAGTCCCGGGAACAATTTAAGGCTTGTTACTGGGTACGTTGTTCTCTCCTCTCCCTTCTTCCTTCTGATTCTCCAGTTGCTTGGCTTCCAGGCCTCCCCTTTGGTGGCTTTATTCTCTGACTTACAGATGTTGGTGTTCTCCTCTTCCCATCCTTGACTCTTTGTTCTGAACCCAAAGTCTGGTAAGAGACACAGTTCACTCAGCCCCTACCCTAAGGGATCTCCTGTGCCTAGGCCAGGCCACTGTATGTCTTAGCCATCTTTGGAAAGAGGACTTGGATAAAAACCAAAAGCGATTATGAATCTATATCAGTACCTCCTAATTAAACTGCTCTGTTTATTTCAATGTAAAAAAATTTGAACTTCAAATATTTCAGTACAAATAATTATCTGCAAGTATTTATTCCATAATTTGTTACTGAGAGCCTACTAAAATAGTAATATAGAGCACAATATAGCAATTATTATCCTATAAAATAATAGCTATATCTATACAATAACAATAGTGATGATATTTGTACAATCCACTCTGTCTAGCACTGTTCTAAGCACTTTACCTGTATTAGCTCATTTAATTATCCCAATAACCTTTTATAAGCAAATATTATTAAAATAAGGACACTGATATACAGAGAGTTTAAGAATCTGCCCAAAGTCACTCAGGTGGTAGATAGAAAAGATAAGATTGGAGCATAGTTAGTATGACTCATTAGCTTACATTTTTAACTGTTTTATTATCACTGCTTTTATGTGCCAGACATTTTTTCATAATATGGTCTGACACCTTTTCTAACAAGAAGTTATAAACACATTATGATGTAATGAAAAACTTTTAGGGAATTGTTACCTAGGAAATAAACTGTATTTCAGTGCAATTATTGAGAAGTATAATTTCAAACATAATCTGTTTCCTTTAAAGATTTTTGAGTTAAAATTAAAATAATAGAAAATTTGTCAAGAAAAAGTTTGATATTATATTATGGGTATTAATTTTTTTTATATTTATTACATTTAACATTTAAGCTTTAAGTTTTAAAAGCCATGACAAACGTTGTTAACCCAACTAAGAAGTTTTGAACTAAGATGAGTAAATTTTTGAAAAAATGACAGCTCCAGTCAAGCTCAGATTTAAAGAAAGAAGTTAATGGAGATTTAAATCAGACAAATGAAGTCATCCATTCTAAGTTTATCCTAATTTTTTAAAAAGTTAATTTAATTTTTGTGCAGTGTAAACTAGAGTCTAATATGAAATTGATTTTTTTGAAGATCCATAGGTTTAGAAGTAGTCAATAAAATACTCAGGTCATCTAATTTGAATTCTGGTAAACGAATATCACAACGGTGATTTGACTTGAGGTGTATCTTCCTCTATTTTTATTTCAGGAAGTAACTTTCATACTCCTTTGCTATCCAAATAAGATACTTAATGTGTCAGATAATTCCACCTTCTGGAGACAGATAAAAGGTACTTGACTGAGATGTAAGTTCCCATTTCCAATGCTAAAGGCACCTGTTCTCTGGGGGATCTTTTCTTCAATATGATGATAGTTATTTCTTTTGTGGTCCTAATGATTGCAATATGGTACTTGATATTGTGCTACAAGAGATTTAATGTCGGATACAAGCCATTTGATTGAAGGTACAGTGTGGGCTACAAGGACGCAGAATAGAAACTGTCAGAGTAATAATTCTGCCAAAAAATTAGACAGTTTAAAATGATGTTTATGAACAAAAATGTACTTTAACCACTTATCACTATTTCTAGTGCTGAGAGAAGCAGTCAAGTTTTTTGTTTGCTTGTTTGTTTTCCAAGCCTGTGACTTTGAAAGACTAAGAAAATCTTCCGTAGAAAGCTAAGGTTTGGAATGTAAATTGTAAACAATAAGGAAAAACTGGTAATGAAAGGAAAATGTCATTCATCATCAGGGCAGGGATAAAGGATAGTTGAAGTGAGAATGTGTTTCTGGCATAAGAAAGATGGAGAAGAAAAAGAAGGACGTAAAAGAGACTGATGATACAATGAGTAAATCTCTGGGCTTTATTCAGAACACCTGGGTCCTGGATCTGACAACCAATACCTGTGTTAAAACTTCCTAATCTCTCCTAGTCTGCCCCCTCATCTGTCAGATTACATGATTTCTCTTGAATCCTTCAAGTTAATTATGGGGTTTACAATTCTGGTTTTAGTATGATTGATTTTTCTGAATGATAAGGTAATCTTACATAAAATGCATAGAGATTCCTTATTGGTATTTTATCACAGGCTGGCATTTATGAGAATATTATTTTCCTCCTGGTGCCATCAGTGCTTCCATGTTCTAGGTGCAGGCATCTTCGCGGTCGTAAGTGCCAGTGTTCTCCTGAAATTAGCATCTCATCTGAATCTGTTAACCAGATTGTATAAGTGGAGAGAAATATAATCCTTTTTCATGTTGATTTTAAAAATAAACCAGGAAAATTCAAGGTTACCATGTTTTGCAAATATTAGGGCTCACGCGAATCACCTGGAAAGCCAAGAAAAGTACAGATTCCTTGGATCACCATCTAGATATTTTAGTTCAGTGGGTCTAATGGGAGGCCCGAGAATCAACAGTTTGTAAGGGTCACCCTCCCTCACTTCTGCCGGTTATTCTAAAGTTACTATTTCAACTGTGGACAATCACACAACAAGCATTGCTGCAATGGTATCTGGGGGAGACGGTGATAACGTTAGACCAAGGTGATGGTAACAGAGTTGGTGAAAATCAGTAAATGGACTACTCAGGCATTGAAACTAAATATTTGGATTTTCTAACTGTTCTACCACTAAGCTGAAGTTTACAGAAGTTTGAAAGCAGACCAGCATACTTCTTCACTTAAGCAACAACTCAGAACTTCTGGAATAGGGACTGGTCATCTCTGTGGGCTGGCATCACCTCTCCTACCTATCCATACAGGATAAATATGTATATATGAAAGTTCTTTAATCAAGGAAAGAAAGATAAATGCTATGTATTCCTCAGTAAGCATTTTCAAGATCATCAAAGTCTTATCCACTCTACATAAGATAGTGTTCTGATATCATATCTTTCAGGAGCATTTTCAAATGAGCCTCTTCTACAAAGGTGGTTTCACCTGCCCTCCTCTGTGCCAGCAGGCTTCTCTTATTGATGTGTCCTGAGTTGTGTTTCCGTCTGTCCTTAGCTTTCCAAGAGCACCCAGGCATAAAAGCATCCGAGCAACCCACCTCATGCTTCCATGAACTGTTCATCTTCTTGCAGGATCTATAATTCTAGCAAAACAAGGTGGAACAATGTTATTTTCCTCTTGAAATTTATTCCTCTCTTCGTTGCTCAAGTTTAGGGTATAGAAATACAACTGCTCTGTTTTATCAGTATGGTACCTATCATCCTTCAGAGTCTTTCTAATCTTCCCTAAGAGTAACACACCCAAAGACATACATGTCCCTCACCTGTAAGTACACACTCATGGAGTATTGCGTGAATTCATTGCCCATCCCTAGCACCTGTCCTGTCTCTGAGTAACACCTTTACATGCCGATTCTCATAAAAATGTTCACTATTTACTCAGACATTGGCAGGGCTTCCTATTCCTCCTCCCCCAGGTTTTATGTTTATTTGTTTTGTTGTTGTTTGCTACCAGGCAGTGCATGTGCTTAATCAAATAAACTGAGCTCTAGTGGCCATCACTGGCCATCAACATCCATTGCAGGCAGACCAAGGGCCTTGGCAGCATTTGAGGGTTGCTCATCCTGGGGAAGAGCCTTTCATTCTCCCTGGGAGCACTAAGGCAAAGCTATACCAAGTTCATCTAGTTACACACAGGTGCCCCTTTAAGAATGGAAATTATTTTATTCTTTATCTTTTATTCTTCATCTCTCTGAACAGGTTGGTTTCTTTATCATAAAAAGTATATTAAACTTGAGATGATTATTAATGTCTCCAATTATTATAACAATCTATGACACTATGCATGTTTTTCTGCACAAACAATATCTAACACTTTTTGGGGATATATATACACATAGACACACATATATAATTCTCATATGTATGTGTATGTTTCATTGGAATTATGCATTCTCCTCAAATTATATATACATTTATCCCACGATTATGAGTGTTTCTGTTTATATTAATAAAATGTTAAATAACAGTTTTACATTTGCACATACTTTAAAGCTTTACTTGTCATGCTTTAACAATATTTCTTTTTTTAATCAAGCTTTTCTGTGACTTCTTTCACATTAGAGTTCAGTTGGATATATCTGCCAGGTTGAAATGGCTATTATCCTTTCTTGGTATCTTGGCCAAGATAATTTATAGTATTAATAAAGCAAGTATGATACTTCAGCTAATTTTCCCCCTAATGCTAATTTCAACATCCAGCATTCGTGTAATTCCCATGACATTGAATATTGATGCACAGAATGTAATTGGTTATGTCCAAGAATGCCATTATCTACTTAGGGTCACTAACTGGAAAGGAAAAGAATTTGAGAAACAAATACAGCTAGTAAACTGCATTTAACTAGTTATAAATCATCTTTTGGACAACAGAAATTATGGAATATCCAATTTTTTTATTTGTTAGGTTGAAGCTAGATAACAGAAATAAATTACTTTGATACTATCCAGATTCCAGTGACATTTTATGGAATATAAAGAGAGACATTGGAGTGGATAGTGAAAAAGATACTGAGAGCCTAAGAAAAAGAAGAGGAAAAAAAATAAATATAAAGGAAAGAAGATAATAGAACAGCAGTAGTCAGATGCTTTGGCAGCATTGTGGAAAGAAAAGAGAAAAGAAGAGAAAGGAGAGAGGATGGGAGGATGAAAAAGGAAGGAAATGAAGAAAACCCATCACAAGAAGAGAAAGGGAGACCTTGTTTTCTGCCTACTCCACCATGTTCCTGGAATCCACCTGACTCCTGATTCTAACTTTCTACGTGGTGTAGAAAAACAAAACCATCCCTCTTAAAGCTCAGCCCAGTTTCCTACCATACCAAAATTACCTTATCTGCTCTAGCCCCTTGGACACATTCACCTATTTCCCCTTCCCAAAAGTCCTCTTCTAGAGTGATGGCTGTGTTTGCTTCATGTGAATTTCAGGCAAAACAAAGAACAAACAAACAAGAAAACCGCTATGATCATAGTTAACTTCCAGAGGATTTCACTGGTGACAGTGAGAATGAGTGGAAAGGGATGTCAGCAGTGTCTAAAATCTACCGCAGTTATCCGAATGAGGATACTGAAAACTTGAATTAAGAAAGAAAGCTAAATAAGGCTTGAAAACTACGAAACATTTGTCATTGCGTTTTCTTGGCTTGTTTTTGGATAATGTGCGTGTGTGTATGTGTGCTGTGGGGGCAGGGGTTCTGTGTGATCTGAATGCCTTTAGGTGAGGCATGCACTCCACTACTGTGGCCACATGGTAACCACTCCTTAATTTTAGAAAGGAAGACACAACACACACAGGCTCCCTTTGTTTCTGTACATATGTTGACTTTGTTTATGTGCCTTGCAGACACTAGTGTCTGCAACTTCTGAATTAAAGGGGTGGAAAAAATCAGAGATATTTAAAAGTGTTTTCTGAGGAACTGTGGAAAGAACTTCATGGTTGTCTGGGTATGGAGACAGCAGAGTCACAGCTCATCTGGTAAGACTGGCTTAGAACTAGGTAAGCTGTGATGCTTTTCACTAAGAAAATAAAGCCCAGAAGCAGGACAGGGTGGGTGGATGGAGTAAGATGCTGCATTTGGTTAGGGACCTGCTTAGTTTGCCCACAGGACATCCAAGTGGATTATAGTCATGGAATGACTATTGGATGATGATGAAGCTCATTGATCCTAGAAGGATCACATCTCAGGGCTGTCTTGGGAAAGCTGTGCAGATAGAATCAATTCTGTGACAGATGGTAATTGTTTTTCTATTCTTCCTGCATGTGAGACAAAGATGAATATGCTGGGTCAGTGACATCAGCATAAAGTTAGATATTACAAAGAAGTTTATTAAATAACATGAGGTCTTGAGAAATCTTTCTCACATATTTTGATTCATAAGTATATAGAATCTACATGCTCAATTTTGGATACTGGATAATAGAGCAGAATACTAGCTGAATTAAATTCAAAACTTGTGTTTCTACAAAATTGATGCTAATAATATATGAAGGGAATATCAGGGCTTCAGATCCTCTCATAGTGGTTCACAAACATCAATATTTATAAGACTTATTGAAATGATTTTGAAAATGACCTGATCTCAGATATTAACAAAACAGAATCCAAGACTCCAATTAAGTGGTTTCAACATGCCTCAAGAATCATAATTTTGAGGGCTAGGCACAGTGGCTCATGCCTATAATCCCAGTGCTTTGGGAGGCTGAGATGGGGAGATAACTTGAGCCCAGGAGTTCCAGGCTGCAGTGAGTTGCGATCACACCACTGCACTCCAGCCTGGGCAACAGAGTGAGACTCCATTTCTAAAAATCAAAAAAGGAATCATAATTTTGAATATATATCCCAGGCATGTCTAGTGCTGGTGACCAAGGTCTAAACTACTTTCCCACAAATCAGACTTTTCAACTGCCTGCTTTTATATCTACCATTGATTATTGTCATTACTATTATTATAATTTATAAATTCCTAGTTCAGGGCTTGAACTAGGAGTAAGCAGAATGACATGACCATACATAGAGCTCACCTTTTCCATTAACCAGATGAGTTGGCCTTTGGGGAGTGCATAGAGAAAACTTCTGGTTGTGGTCACTCCTCTTAGTCTGTGGGAAGAAAAGGACAAGAAATGTCTCCTCGAGCACCAAGATGGTATAGAGAAAGACAAGACTTCTGCTGAGACTTCAGAAAATGAAATAAGAAATGATAGAAAGAAAGCAAGACATTAAATTTTCAACCAATAATGGCTGGTTTGCAATCTTGAAAAAGAGATGTAGTCTGCACCACGTAAAGCTCAAAGGAGAAATCAGCCTGAGACCATCGACAACAGGGCTGGCAGGCGCCTGCTGAGTTGAAGGGCATGACAAGAGCATCCTATTGGAGCAGGTTGTCAATGTCAACCAACCTGGATTGTTTCAGAGGTGGTTGCTTTTTAGATTAAAAAAAAACAATAAAAATAGATAAAACTGTATTTAATAAATCGCTTCCTTTCCCTAGCCTTCTGTTTTCTCTGAAGCTTCATTTTGTCTGTATCTAAGCAGAGATTTCCAGACAAGTTCCATTTCTGGGTTAGAGGAGATGTCCTTCTCCTTCCAGAGGTGATCAGCAGTTACATCAAGGTGCTCAGTATGAGACAGAAGTGGCTCGTCCTCCATGTCCAGTGTGGACAGTGGGTTGTTCCCATATGGGCCCATCATAACACGTATTTCCTAACTACAACCAAAACCATACGACCTACTTAACAAATATCAAACACACAAACTACTAACAAAAGGGTTTGCAAGAAATATGTGGAAAACCATTCAACTCAATATTCATAACTTAAATATATGCTGAGGAGTAGAGCTCTTGGTATCAAAGTGTATATTAATGAATTCATTTATTTGCTCTTTCAGCAAATATTTATTGTACTCCTTCCATTGTCAGCTATTGTACAACATGTGCGAAGACTTCAAAGATAAGTTAAAAATTGTGGTTTAAAATTGAAAAAGAAAAAATAACAAAAACCTGAAAGTCCAATAGACAACAGTTAAGTTAACCATTGAAGGACATTTTGACTAGATGAATTCTAAGAGTTCTATCTTTTCTCAGAATCTGTGATTCCATGAAAATATTTGTCCCATTTCCTCAAGTAGTGACAGCTATGTAGGGAGTTTTTAATCTGTACTTCTTGATTAATTATTGTTAAGGTGAAACCAATTTTCACAGTACATTTTATTAATTTATTCCTCGAGTGGCTTCATGTTCATGAAATGTACTGTGCACATCACTTGTCTTTTTTCCCCGCTGAAAAAATTCAGTGTCAGCAAAGAAGATATGTCAATTTCTCAAGTTAAAATTGCAGAAAAGTACTTATTTACACGCTGCTTTGCTGAAAGAGCATGATAAATCCACAGACACAGAGGCAGATGTTCAACGGCTGCATTCTAATATGGCCATATTTGCATTAATGAAGTGAGTGGTAATGTCGTCTTTAACTTAAGAGAGAATCTCAGGGGAGAAAAAATAAAACCCTAATTTTTAGTAAATGTTGCCACCACTTAAACTTGAACGTTTTAAAGCAAGAGCATTAATAATTATAATTAGAAAAAGAGCTTTGTTATTTCTACATGTTCATAAAATGACACAAAATACTTTGGTTTTATATTTTCTTTCAGCGTCAAAGAAGAAAGTCATAAACATCACTGCAGTTTGCATTTTTATCCTGATTTCCTCTGGGGGTTAAAAACTATATAAACTACTGTAAATAGTAACAACATTTATATTGATCAAAATGTTTCAAATTTTGGTTAGCTATATTTGTGAATGGTACATGGTAGGTGGTAGATGGTGAAAATAATTTTTATATGTAAGGAGTTTCAAAGATGATCTAAAACATGAAGGCCTAAAACAATAGATGAAACACTATTTCAAAATGTATTCTCTCTTTGTTTTCACTCTCCATGTTACAAAAATGGCAACAAATTACGTAAATGCCAAGGAAGCCAATATATCATATGGTAAATGACAAATCAACTGTAACATTGAAACAACAATTAATAGCTATTATAGCTATTAAAATTTGAAGCAAAATTGTGCATCTTTAAAAATTATACACACATGTGAGAGGACTCATGACTGAAATCTCAATATACCATCTATCCAAGTTGAGTTATTTTCCTTTTTTTTTTTTTTAAGATAATTATTCTTCTTCCTACTTCTGGGAGGGACAGTGTATGGGAGGTACCTGTCAGGCACTGTGAGAACCCTGGGCTCTGAACAGATATGGGGTATTTCTCTCAGTATCCTCAATGCAGCTCCAATAACTAATCCCATTTCTTAATCACTTTGGAATTAATAAGAAAAATAATTTATTTTAGAAATTCACAAAAATATGTAAAACAACTTTTTTCTTTTTTTCCAGAGGAATAACTAAAACAATTCTTATTGAAAAGCCAAACTATACATTTTTCTTCACAAGTTGTATACTAAAAATTGGCAAAATAACTCCCTCAGTGATAACTTTCATTGTTTTTTCTTTTTTATGTTGTTTGTTTCTATGGATTTTATATAGTTTTAAAACTATAAGCTATTGAAACAATAGTGTGTATTTATTTGACTGAAAATATTGGCCACATTTTTATGGTAATATGACCTGTCCACCAGAATTGATCTAACACATTCTAGAGCTTAGAGAAAAATAGTGATGACAAAGATAGACGCAGATGCAGTCTTGTGGGACCTAAGAGTTTCTACAGATGTGAGTTCCATGCTCACTACATTTTAAGTTTGACTTCACTACATTATGGAAAGACATATTGTGCTCTGTGCTATTTAGGGTTTCACTAAATGTTGGTTGTTGGTGTTCAGATAACTCATCCAGCCTGGAAGGCAATTTCATTGAAAGGGTGCACAATGTTCTTTTCAGCAGAAACATATTAGATCTCTGAGGGGTTTTGTCCAGGGTTAGACCTTGGTTTTAAGATTTGACCACTCCACTATATTAAATAAAGAGAGATGAGTCACATGTTAATAAACATGTCCCAGCCCATACAAAAGCACCATAATTGGTTGCTATTTGCTGTTCTAATTGAGGTAGAGACTGAATGGGAATAACGTATTTTTTGTGAGGCTTAGGAATAACTAGATTTTTGTTCTCTGACAAGGTGGAGGTATTTTATTTGGGCATTCATCCTGGCTCCTATCTATTATTTAGCAGAAATCATTATGTGGGCAAAAAAGAAACATCATTCTACTTTACTATTAAGCTGACACTAGTGTCTAATGGTACTAACCCAATAAATTGGTGAATATTGGTTTATTCCATGAGAAAAGCATCTGTTGATGTTATGAAATAAATTAACTGTGTGTGCCCTTCATGAGGAAACAATGACAAAGAGTTGATACTTAATGACTCCCCGTTAATGTAAACATCTCCAATGAACTCATCTGCCTTTCCACTATGGACCTTTTATAATACTGTTTCTATTACCTATACCGTAGACCACGTGCAAAAGAGATGCCTGTCACAGCAAATTATTTTCTATGGTGGGCAATACTGTGTTATGGTTCAAAAGTATCGGATTCCTAGCTGTATTTCAGACATAGCTTTGAAGAAATCAATGTCTTTCTTGCTTATAGGTAATATAGAATAAAATTGTAACATGATGATATATTACCTTTGAGAGTTGTATAGTTATTGTGTTATAAGAAACAACTGTTTTATTAGAAGTCAGAAGCATAGAAGGTAAAATGCTTACAATGCAAAGATGCAAATTTATTTGCAAGTGCCTTCTTTGTAATCAAAATGTGCTCATATTCTTACGGTTGTGTTAAATGGTAAAATAATGGTAACAAAATTATGCAACTCTGGAAGAAGTCATAGCCTCGACCACATTATTATTTAAATATTGCCATTTAACATTTCACTTCCTGTTTTATAATCATAAATTGTTATCAACAGAGGTAATATAATTTTTGTATTAAAATTATCAGTAGTAATTATTGAATAAAATTCTTCCTCTTGGTATATAGTAATAGATATTGCCAGTCGAATAACTCTACCTCCCATTTAATGGTAGCCACTATGCCTAAATTCTACACTATTTTTCAAAAATATCAATTAGAAATCTATATTTCTAGCAATATTAATAACAGAAATCAACTTTTAAACCATTCAAAAGTTGTCTAGACAATTTTTACCTAGAGAGGAAGTAAGAGGCATTCTTTTAATGTCCATGGAGAAATAAACTCTAACTTGAAATCTTGTATTAAAATAATAAAAATTATTAAGAAATTTTTTCCACAGATGCCATAAATGGTTTAGCTATTTTCCTAATGTAGTTTGAGTCATTTGAAAGACGGTTTTACAGAGTTAGCAAAGCCAAATGGATACTCAGGAGAAGTAGCAGTGAGACTTTATTTAATTTAAAATTACATTGTACAAGAAGGCTTGCACACTGAAGTGGATAGACAGAAGAATTGGGCAAGAGTTCCCCTGTGTTCTTAAAAAAAAAAAAAACTTGTAGGAATTTGAATGCAGACAAAGGTATGATTAATTTTTATGCATCATCCATGCAATAACAACAACAACCATAAAAAGAAAACCATGTCAGCAATATGCGGTTGTTTAAATGCAAAGTATGTTAAATTACACTCTGGTTCTCTGAGCCACGAAAGCCAGTCTTTATTTTACTTTATGCTTCATGGTCAGTTCTTCAAGCCAATTAAAAATCCCTCAGACTTTTCAAACCATGAACTATCAGGTCCAAAATATGATGCAATTTTAACTTTTTTATAAATAATAACTTCATTATGTTTCTAATAGTGATTAGGAAATACTGTTGAATATGGCACATAGCAGGACTTAATTTCAATTATCAGATATTCCAGCCATTTTCTGAACAAGAAAGAGACTGGCCCAGGGGTCTGCTGAAACTTTTCATATCTGGCAAATAATTAGTGTATACTAATTTATACAGTGGTAGAATGTTAAAATGAACTTAACCATTCTGTTCAATGTCTAATTACATTTTCTATTGATGTCAGTGTTTTACCTAGAAGCATTTGGTACTTTAAAATAGTTTTGACATTTAAAAAGTGATATATTTCATTCTTGATTATGTGAAATGGTGACAGTAAGAACAGCAAGTTGAAGATGAAGACACATAAAGCCCAGGTTGTGCAAAAGTAGGAAACCCAAAGCCCAGAGTCACTGTTAATGTATTAAGAAATTATTATCATTAATGTCACGTCAAAGTGAGTTTGTTAAGGATAAGTCTATAACCTGAAGGGTTGAATGCAGAATGCGTGGGTGTGATACCACTAGAGAAAAGTAAAATGAGTTTCTTAAATGTGTTGTGTGTGTGTGTGCATTTGTGTACAATTATTATATAATCATGAACTAATAAGACAAAGTCTTTCCTACACAATGGGAAGGGTACACACATAAAATTTGGTATTCTGATATGTACTCATAGGTATTTTTCTCTTTGTTATAGTTAAGGGATTTTCCTGCACACTCATTTGTGGAGGCTATGAAAATAAAATCCATCCTTAGGGCTATTGTGTAAGATCTATAATTCACAACTTCTGATATTTTTAACTCTTCAAAGGCAAATGACTTCTGGAATTCATTTCTTAGGTTACAGAGTAGGATTGATAGGTGGACAGGTATCATGGGAGGAGAAAATGCCCAGCTCAAAAGATTGAATGAGAGTTGGCAATAGGACCAGCACTTATTTAAGCATATGGGCCTCTGAGTGACCTTGAGAATTCTGAATGACTTTTTACAACATGATGATGACATTTGAAATGCTTTCCAAGAAATGCATAAAACACTCCATTATGTTTCGTTTAATCTTCAGATATTGTGATTACATTTTGACAGAATGGTGGCAATTAATTATACTAGGTCAGCAAACATCACCATGTCCATCATATACACATGAGGAACAAGTCAGAATTTCAACAGCTCTGCAGTAAGCCTGGTGTGTTTAGTGTGAGCAGCAGTATTCTCCTCTCTCTGACAGTTCTTCTAATACCATAGAGCAATCTCAGTGATGAAACATCAGTTTAGTAGGGAATGAATGAGTGTTGTTTCTATTCTCTTATATACTTTGGGATCACTCTTAGAAATCTTAGGAAGACTAAAATTATGATAACAGCAATAAGCATTTATAATTATGCATAAATGCATATACATACTTGTTATAATCTCAAATAAAGAAAAGATTCCATCCAAACACATGATTCTTCTAAATTGTACGCACACAGTTTGAGTACCTGTAAGATATCTGCAAATGGAGTTAAATGTAATAATTTCTAACATTGTGTTTGCCTGCGTTAGGAACATATCTCAACAGTACTGCAATGTAGAATAGATAGTTTAAATGAGCATTTTTATCTCATCATATAATAGTGATTCAGCAAATATGATGGTTGTGCAGAGATGTTTGAGACTGAAATCAAAATAGAGCCGTCAATGCATGTAATAATTTTGAGGTCACATAATGAATTTGAAATAAAATTAATAGAGAATCCTTTTCTTTTGATGAGGAGTTAAAATATATATAATGAATACTTGAGTATCAGTCTGTAATTTTTTTTATTCCCCAAAGTGATTAGTAGTGAGGGCTATAATGTGTGGGAATATTCAAAATATTTATATGGCCATGCATGGTGGCTCACACCTGTAATCCCAGTGCTTTGGGAGGCCGAGGCAGGAGGATCACTTGAGGATAGGAGCTTCAGATCAGCCTCGGCAATATAGTGAGACCCTGTCTCTACAAAAAATAAAATTTTAAAATATTATCCAGGTGTGGTAGTGTGCACCTGTAGTCCTAGCTATTTGGGAGGCTGAGGAGGATCATAGGAGCACAGCACTTGGAGGTGACAATGAGCCATGATCATGCCACTGCACCCCAGTCTGGGAGACATAGCAAGGCCCTGTCTCTAACTAAAAAAATTGAAAATAAAAATAAATAAATAATACACTGAAGTATTTTTGTGCAGATTTATCAGATATGTATATTATTATTGCTTTCACTATGAAGAGAGAATTTGTTGGTAATAGGTTAGTGTCAAAGTTGCTTCTTTCAGTGACTGTCAGTCCCTTTCCTTGCCACTCCCAAAGGGGTGATGAGGTCAGATACTTCCCCATGAACCAGAATAGACAGTGGGGTGACAGAAAGGTTGTCTTGGAAATAGAATAAGAGAAACAAGGTGGCGGGCCAAGATTGGGTATCCTACATACCTCCCATAGTTATTTTGATCTTTTTATGTGATCATTCTACACACTCTCAGGTGATCACAAGACTGGGCAACCATCTCTCTCATTGTGTCTCTTATACACCTGCATCAAGCAAGGTGTTCCTAAGTCCTTAATATTCTAAATAAATAGCACTTTCCAAGTATCTGCCTATTTCTGTAGGATTCCCTCAAGGAAATTATTAATTTCCTTACCATAGTCATTAATTCAGCAGACATTGATTTAGGGTGGAATTTGCTTCAATTGCTGGTATTTAAATAGTGACCTAAATGAAATTGTTAGTTTTCTGTGAATATAATCAAGGACACCAAGTTCTCTGGCATTTAAAATATTTCAATTATTATCCACTAAGCAAGACATCTATTTGCATATCGTGTTGGGAAACATAGGTATCTGGTATCATGGGTCCTTGTCCTGGGAAAGGTGGATCAGGTAGGGAAAGAATAAGGAGTTTTGACATCAAGTATTCTTCTTATGTGTCATTAGGTCTGTTGTGGATCTCTGAGTCCTGATTTTCTGTCCTGACAAAGACATTTCCTTTAAGAGAGTGTCATAAAACTTAAAGAAAGGATGTATTTAAAAGCACTTACCCCAAAATCCACACTCAAGTGTTATGACTGTGCAGACAGCCCCACATACGCAAATGGTGTTACTGTTTCACACTGTCTTGTCATTGACTTTTGTCAGCAAGTAACTTGGGATTGTTTTTTTCCTCCTTCAAGAAAAGGATAAAATAGTGTTATGTATAAGAAAAACCCCATATTCTTCAGTATAGAAGGTTGTTTGAAAATTCTACCATTAGAAATATTGTCATGCTTGTGGGTAATTAGGAATTATGATATGTATTAATGTCTTATTGGAAGGATTACAATGATATGAATAAAGTTGAAGTACATAGACCCACGTTTTCTTGACGTCAGCTTTTCTTTGAACACTCATGTGTTTCGGTGGCTGGCATTTCAGAATTGCAGTGATATTGATAGATATGGCAACCAGCCTGTGATGTAATTATTTTAGTAAAATAAAAACACCTCAGTAGCATAAGTGTAATTTCAAATGTTACTTTATTTTTGCTTCTAATCTTCCACTGGGAAAGTCTTTTCTACGCTAGCAGATTATCCAAAGAAAAGCAGAATCTGTTCCTTGAGAGCCCCAGCCCTAGGCACGGCTGACCTGACTGAGCCTCTGATTCCACCACCTACAAGCTGTGTGACCATAGGAGGCTACTTCCCTTAGTGGATAGTAATTGAAATATTTGAAATGCCAGAGGGCTTGGTGTCCTTGATTATATTCATAGGCAACTAACAATTTCATTTAGGTCACTATTTAAATACCAGCAAATGCCTTGGTTTTCTTTGGTTTTAAATGATGGCTTTTCAATTGTGACTATTGAATGAGTTAAAAGATTAAAGTACTCAGAATGATGCCTTACACTTAGCAAGGGCTCTTAAAATGTTAGTAGTGATGAAGACGACGAGGAGGAGGAGAGAAAGGCGAGCTAGGAAAGGGGATGAGAAGAAGCCAGAGGCATAGGTTGAAGTCCCTCGCTTTTGAATCGCCTTGTTTAAACCTCCCTTAAATCCATTGCAGTAGAATATTACTTGATAATTTTATATTATTTCCTTGTCCAGATTGTACATTGCTTAAATGCAAGTGACTGGTTGTAGGAGTTTGCTAGGACTGCGGTAACAAAGTACCGCAAACCTGGTGGCGTAACCAACAGAAATGGATCATCTCAGTTGTCAAGGTCAGAAGCCCGAGATCGAGGTGTCAGCACTCTTGGTTCCTTCTGAGGGCTCAGGGGGAGAAATCTGACCCATACTTCTCCCATGCTGAGTTTGCTGGCAATCTTAGGCATCCCTTGACTGGTAGAAGCACCATCCTGACCTTGCTGTCATGATCACATGGCAGATCCCACAGAACTAGGTAAATCCGCCTGTGTGCCTGTCTCTGTCTCTGTGTTCATTGTCCCTCTTTATAAAGACACCAGACATATTGGATTAGGGCCCACTCTAATAGCTCATTTTAACTTAATTAAAATGAGTGCTAAGTGTCAAGCACGGCTCTGAGTACTGTCATGTTTCAACTCACTTTAAAGACTCTACCTCTGAACATAGTTACATTCATTCATAGCTACTAGCAGTTAGGAGTTTGATGTCTTTTGGGGAAACACAGTTCAATCCATAATGCGCATCTTATTTAACTTCCTATCCCTCATAAATGATATGTAACACCTTCTGCATCTCAGAGACTCAAAAACATGTTGAAAGAAATGACTGAATAAATGAAACTGTTTTGGTTAGAAAGTTGCAAGTAAAATATGAAGAAGGGAAAATTATTCTCATGACTTCTAGCATTTCAGATTGAGCAAAAATCTATTGGGCAATAGTTCTGGATATAGAATATATATACACACTCTATATATCTTCTCTCTCTATATATGTATTATATGTATATTCTATATATATTCTATATATATTCTATTCTCTATATAGAATATATAGAGAATGTATATATCCATTTCTATATATATAGAATATATATGCTATATATAGAATTATATAATATATAATTCTAGAATTCTATATATAGAATATATAATTCTATATATATATATATATATATATAGAATATATAATTCTATATATATATATATATATATATATATATATATATATATATATATATATATATTGCCTTTAGAGACAGAGTCTCGCCCTGTTTCCCAGGCTGGAGTGTAGTGGCACGATCTCAGCTCACTGCAACCTCCACCTCCTAGGTTAGAATGATTCTCCTATCTCAGCCTCCCGAGGAGCTGGGACAACAGGCGCCTGCCACTATGCCCGGCTATTTTTTTTTTTTTTTTTTTTTTTTTTGGATTTTTAGTAGAGGCAGGGTTTCACCATGTTGGCCAGGCTGGTCTCGAACTCCTGACCTCAAGTGATCCACCCACCTTAGCCTCCCAAAGTGCTGGGATTATAGGTGTGAGCCAGCGTGCCTGGCCAGAACACTTAAATATTATATCCACTTGAGTTAGAATTTATTTTGCTTACATTGCATTTGGATAATGGATTATTTGACCCTTCCTCTTCTTCCTGCCTTCCTCTCCCTCTCTCATATTTGCTTCTTATAAATCTCATACTTTTTTTCTTTATTAAGGAACCACATTTATAAAAAATTCTAACTTGTGTGTTTAATTTGGAATGGCCTACAGATCTCAGAGCTTTGGTGGTAGCCTTGTCCCACATCTTCCTTTCATGATGGTGGATATCCCAGAGGAGCTGAATGAGTCTCCCAAGTTCACTCAGTTAATTAGGGGGAGAGCTGGAGTTTGACCTGGTGCTCATGACTCCCAGGAGGAACATTTTCAGGAACTTAATTGCCTCTCAACAATGCAGGATCAGGCATGGAGTTCTATACCATCCATAAAGGAAAGCTTGGCCAAAATACACCTAAACTATGCTCAGCCATGTATCTCTCTCTCATCCATTTCTTTTTTGGATCTAGGTTTATCTTGTTTAATAATCATGTTTCCTCATATTTGTCTAGATTTGGTCGCATACGTAAGTCATACATTTTATGTAAATATCATTAACGTATTCATTGAAAGATAGTATGGATTCTAAGTATAAACATCCGGCATCTTCTACATCAGTGCCCCTGTGCCTAGAGAAGGAAAGTGTGGAGAAGCTTGAGTTGGAGACCTTCCTACTTTTTGTGCACAAGCGGCTGCCCATGTTTATGAAAATTAATGGTAGACAACTAGGGAGTTAATGTAGTAAAACAAAAATGTTCCTCCATTTAAATAAAATTGTAAGCAAACACCTCCTGATTTTGTTATTTGTAAGCATTTGGTTTCCGGTCGCTTACGGTGATTTTGTGTCCCTTCCAGTCCTCAGAAAACCCCCTTTTCCCACTCTAAATGCTGAACATATGTCAGGAGTCAGCAGAAACTACTCAAAGCTGCAATTTGTTAAAAGTATAGATGTGTGAATAGATTTTTCCACACACAGAGACAGAAAAATTCTAACTAGTGGCACATGTCACATTCAAATAATCAGCACTACAAAAATGTCCTAGTTTAAAATACAGGCTGGAAGAACTGAGCAAGGAAGGAAGAGAGGAAAGGAGGTCAGAAGATACAAAAAATGAGCGAGAAAGTAAAAGAAAAATACAAGTCCAATACACTTTTTTTCATTTATACCAACATTTTAATTTTTTCAGGTTTGCAAAGTAAAGAAACTATTAACATTCAGAAGATTTTTTTTGTATGAGTTTCTTTAAATTCCAAACAGACTTTTATTTTTTTATTTTTATATATCTTCAAACTTACAGAAAAGTTGTAAAAATACTGAGAATAACTTCTATACCCTTCATCAAGGGTCAGTAATTGTTTAATGTTTTGCCACGTTTACAAATACTTTTCTCTCCTTGTCTTCCCCTCTCTCTTTGGGTTTATATTAGTACTATTTTCTCAAACCATTTGAGAATTAGTTTGACTATTATTCCAGCCCAGAGTGACTTTCATGGTTATAGTCTCTCTTTTTCTGTTATCCGGTGGCTGGAAAAATTACCTATAGTTCCTGGATTTACCAATCATCTCTAAAACATATAACAAATCTAAACCTCATTCTCGCTGAAGGAATGTGTCTCCCTTGGCAGTCACTCATTTCTTTTGCCTCCTCCTTTCTCTTGTTTTTGATACTAAATTATTACATTACACTTTTTTAGGTTTTTGGAGCTTGACATTTTATTAAATAGAAATGCAATGGAAAGACAACTGGAGTAGGAGTCTATAGAGTTATGTTGTAATTCTGATGGTATATAAGATTACTCTTATGTTCTAATTTTTTTTATTTCCTCTTTGTTCAACCTTTGGGTCTCTAAGAATCCATGTATTCAGTAGTATGAAAGGTAAAATGCATATCTTGACAGGGTTGATGAAAAGATAAAATGGCATAATATAAATTTATGCATATTAAATATGCTTCATTTCCTTGATTTTTAAAAAAATATAATCCTAAGCCTTTCAAGAGGTATAAAATGGTTGCCTCCTTAAATGAAATATGTTAAGTTTAGAATATTAATGTAGTTTTCTAACTGTCTAAACCATTTTAAAATTTCTTCATAAAGATGAGAGTTCCCTGCTTGCGTTGACAAATAGACCTGCTTTCCTACCACATTTAATACTGGTTGTTTCCATTACTCTACTAAATGCAAGGTAGACTACATTTTAATCATAATTTTCTTTCTCTCAGATGTTTGTACTTTACATGCTCTGTTAAACGTTTCCTGTGATTGGAAAATGTCTTAATGTTTTTAATAGGCTTTAAATTTCATTGGATTTCTTCAGTCTGAGATCAACTGTATTCTGCTTTTTATTATATGGGACTACATTAAAGAGATTCTTCTTAAGGCAAAGCCTATGATATTCTTCAATAACTGTAGATTTGAAGATGTATTAACAAGAATTGGAGTTTCTCTGAAAGGGTTAAATGTTTATTTCATTCATTTCACAGAGTATGGTATGAAGTCTTCAACAGAAACTTGATTTCCATCAATCACCCCAATACTTGGCTAATTATCATGTTTTTGTCTATACAGACATGCTTAATCACAAACATGCACACGATCATGTTCATAACAAAAAGAAAGATGCAGTTGTCTTATATTTAACATTCACTAGTTTACTGTCTATTACATTTGTTCCCATTTCTGATTCAGAGATAAAAGAGCTAAGTTATACTTAATGTTAGCACCTAAAATTATCCTATAGCTCATATAAGAGAGGCAGACAGAGTTGACACAGATTGAGAGTCTCAGTGGGCTATAGCTAGGAGGGTGTTGATAGGCATTCAGCTGCCTTCAATCAGAGGCAGTGATCACTGACAGTGACCCCAGGCATATAAAACTACAGTTTCTTTGTAAAGATCTCCAGAGACAGGGATAGTTTTACTAACTTTCTCAACCCAGATGAGTGTTTCTTCTTTATTTCTAACCTAAATTCTAGTACTGTTTTCTAGGGAGGTCATTTTCTTTTGTTCTGTCTCAAAGTTGGCTAGGTAGAAGTGTTGAATTTTAGAATGGAAAGGAACATCATAGGTCGAATGTTTTAACTTCTTCAATTGAGGTATGAAAAATCTGAGGGTTAGAAAGGATGAGGAATTTATCGAGGACCCGCTTGAAAAGGCAGAAGAGAATTCAGATTTATTTTCCATTATACTGCATGACTTCTTCTCCCAATTAATTGACTATGAAAAATCCATCTGCCAGACTTGGCTCCTCTAAGCCCTTCTGTCTTCCCACATAATTCTTTTGTAATGCTAATTTTCATTCTCCACTGAATGAACTCAATTTCGCATACACTTTTAAAGCCATGAACTTACACTTACCTGGAGGCCTTTAGAGAGGACTTGGCCAGGACTAAAAACATTGATATAATAAATTCTGAAACAGCCACTCTGGCTATCTTAGTATGTAGACGTAAGTTATCATGTAGTCATCCCATCAGGGAGAAATCTGAATTTTAAGATCAACGTTGGCTGTGCTGAGGTCATCCTATGTGCCCACTCTTTTCATTCTCCATCTTAGCCACAGCATCACTGAAGAAATCAAGGAGATTAAATTTCAACAGAGAAGAGGGGAACATTTAAGAGTCGGCAAAAATGCAGTGAAATGAGGGTGTAGTCAATATAGACTGCACACATTCCATTCCAGAGAGTCAGTTTATGTAACTGGAAAATGTCTGCATTTTTAGTAGCTCTTAATATGCTGACATGCTACCAAGTAATTCACAAATTTTTCTGGTTTTCTGAGTTTCATAAAGGCTGATGATTTTTTTTTTAAAAAAAGATGGAGTAATTTTTTTAATGTAGTATTCCAGTTAACAAAGTGATATGCCCATAGGAAAAAATCACCTGGAGCTTTGTGGTCAAAACATGTTTTCTTTTCCTTTTTTAAAAGATGTTTAACTCCGTTCATTTCATTGATAGACATTAGTATTTCTTTATCTGAAGCCTCCACTAATTATTACTAGTTTTAAAACTTAAACTACAATGTTAGGTATCATGGTAGCACTATTAATAAATTGTATACATTTGGCAAATACGTTAGACTCAATTTCTATGAAAGTAACTGTCCACTGGACTTTGAGTGAACAATGTGGCAAAATATTGGAAATATATAGTTGCATGTTGGCCAGATTATTGGCACTTCGACCAGATATGTTCACTATACATATGACTATAGTTATATGCACTGAGCCCTGCCACCACCTACCCCCTGCAAAGGAAAGTCATGACTCTTTTCTCTGGAATTCAAAGCTTTCTGTCAACATAATCTATGAAGCCATTCATTCCAGTCCCACTGCCCCTAATCCCACTGCATCTCAACACAAAGAATGACTTTTCCTGTTCTTGAAACACTCCTAGCATGTTACAGTACCTCATTTACGCCTCTGGTGCCATTCTTTATTTGCTTATAAGCATTTGTTTACAAGTCTAAGATTATCTCCTGACTACCCTTTTATCTAGTCACCTTCTCTTTCTGTCTCATACTTCATTTTATTGTTTCTGTCTCTCTCAGCATGCCTTCACTGTCATATCTCTGTGTTTTCCTGTCTCCATGTTGTGCTTTCACCAATAGTCCCAAGTCATAATCAGTTTCTGCCATTGGGTATTTTCAAGTTAATCATTCACCTTTACATTTGCCTTTGTAAATGGCCATATTAGAAGTCTGTTCTTTTCCATGCCAGCAGAAATTCTCCCTACCCAGCTGTTATAATTAGAGGAATTGCTCCCCGAGTTTTCATATCAGATCAGAACTGTTTTTTGTTGTTTTGCAAGGTCTGCACACATAAAGAGTTTTTAAGCAAAACATTTATGGTCTAGGATTAGAAATGCTTCGACATGCAAACGTAGACTGTGATAGCTGTTGTGACAATTTTTGAAAAACAGCAAATTTCTAAATATCACCTAAAATTTAATTTTTCAGGAAATTTTGCTTCACCGATGAAGGCGTACTGTATTATTGTCTATTTTCTGAGTTGCTGACATTACCTGACGTTTGCAAAGTACTAACAAGGGCATGGCATGGTGATTTGTATCTTGTAGGACAAGTCCTTCCAGGCTGAGAGTTCACATCTAAAACAGATCTTGGGAATTTATTATTATTCTACCAAGTACCAGAGACAGTCAGCTGAAATGAAACATTTTCTGGACTTAAACCCGTCCCTGTAAATTCCTACGATGTCAGGGGACACGGGAGTGTTAGTTGCTGGCATTTGCAGTGTAGTCTTCTAGACTCTGCACCATAACTCTTTGCTCCTAGTTAAATGTTTTGGATTTGCCAAGGTATGCGTGTTCAAGCACACACAGGTACCCCCACAGAAATTTTTCCTAAGCAAATAGCTGTATGTGATATAGGGAGATTATATTTTTCCTGAACGTCAATGGAAATGTACACTATGTATGTAATGATTATATTTTATCACTGAATATTTGGGAAATATAAAATGGGAAAAGTGCACTGCCCATGCTAAGTCCAGAGTATCATATATTATAAAATCGGTGGTTCTGTTCTGCAAGGGATGAGAGGGTAAAAAGAAAATAAAAAGAAGCTCAGCCATACTGTAAGAGAGCTGTAAAATAGAATTAAATATGGTTAAATAAAATGCTAAATTCTGTAATTATATGGTTATTATGATAAACGGGCTTTAAATATATGTTCTTCATTAGCCAGGGCTTCAAAGCTGAAAGATTTCTATGGAAGGTGATGCTCTTATGCACAGTCTTGAAGTCAGTTTCAAGGAATGGTGTCTTGTGAGGTTGAGAGTGCAACAAACATGTTTTCAAACAGTGATCTCTGTATAAGTAGTATAATCTCAAAAATCACTGATTATACTACTTTTCCATGTATCTGGTCTTCCTGGTTTTAGTAAATCCCCCAATTGTTAGCAATACAAAGATGTATTTTTCATGATTTTAAGACTGTTGCATTTTAGAGGCTTCAGTTTGTGTCCTGATATTTGTGGCAATAAATAGAAGACACACACACAAAAAGGCTTTTTGTAGTTGAAAGGGCTTATATCTTTGAAACTAACTCTGTCCTTTAACACATTTCATTTAAATAATCACTTTCTATCTTGTCCACAGAAGGTCTTTACAATATGACACTATGGATTAATTTTAGGTCTCCTATTAGGGTTCTTTCTTTCTCACAACAATTTAAAAATGAAAGATATAGATAACTAACAGTATTTGTTCTATTTGTAGGTCTCATGTTCTTACTGTAAATCCCACAGAGTTTGACAGAGCTCTCTTTACATGCATTTCACTGTCTTTCAATATGCTCACCTCCCTGTCTCCCCAAGCCACAATTCATGGATTCACTGTCAGGAAAATTTCTATTCATTGACCATAGATTAGGAGAAAGTCCACGTTCACTGATCCCCCTGAAGCAGATGTAGTTATTATTTCTTCCTAGTCCCTATATCTAGTTACGTAATCCTTGTGTTCCTTATGATATCATAAGGATTTGTTTATGTTGCCATCTTTTTCCTATAACTAGAGTTAACTACTCAAGTTAAGTATATATTTCAATTTTGAAAGTAGCATCATATTATGCATAAGTTACTCAAAGTCAACCATACATATGGACTTGAAATACTTACGAATAAATGGTGGCAGAACATCTGAGCATGTGCCCAGAGTGAGCATCAATGGGAGGCATTGGCCTGCCCCCCACTGTCAGACTCAGCTCTGTGGATCCCTTATGCTATAAGCATCTCTACACAGTGACTACACTTTGCTGTACAGTAGATGTAGCAATATGAAATTGTAATACACATCGCCCCCTAAATGCATGTCTCCTACTTCTTCTGAAATACAGTGAGGTAGGGGCAGGGGTTGATTGGTTTAATGCTAGAGGAAAAACTAGATCTGTTACCTGTGTTAAAATGATACATTAATCTTCAAAAAATTCATAGGTTTAAGAAGTGCTCAAGAATACTTTTGATACATTTAACTTCTGCCTTGCTTGCTAATTTTAGAACTCGGTCACCCCTAATTAGAGATGCAACTGTATTATACACCCAGCCACACTACAGGTGCTTAATACATATTTGTTGTTGAAAGCCTCAATCGTGTGTATGTTTCCGTATAGACGAACAGTCGTTAGGATGATCGTTTGTCCGAGTTTGGCCAGGACACTTCTGCTTCACACAAGTTGTTCCAGTGTAAATATTAATAGCACCCTCTTTTATCCTCAAAGGTGTCCCAGCTTGGAGGATAAATTATATAGTCACCCTAGTTATAGTGATATTTGAAGTAATTTTTGTAAGTAATTTGGGGATTGGCATGCATGATGTAATAGAAACAAACAATGCTTCAGGCAAAAGACTAAAACCATGATGAAACATGCTTAGTGATGCTCCTTGCTCTCCGAGTCATGCTGGTCAGATCTGCTGGCCTCACGTCTGTTCTCTCCCTCTCCTCAACTGTCTTCTTTCCTGTTACTATTACTATTTGCACTAAAATAAGACTCTTTCTACAGTCCTTTTGTTTTCTCAGAGTAGTTTGAACATTCCTACCCAGGCGTCCAGTAGCACATACCCTTTGGCTTCCTGAACATAGTCCTCACATGTATTCACCAATCCTCTTCCTTTTCTGGGTCTGAATTTGACCTGTTGAAGCCATAAGCACTCCTGCCCTTGTGGGCTTCTGTGTTGAAGAGGATCTTTATTTTTCCATTTGCCATTTGTAAAACTAATATTGTACAGGTAATAACACCGACAAGTGAAGCTTGACCTTATAAAAAGGACTGCTAATGTGCTGAAGGGAGGAAAGTCCTAGATGGGTTATTAAGGTAAAGAGAGCAGAGGAAAAGAGAAGAGGCACAAAGATGAAATGAGGATGTGATAGCAACCTCTGACGCCTGTTTTCTGAGGGCAGAGAAGAATACTGGAAAAAGGACAAAAGAAATTTGGCACCATATGGAGCTTAATTGCTTTTTTTCTATTACCTGTATCTAAAATACTTCAGCAAAGATTAGCTATAAGCCTAAAACCACACCAAATGAGCAATAAATTCTATAGCTCAGTGACCATGAATAGATCATAACGTTGCCAAAGAAAATTTAAAATATTTTAAAACTGAATACATTTAATTATATGCAAATGAGTCATATCCTGCAGGGTAATTAGGTGGTTCACATAAATGATTATACTGAGTGAGTATTCTTTTCACGTGCAGAAAAGGTGAGCTCCTGGGGACTGCTATAGAAAAGGTGGGAGGGGTGAGGAATGCTGAAAGAAGCAGAAAGTCTTGCATTTGTAATTCAGGGACACAGATGATCAAAACACTGGGCCAGCAGAAAATCTGAGGCATGATTCAAAGAGAACACTGACAACAAGACAGTTTGTGTGTCCTACAGAAAGACGAGTCCTAGGAACCTGGCCACCAAGCAACTACTATAAGGTCAAGCATTGATTTCCTAGTGACTGTTACCATTCCGATGTTCAATCAATGCTGGCAACTGCTTTCTACCTCTGAACACTTTTCTTGCTAGTCTTAGGTTTTATGACTTCTGAGATATGAGACTGAATTTGTTTGAGTTTACTATAATGGGATTTTGCATTATGTATGCTCAGTAGTAAATAATATGTATGCTTAATAGTAAATTATTTTGGGAAAATGTCTATTATTGCTACAATTTAACTTAGGCTAACTCAAAGTTTCTTTGACTTGCTAAGCAGTTTAGATACTGGAAAAAAAATCAGCACAGATCTTTGACCTGGAACCCAGTATAAGAGTATATAGAGATTACTTTTTTCAGTTCAATCGGTGGCCAGTTGGGTGATTTCCTGGTAAACCACTATCCCCTTATGCCATGTTTACAGTGTATTCGGGGTGGATAACATAATGCAATGAGAAAAAAATAATAAAGTAAGGAATTTAAATAGCTTTTTAATTTTTATCTCCTTATTGTATATGCCACTTAAGTTTTTTTTAAATCAAAGGAGAACTACTACCATTGAAAGAAGTATTAATTTTCATCCCAAATACCAAGGGGACACCAAACTTGGACTTCCCTGATTTCATAGGTTCCTTACAGGAAAACATAATTAATCCATTATATTTACCAAGGAGGACTTTTCCACTTAAGCTCCACACTTGAGATTGTAAATTTCCCACACTTGACAGCGTAAACTCCTCATTACAAGGAGACCTAGAGGATAATTGCCCCGATAATGGCATCTTTGTACCAGTTTATGTAGACATAAAATGTTTAAAACTACTGAACTCAGTTAGACTATTTATTATCCATTGTAAAAACACATATTCTTGATTTTCTCTAAATATAAATAGGTTTGAATAGTTAAGATTATGATAAGAAAAAAGCATGCCATTTTAGGGGAAAGGGCTCTGTTATGTGTGCATGCTGACCTATGTGTTGCAACAATTTGGTTGATATACATGCACAAAATAGTACATTTACAACACTGCATGAATGATTTAAATGTAGGTAGCAATGCCTTTGACTTCAATCCATGATTTCTTACAGTATTATTTCAATACCATTCTTCTGAATACCTTTTAACTATCAATTTATAAATATGAGTCTTGTAGCTATCAAAGTTATATAATAGAGCCAGTCAAATTTCTATAAATTATATATTAATAATTATATTAGTGAATAAGAGTTATTGTATATGCATCACTGAGGGAAATAAAATAACAGACACTAAATATATCTGTTTTAAGTAACTGAGAAATAAGAAAAAGTTGTCTTCAAATAATAAAATAAGCTATGAGAAATTAGGGATTGGTTTTTCATAACGTATTTTAAATGGGGGGAAATAACAAATATAAAATGGCCACAATAATTTCTGTGAATTTCATAGAAGAATAGGGCAGAATAACTGAAAACTAGTTTATAATTTAAAACAAATTTAGAATCCTTTTAAAATAAACATACTCAGTATTTTCTTTATAACAGCATATTTGAAATATCATCAGGTGTCCACTTTACATTGGAATTAATTGAACTGGTATTTACATTTCCAAGTAGTTATTTCTCATTTGCCAAGAAGAGATTGAGGCTTGGTTTTCCTTCAATAATATCTTCATTGGGCATTAAATCACAAGTATTTATTAAACTGCTGGAGTTAAAGGGACACAAAAACAGATCAGCCATTCTTCCCGAGTGAAATTGATTTTATTTTCTCCTAGCTCGGTTCTCCTAGCTCAGAGAGTAGGTTCTAGCCTTATTTCTGCAGGCAGAAAGATCCTTGGAGTGAAGATAGACTTCTAATTTGGTTTTCAAAGCATAGAGCATACATTACATTTTCTTCATTTTGAGTCTGTACACATGATGTGATGATCGTCAAAATGATGTACCGTTAACCTATGGCTTTCTTTAATATTCCATTAACTATAATTCAATTTCAGCAACAAAAAGAGCAGTTGGGAAAACACCATAGACATAATCAATAAGGAAACTCTGTATTTGAATTACGATACCTCATTTTCCATGATGTGGTTATAATGCATTGCATGCCTGTATCAAAACATCTCCTGTACTCCATAAATATATACATCTACTATTTACCCACAAAAATTACAAATCAAAAAATACATATATATGTTTTCTGAGGCTATCCTAAACCTCCCTTCCAGTTTTCTGTGGCCTGTATTAAGCCAGGAGCACTGGTATTACTTTTTCATGAGAGTCATAATTGGCCCAAACCCAATCTGTCTTTCTATTTCTAAATGTCGCCTTCAAGTACTAAATTCTATTTTTCCTTAAAGTTAAAATCCAAGACTTTTCTCAGGATCACATTTGTATGTCTATAAATTAGACTTCACATGGGCCATGATTGCTAGAAGGAATCAAAGAGACCCTAACTTTGCATTCAACTTAAAATTAATAAAAGGTTTTGAATAGAGTATATTAAAATTGCATGTTTCATCAGACATGGAACAGTGCGGTGAAATGGGTGTTAAAATTATTAGGTTCTAGAAATTAGTAGAGACACACCATTTGTATTATCACATCTTTCATGTTAATTTAAAGAAGGAGAGTTCAGCCTTGACTACACCTTGGGTGACTTTTAAATTATATTGATGCCTATGAATCTAATATAATGGTTTGGGAAAGGGTCTGGGCATCTGTGTCAATAATTTTGAAACCTCGCTTGATATTTGTAAGAGATACCCTGGCTTCCTCTACTTATAGCTCTAAAAGCAGACAAAAACGTGTCTGAAAAGAAGTGGAAAATACAAGCTTCTGCCTCATTGATTACTGCTGTCCATTGGAATTTTTGCTTGGCACAAATTGTTTATCAACTTTTTCATTATTTAGGAGTTTTAATTAGGTATAACTTATTTGCATTAGTTGCTTCTCTTGAAGAACCTTTGTTTTTTCCTGAGTTAGCTGCCTAGTTCAAGGTCATATTACAGCAATGTTTATTTACATGAGGATTTTGTTTTCGGTCTACTTGACACAGTGCCAGAACTTCTTGCTTATTTATGTTAGATCCTTATAAGAACAGGAGGGTAAAAAGTACATTTACTTTAGAAGAGTTCTTATGAAGGTTATGTGATTACCAAGTGACCAAAATTCCTTGCATAAGCACTCATTTCTACCAGCAATTCTCTTTCAAATATAAATTTTAATATTTGGATAGTGACTCCCATGCATATTTTGGCTTTAGGATGAATCACTGTGCCTGGAGCAAAATCTTTGTCAAGGATGGAGCCAAGCATCCCAAAGAGTGGCTGGGAATCACAGGGGAGCCCGCTGTCTCCATGTCACCTCTTAGGGGAATAACAGGACATCACAGAACGAAACCGAGGGCTGCAGGAAGTTGCAGGGTCACAGATGAGACTTTTTAAAAATATATATATATGAACAGGGTTAAGAAGAAGTCCCTATTGAGGACTGTATATGTCAAGGTTCTCTAGAGGGATAAAACTAATAGGACAGGTGTATACATAAAGGGGAGTTTAGAAATATTAAGCAATATTGACTCATATGATCACAAGGTGAGGTCCCACAATAGGCCTTCTGCAAGCTGAGGAGCAAGGAAGCCAGTCCGAATCCCAAAGCTGAAGAACTTGGAGTCCGATATTCTAGGGCAGGAAGCATCCAGCACCATGGGAGAAGGACACAGGCCGGAAGACTAAGCCAGTCTAGTCTCTCCACGTTCTTCTGCCTGCTTTTATTCTGGCTGCACTGGCCACTGATTAGATAGTGCCCACCCAGATTGAGGGTGGGTCTGCATTCCCAGTCCACTGACTCAAATGTTAATCTCTTTTGGCAACACCCTCACAGACACACCCAGGAGCACTACTTTGCATCCTTCAATCCAATCAAGTTGACACAATATTAACCATCGCAAGGACAATCAGAATATATTTCAGGATAAATTGAAAATTGTGAAAGTGATTATCGTTAGATTATTTTAAGGAAGTTTGACTTAGGAGTTTGTTAGCCATGGCCCCAGGTATATAGGTTGAGGGACCTCAGAGTTTATAAAGTTGTCTTTCTTAAAAGAAGAATTTCTCAAAGATCAATATAAAAGCCTTTAAAACATCATTGTTGTTAGATATACGTTTCATATACAAATGCCCTAAGGGCATTTGTGATGATAGCCATCATTTATTCAGCACATTACGCAACAAGCTTGATTGTAAGGTTTTCCACACATTCTCTCATTTTATTCTCACAACAAACCTTATCTTTTCAAGAGTCTGAGACTTAAGGTAGCAATTCCCTAGAGTTCACACAAGTAATAACTGGCATAGCAGAGCTCACATTTAAACTCAGATACACCTACATTTTTTTAGTTAGGCCAGAAGTGGCAAATCGGACAGATAATGAGAAAATAACTAGAGAATATTAAAATGTAGATAGCCATTCTAACAAAACATGACCAAGATGGCACACAAATACACACACACAAACACACATACACACACACACACATATAGTACCAGCTCAGTCACACTTGAAAAATTCAAAATAAAAATATTAGCAACTAACTCCAGTGTTTCATTAGATAATGAACACGACATGCCTAAGTAGGATTTATTCTTCACGTAGTTTAGCCCAACATTATACTAAAAACATGAAGGAGAAAGTTCCTCTCATTATATTCATAGATGCTAAAAGAAAGTCTAATAAACTTCAGCTATCAATTCTAATTAAAAAATTGTGGGTGAATTGAAATATGAGCTCTATAAACATGAACTATTTATACAAAAATCATCATTACATATTACATTAACTATAAAATGCAAATTCCAGTGGCATCAAAATGGTGAACTAATTAGGCATGATTTCTCTTCTGCCAGCTCTCAAAAATCTCTTGCTGGTTCTACTTAATGCAATAGGACAATAAAATAAAATAATCATAAATACTAGAAATTAAAGTTTTAATTGTATATGATACTGTCATACACTTGGAAAAGATCAAATCCTTAACAATAACTAGGAACTAATAAGGTATATGAATACAAGATAAATACGTGCAAAATATGTATTTTTTATAATTTAGTTTGCCAAACAAGTTAGATATACGAGGATGAATTTATAAATCAGCCTTATTATTCTTCTTCTACTCCACTTCCAGTTGGCTCTACAAACTAATTACTGACTCCTTCGGTTGTTACCTCAGGTAGGTCCTCACTTTTTGTGCTTGTTCAGTCACAAAAACTTCCTGACATTTAAAATTCTGGTCCAGTATAGCACTAAATTCCAAATTCTTATTGCAACTAAAACATCTTTATTTATCTAATTTGGGCCTATCTAGTTATTGCTGAGAAACCTGTAATAACTAGTTGCTATTTTGGAGGGAGGAAAATGAGAGCATACAGTCAGGTAGAATCTTATTTGTCTTAGAGCAGTCATAAGAGCCTTTTGTTCTTGGCAGATGCACATTTACCAGCTTGTTCTCTTGTTCTCTCCAGTTCCCTCACTGGAGACTTCAAATTGCTCAGTCTTTTACAAGCAAAGTGCTAATACCACAGTCATGTTCTGACTTACTGTCAGTCACCTCAGATTAGAGTAATTACTGCCTGTTTTAGAAACATATCACTGCACCAGGTCACTATTCTGCTGCTTATCACTATTATGGATTCTGCATCTGGTCTATGCAAACCCCCCATTTTTAAAAGTACAACTGGCTCCCAACACAGCCCTCTCTCTCTTTTGCATTGTACTTCCAGGCAGCCTGTAGCCTTTAGATTTCTTCCAGCAACAGTCAGACCCCATTGCTGTGGCTGTTTAATATCCAGGAACATATCTTAAGCTTTCTCAAGTTTTCTTGAAATCTTGTTTCCTGCTTGACTTTAAAGTAAGGGAGGCACATCCACTTATTCCCATGATGGCAGGAGTGGGTAGCCGCAAGCACAGTGCCCTAACCATTCTCTCCAGAGACCTCCATCTTGCCAGTGTCTCCACTTTACTCACAGAGCTTATTGTGTATTTGAGCAGAGCTGGTTTCTCAGACCCTCCACATGTCCTGTTTAGGGGGGTTAGCACTGCACGTTAGGACTTGGGACCACGCTGTGCCTATTTTACCCTTGATATTCGGCTACAGCTAAAATCATATCAAAAAAAGTCATATCGATTACCCTGCTATATTGGCAATAACAAGATATAGTCGACCAATAAAATTGGAAAAATATAAGAGCAAGACACTGCAAACGGCATATAAACATATTCAGGGAAATGAAAACTAAAACAACAATAAGATAACTTGATTTTTGTCCTTGAGGTAGGCAAAAATTAGCAATTGAAAAAATGTGCAACTGTCCAGTTTCATCAAGTTTGTGAGAAATTGGATATTGAAAAAGGGAAATATAAATCAATCTCTCTCTTTCCCTCTCTCTCTCTCTATTTCAGTCTCTCTCTCACACACACACCCACATACACAACCTTGAAAGGCTGTGCAGAAGCAGCACTATTACTTTATCTTCAAAGGTTATTTCCAACTCCAATGTATCAATCTAAAGAGTAAATTTGAAACCTTGTTTTGAAATAATAAGAGAAGTTGAATGTAGATTTATCATAAATGATTTTAAATGCAGTGCTATCCTTTGTCATGATTTACAAATTCTTTCTCTTATTTCCAGATATCCATAGGCCATCATAGTTAACCTCTGTTTCTCCCTGTGAACCAACAACAAATATGTTATGTCTAGTCCATGTGTGGCCTGTAAATATAAGTAATATTTACAGAATTTGCTTTGACTTGGTTAAGATTAGTAAGAAACTTATGGTACCAGAACATCTTAACCAGAATACTTAGGACCCTAACACTGTATTCCTCATTTATAACTCTTGTGCTGGTTAAATATGAACTCTCATTCATATACATTTATTTGTTGTTTATCACCATTGACATCTAGGAGGTTTTGAGTGACTAAGTACCTTCACCAATCTGTTTCCCAACCTTTTTTTCTGGATTGTTCTGTAACGGAAAGGAAGAATTATGTCCCAAATGATTGTCCTGTTGAGAATGGAGATTTAAATGTATTCAGTTCTTTTTCCAGGTCTCCCTTTGAAATCCTGTTTTAGAATGATACTCAGCCTTCTTATTTCCTGTTGAAAATAATAACACATACTACCTGCCACTTAGCACATATAAGTGGGTGTTTGGAAGAATCTTTTGACTGAATTTAATGAAACTGCTGAATTAAGTAAAAGCTTGTATCTTTTTCTCAGGTAGTGACTCTCTGTAGCTATGGACCACCACATATTTGCCATCCCTTTGCTGATGGTTTGATTTGGAATGTGTCATTTCGTTTGTGAAATGAGACATAGTCAAGGTACCCATGTGCTCAAGTGCTTAGATTACAACAATGTTTTGATGCAAATGTGCAAAGTACTCAGAGATCAACACTATGGTCTAATAACAGGCCATAGCAAAATAGAGCAAATGAATCCTGTGAAATCAGAGAGAATGCATCAAATAAAGATGTACTACCTAAAGTGCAAAATCTACTAGGAGCACTTTGACATTTCAGTTCAAGTTCTACAGTGTTTCACATTTTTTCAGTCTCTATTGTAGTCTCACTTGGAGGTGATTGCTTGATCACTAGAGGAATATGATATTATTCGTTTCAGAAATGAAGCAGCTATGGTGTTCTCTTGTGAATAGCACTAGATATGAATTAGGATTATGATCTTGTTTGTGTAGAATGTTTCATTACATTTCAGATATTTGTGTCAGGATATAACAAAGTGCATTCATCAGCTTAGGAGGTTTGCTAACTTCAGCATTCAACGTAAGTTTAGTTGCCCCAAGTCTACAATTAAACAGCAAGACACAACGACAGGCTTTGAATTTTAATGGAAATTGGCAAGATGCTGAATAGCAATGAAACCAGTGGGGATGAAGAATTACTTGCAAATTTGAACTGTGTGCAAACTAGCCAACATCAAGCAAATAGTCTTTATGATTTCTATATATGTATGTACATACATATATACACACATATGCATATGTATACACACACCTATCTGTCTGTATATATGTATATACACACAGAGCAGTATTTCTATATAGTCCTTTAAAAAATGTAGGCATCTTGTGTCTTTGCACAACTTGAAAGGGATTGTCTTCTCATTGTCTAGTTATAAATTAAACTTGTAGACCTTATTTTTTTGTCTGAAGAACAAGAACCCTATTTCCTCAACTCCGTATCCCCAAGCATTGAATAGTTTATGCCCATAACAACTATTCAGTCAACGCTGTTGAAAATATGTCTTAACTGAGAATCCACTCCTTTTCCTTCACAAGCTCAAAAGCACATACAAAAGAGCAATGAGGCTGATAAATCTGACTTTTCAGAGGCATTTATCAGACAGAAACTTCCCATTCTGAAAAGTATTTGTGTATCAGAATAGTTCAGACTCATGGCTACACTGATCCTTTAAAAGCAAATAAGCTCTTAATGCCATACCTGTTTAGAAAGGTGCAGAATGGGGTATGCACTGCATGGAGAGACCCTACCTCCTACCCACCCTGGCCTGACATGAGTGATAGGAAAAAGTGGAAACCTTCTCAGCCCTGGGCTACCCATGCTAGACCTCTGATTCCAGGGCGGTGAACTACTGCTTTTCCTCGTGTGTGGTTTCTTTCTGGTGTGATGTCAAAGAGATCCGGCAAACAAAAGTAAATTCATTTACAGACAATTGACTAGAATTTGTGAGAAAACCACAGAAGAATGGCAACCCTGGTAGTTCTTTTTAAACATATAGATTCCAAACTCTTTCATGAATAACTCAATTGCTTCTTTTTATCTTAATTTTGTGATATAAACTCATCCCACACTACTCCTAAAACCTTTCTCGAGAATTCTTATGTCTTTCTATCTCATTACTCTTCATTTAAAAGTTCATGTCCTTTTCACTCTTCAATATCATTATCATGGAGCAGTGGTCCCACTGCCAGGGTACATGAAAGCGGGGTAGGGAGGGATAATTTCAGTCTCAGCTGCTACCTTCATTCTACTTGCTTTTACTTCCACTCCGTTCTTGGGTTCTCTCAATTCTTGGGGTTGAAAATGCCAACCATGCTGCAGGTCATCGTGTCTTGTCTCCTCCTCTATCAAGTCCAGCTGATCTCTACAATTTCTTCAGAAGTGACCAACTCAAGCTTCTTCTTCCTAGATTTAATGACGTTCCTTCCCTTTAAATATCTGAGTTCCCCACCTTTTCAATACTTCCAGTGTGAGTTTCCTGTGGCTGCGGTAACCAATTACCACAAAATTCATGGCTTAAAACAGCAGACACTGATGCTCACACATTGATGCTTCTCCAGGCCAGAGGTCAGAGATCAGTTTCAGTCTGTTCAAATCAAGCTGCTAGCTGGGCCGTGCTCTCTCTGGAGCACTTAGAGAATAATCTCTTCCTTTCCTTTCCTGGTTTCCGGTGGTTTCCAGCATCCCTTGGCCTGTGGACACATCACTCAATCTCTGCCTCTGTGGTCACAGTGCCTTCTCTTCTGCGTATATCGGATCTCCCTCTGCCTTTCTTACGAGGAGACATATGTGATGGAACTTAATCTTTACCCAGATGATAAAGGATAATCTCCCAATGCCAAGATCCTTAACTTAATTGTATCTGCAAAACTTTTTTTTCTAATAACGTAATCTTTACTGGTTCCAGGGATTAAGACCTGATATATTTGGTGGCCATTATTCATTCTACTTTAAATCCCAATCACACACTATCACGCCCAATATTGGCAGCTTATTTCTACCAATCCTTCTCCATCAGCACTGACATGCTCTCTGTTTCTCTGCAACCTTAGATTTTACTCTAGCACAGAACAGTTGTGCCTATTTGAGCTTGACAGCAGAATGCATTGATAATTGGTCTTATTTTAAGCCAGGAATTGATCTATCAACTTTCTAGCTCATTGACAGGTGAATTGAGGCAAAGATCTATGCAGAGTCTGGTACAGTAGAAAAGTAAATGCTTACTAAATGAGTGAATAATGAATTCTCAAATTTAGAAAATTCTTGAGACAACAAAGCCATTTTGTCTCTCCTGGGGAAATTCACTTTCCAATGGTCTAGGATTGCAATTCGGTCTCAGAGCTACAGAATCTTCCTGAATGTATGTTGCAGTGTTTTTGAATCCAGAGTTACTGCTAGTGCCTGGGTTTTCCACAACAGGAAATATTCATGAAGCGTATGATAGAAGATGAAATTGAATGGAATATCCTATAACTCTCTGATGAAAATTCAATAGTAACTAACAGGTTGGGTATGGTGGCTCATGCCTATAATTTCAGCACTTTGGGAGGCCAAGGTGGGAGGATTGTTTGAGGCCAGGAGTGCAAGACCAGCCTGGCCAACGTAAATAAATAAATAAATAAATAAATAAATAAATAAATAAATAGTAACTAACATATGTAATACTTATTAGACGTCTGGTACTTTTCTAAGTGCCTGACATGTTTCATTTCATTCTCAAAAAATCATATGGGATGGTAGGGTAGGCAAAATAATGTCTCCCACCAAAATGTTCACATTGGAAAGGCAAAATGTACCCTATTACTGTTACCTTACATGGCAAAAGAGATACAGCATATGTAATTAAATTAACGACCTTGAGATGAGATTAGCCTGAATTATGCAGGTGGACCAGATATAATCACAAGATTACTTAAAAGTAGAAGAGAGAAGCAGAAGAGGATCGGAGTGATGAAATGGTATTTGGCTGCCATTTCTGGCTTTAGAGATGAAGAGAGGAGCCACAAGCCAAGGAATGCAGGCAGCCTCTAGAGCTGGAAAGGTGAAAAGGTAGATTCTCTCCCTAGAGCCACCAAAATGGAACATAAGTCTGCCAACACCTTGATTTTAGCCAGTGAGACCCTTGATAGACTTCTCATCTGCAAAACTGTAAGATGAAATTGTGTTGCTTTAGGCCCCTAAGCTTATGTTACAATGCTAACAGGAGTTAATATAGGAAAAATTTGAAAATTTAGAAATTTCCTAAAAATTAGGAAAATGAGTCACAGAGAGAGAAAGTGACTTACTTAGGATCAAAGGGCTAGAAGGTGGTAGAAGCAGAGTTCAAATACACGAAATTCGCCTCTTGAGGTAATGTTCTCAACCTCACGTTAATTTGCATCTCAGCCCATGTACAACCGGTAACTAAATTTATTTCCTGAATTTAGTCCTTCTTGTCTCATACTGGAAACATTTGCTGCAGCTGTAAAATTCCAGCCTGCCAGGGACCTGTACTTCCCAGGGCACTTGGCAAATGATAGAACATCTGGTGCTGCTGACATAAACTCTGTGCTTTTCCTTCTTTCTATCCTTCATCACAACAATTTCTCTATTATCACTGCCTCCTCTCCCAGGCCCAGGATAACTGTAAGAGCCTCTTCCAAGATGATGATGATGACGTGGAGAAAAAAATCAAATGGTTGCTACTAGACTTCTCTAGAGCTACAAGTATGCTTTCCCAGGTTTCTGCTGCAGCCACTGTTTCATTTAAAGCACTGCAACTCTATTCAGTAGGCAGGGATGGTTCCTGTTACATACATTTTACATGCAAGATAACTAATACTTCAGGAGATTCAGTCGCCTGCCTAAGGTCTCCCAGGGAGTAAGTGGTGGGAATAATGGCCATCCCTATTCTCACCCAGTGCCTGTGCCACAATGAAAAGGACAAAGGTTTTGAAGCCTATGATTCTAAGTCATAATACCCAGAAACATCACTTAAAAATTGTGAGCCTCATTTTCAGAACCTGAAAAATGGAGGTGAAGAGCCCACCTCATATATTTGCTATGAGGACTAAACAGAATAGTGGGCTGAAAAGTTTGCCTCACTGTGAAAATTACTGGAATGCTAATAGAGTTTTGAAATCTTAACCCCTAGTGAATCAAGAGTCTACTGTGAGTCCCTGATGGGGTCATTCAACCAAGGCAGTTATTTCTGAAATTCTTCCAACTCTGGCAGATCCTGGTATTTACTTTAGCCCTGGGTCATCAGTTTTCCTAATGAACCACATTTTTTTTTTATGATGACGATGCTGGAAATGGGTTTTAAATAGGGTAAATTCTTATTTGTTCTCAATACCTCCGGAATAGCTGAAGAGTGAACACTTTAAAGACTGATTGGCAATGCTGACTGGCTAGTGTATTCTTAGGTGGTACAAAAGCAGTATAATTCACTACTTTTTAACCACTATTAAAACTCCTGTTTTCAGGCTTTCAATGTTTGTGATTTATACAATTTTTATTCTCTTATTATGGTTGCTTCTTCTTTGTAAATTAAACTCAGGAGAAACCTGTAATAACACATTATGATACTGCACAGAACTGATTTCACACAGATTCAAAGCTAATATTACCCTGCTCTTTGACATCTGCATCTTTAAAGGTGCTTCTTCCACAGGGATGTCTAATAACCAGAATAGCTGTGAGCTAGCTGGTTTCTTTCCCAACTTTATGTATGCTTTCTGTAAAGACTTTTGGATGAGAATAATATTATTCCTTGACTTTGCTTTTTCTTTATTCCTGGATGTCAGTGCTTACCTGCAATTAGATCTATCTCCCAGCCCAGGGATAAATAGCAAAAACTTGAATTTGGAAACACCAGAAACACAGCAGTTACAGACCCCGAGGGGCAGAAACCACAAATGAATTTCCCTGACCTTTACTTTGTTTGCTATCAGCAGTCTCTAACACCTAGTATGATATTGGTAATGAGTTTCTAGTGAGAAGACAGGAAAGGTGTGAGGGAACTACGGTGGAACTAGTTCTCTTTGCCTTCCATTCCTGAGTACATATATAAAAATAAATGCAACCACAGCACATCAGTAGACTTTTAAAAATACATGTCCCTTCTTTTTTAAAGCAAGAGATATTTTTATCTCAACCCAGCATGGATAATCGGAATAAAATTAGAGCATGTATGGAATTGAATTAACCTGTGGATTAAACTCATCCATTTGGGAGATCATGGTTATTACTGATTTAATCTAAACATCAGTGCTAGCCGTGTGCATATGTGGAACTCAGTGCTGTATGAATGCGAAGAATACAGGATGCCTTTTCAGTCTTCAATTTGGAAACTTCATCATGATAACACTGATTATCAGGTAAACTCAAACAGTACAAGACATGCTTTCTCTCATCTTGCAAAAAAAAAAAAAAGTCTTTTATTTTTAAAGTATTTGAAATAGTTCTATCAATTGTTTGACAATTAATGATTATCATTTGGTCATAGAAACAGTTACCAGGGACGAGTATGTTCATTTTAAGTGACTTGGAGGCAGGATCCAGTGTGCATATTCAATTCTCGATGAGCAGTCTTACAGAAATGATTTTCCTGCACTTTGCTTGACTTAGTCATGTAGACAAAACTTATTGGCATTTTGGACATATTGGCGTCTGCAGATTGACTTGTAATAGGTAGTTCAACTATTGCATTACAAGAACTGCAAATCATCTATTCGTGGCTGTTGTTCTTTTTAAAAGAGTCAGAACAATATCTGTATGTGATATATGTGTGTGTGTATGCATATTTAAGATATATATGTGTGTTTTATTTGTAATGTATAAATTATTTATTTGAATGACTTGGGAGATTAAAGTAGTAGATTTCATAATAATTCAGACATGATTTTGAAATTTATATCCTGACATGCCTAAAGTGAGCATACCAGTATACCACACTTTTTTCTTTCTTTTTTTTTTTTTTTAGAAATTAGCCACATTTGATTTGAAGACGATTTGCTTAAATTCACCTCTAATGATTTAGGTTAATGACTCTGAGTACTTGAAGATGTCTTATGGTAATAAAGATCTATGTTGGCATGATTCAATTAATGAAACTAAAGTGAAACTCTGTGCTTTGGTTTTACTTAAGTTAGCAGTAATTATTAATGTAATGTTTCATAATTGTGGTTTCCATGAATAGTCTGAATCTCATAGACAATCTGGGTTATAAAAAAAGCCTAGGTTAAAAAATGTTGTTTTCATTGTCAAATATTTCTTTATAATAAACCACAAAAATAATTGAAGTAATGAATTTTAGCACATACTTTCACAGGTATTTTATATATATCTTATGAATAGCCTTACTCTTTCTTGAAGTAAATAAGTATAAAAAGCATTTATAAAGAAATGTATAAAAAATAAATCTTAGATGGTTTTAAATAAGGATGATACACTATACTTTAAAATACAAATATAAAAACTCACATTTATTTTGGAATACCAAACAACTGGAACAGTTGGAGGTTGATATAACATTTTATTATCCTTACACTACTTAACAAGTTAATATTTGGCAATATACTACCTCTGGTAACTATTTTGTCAATAACACCAAGCTATGTGCATTGTAAATATAAAGAAGGTTATTTACACCAAGCTATCTGCATTTTAAATGTAAAGGTTATTTTCTAGTGCTATACAAAATCCATTTTAAAATTATGACATCTACTGTCTAAACATTAACTCTCTAAAAGTTTGCATTTAAAAATGAAATTTCTATGTATGATTATATTATGTATTAACAAAAATAGAAATTTCTTTCTCTTCTAGCTGGAAGCTGTCATGTTCTTAAGAATGTAAATTACCATAAAAGTGTATCCTTTTATTTCCTACAAAGTAAGATTTACTGTTTTAATAAATGTTCACAAGATTATGTTACCTCTGTACCTATAGTGTCTTTATCTAGTAGTTATTGCTGTGACTACCGAGGCAATTGGTTATTTCATAAGCTAAATATTTTGAAGTCCTACATGTCAGAAAAGCCACAGTGAGCACTACTCTGCATTGCTCAATTCAATTCTCAATACATTAGAATTATACATATTGTAAAAATATTTGCAGACGTCTGTTAAATAAAAATTCCATACTTAATTTTTAAATGTAAGCTAAATTTAGAGTAATTTAAAATTTTTAGTGATATCAATTATCCAGCTCATTTATCTGGCATCAAATTATGTACACCATTTTAGGTACAACTACTAATTAATAGATTTTACTATATAAGAATATAAGACATTTCTATTTATTTTAATTAGAAACAAATCTAAGATGGTGCTGTGTACTTTCCATTCCACATACTACATTTTTACGAAAAGCAAATTGAGAGCTTTGGGATATGGGAAGTTTGAGGTGATGAATTCTCTGAAGTCAATATTAATTGACCAATACAATTTGAGATTTAACTGGGATAGCTATTTCATTGGTTATTTGTGTCTGATCGGTCTACTCAAAATTTGATTAATGTCAATGTGGGTATTTAGTGATAGGTTGAGACAAGTGAATCAAATTATCCTCAGACTCATAAATTTCTGTAGAATGTGCCTCAGGATAAAGCTTTATTGCTAGGTGTTTCTGTGTATCGGGGACGGGGGGAGGTTAGTGAAATGGTATTTAAATATGGAAACATTGAGAGAATGGTAGAAAAAAGACTAAAAGATGAATATATTTATGGCTGCATGTTTTAACGGTGAGAAAGAAAATTCTCGTTTTTGAAATGCATCATTTCTATTCTACTTCCCTTCCAAAGGCAATAGAGGCTTAAAATGATAGATAAAAGTTACACAGATATGCATTTGTATATAAACTGAATTATAATTTGGTAAACAGGATGTGTCTTACAAATATATGATAAAAACATTGCATAACAGATTGACATGGTCTTATAAACCAATGTTAGAGGACTCCTTGTATTATCTTTTAGGGATATATGTGATTTGATTCTTATTTTCAAAAACTTTATATCAGGAAATATCAAATTCAACCCCCTTACAATCCTCATGGGATACTTCTAATGTTATTTATGTCTTGGGTGGAACTGTCTCAAGTTAAGTGCATGACCACCTTACAAATAGCTTGAGACACTTGAATCTCAATGTATTTTAATAGCCCCTGCCCCATCTACTTTAGGTTTTGTAAATAATGGATAAATATTTATTTAGATTTTATTTTTTATTTGATACATAATGCATTCTAATGATATTTACACCTCAAAATCTGATTCAGTATGCATGCTTTATATCTGAGTGGACTTTTCTGTAACGCTAACTATAGTGATGAGTATTATACCATACTATCTGGTAAGATAGGAGGTATCACAGTCTATTCTAGATTTCTTAATAATCGGCAAAGATTGAAAATGTAGAGATAAAATTAATGGTATTTTCTTATAGCCCTCCTATTTCAAGAATAGCACTTTAGTAAAAGTTACAGACTCAGGATTGTGTTGAAATCCATGAGTAATAGGAAGAAACAAACCATTTCTTCTCTTAGTATACTCTCAAGAATCTTTACTTCTGATGCCAGATGTGATTTTCTTCACACACTTCAACTCTCCATTGGATACAAACGGGAGTCCTATGATTCAATTCAATTCAGACACTATCTGCCTGGAGTTAGTGTCAGATCTCACAGGTTAAGGGTTCAGTCCCACAAGACTCCCTCCCACTTTAGATGCTAATTGGAAGTCCTGGCCTCTGGAACTGCTGACCGACCAGCTGTAAATTGTGGCTTCCCACCTCTTCCTCAGGTTCCATCAGTTGCTAGAGTGGTTTACAGAACTCAGGGAAATGCTTTACTACCAATGGCCGATTTATTACAAAGGACATATGAAAGGATACAAATGAAAGCCAAATGAAGAGATACATAAGGTGAGGTTCAGAAGGCATCCAAGTGCAGGAGCTTCTGTCCCTGTGGAGCTGGGGCAGCTACCCTCCTGGCAAGGGGATGTATTTAGCAACCCGGAAGCTCTCCAAACCTTGTCCTTTTAAGTTTTCATGGAGGCTTCATTTAGTAGGCATGATTGATTAAAATCATTGGTGATCAACTTAACCTTCAGCCCCTCTCCTCAGTTGGAGGTTAGGAATGAGGCCGAAAGCTGGAATCCTCAAATCACGTGGTCGGTTCCTCTGGCAACCAGCTCCCATCCTAAGACTATTCAGGAGGTTTCAGCCATCAGTCATCTCAAATGCACATAAAAAGACATTATTTTGTAGATTTCAAGGGTTTTAGGAGCTGTGTGCCAGGAAGCCTGGACTAAGACCAAATATTTTTTAATCAAAAATCATATCTCAATTCTTCATTTTAGTTTTAATACCAAATATTTATTTACCTTAGATGAAAATGGCATAGTAATTTAAAAAATCAAACAAAAATAGAGACATCATCTCAAGAAAGGAGAGAAAACGAAGAAGTAATCAATGCAGAGTCTATGGCTGAGCAAGCTGGTGAAAAAACTTACAGAAGAAGTGTGATTAACAAGCACAGAGAACCCCAAGAATGGTAAGCGTGCACGCGCGCACACACACAAAGTAAATATAAGCCCATCATATTCAAACGGTTGAAAACCAAGCAAATAACAATGTCTAAAGGCAACCAAAAAATTGCAAGGAATGAACAATAAAATTTAAGCTGACCTTCTAGTAGAAAGTATGAATCCTGAAGAAAAAAAGAAAGTAATCATTAAAGTGTTAAAAAAAAGAAGTCAGTCTATAATTCTATAACAAGCAAAAGCATCCCTCACAATTTAATTTTAAGTACTTTGGACAAATAATATCTGAGTGAATTCTTCACTAGCAACTCACTACAAGGTATACTATTAGGAAATTGTTCAAAATAAAATAAATTCATCATCAAATGTAAGCATATAACAGAACATAGAATTATGTAGAATACCAGATATTTTAAATGTGTGCATAAATATTATAATTGATTATTAAGAAAAATAACAGTAACAATGCCATATAGGATTTTTAATATATTTCTGAAAATTATTTATACTAAATATAGATACTATTTTATATATATAAAAGATATATGTACATATAATATGTATCTTTATAGATACTATACATAGTATATCTTGTATAAGATATCTTTATAAATATATAATGATAGGCTGGGTGCAGTGGCTCACGCCTGTAATCCCAGCAGTTTGGGAGGCCGAGGCAGGTGGATCACCTCAGGTCGGGAGTTCGAGACCAGCCTGACCAACATGGAGAAACCCCGTCTCTACTAAAAATACAAAGTTAGCTGGGCATAGTGGTGCATGCCTGTAATCCCAGCTACTGGGGAGGCTGAGGCAGGAGAATCGCTTGAACCTGGGAGGCGGTGGTTGTGGTGAGCCGAGATCGCGCCATTGCACTCCAGCCTGGGCAACAAGAGCAAAACTCCATCTCAAAACAAACAAATATATAAAGATATATGTGTATATATGAATATATACAAAATATATATTATATATACAAAACATGTATTTATAATATATATAAAATATACTATTTTTTGTATGTATATACATATACAGAGAGAGAGAGAGTAGAATAATAGCACGAAGAACAGCTCCTTTGAAAACAATGTCAATTCCTCAATTAAACATAGAATTGCCATATGACCCAGCAATTCAACTCCTAGACTTTTACCCAAAGAAATGCAAACATAAATCCACACAAATACTTGTATTCAAACGTTTATAGCAGCTTTACTCATAATAGCCAAAAGGTAAAAACAACACAAATATCCATGAAAGGATGAATGTATACACAAAATTAGCATATTCATACAATGGAATATCATCTAGCCATAAAAAGGAATGAAATTTTGGCATATGCTACATTATACTAAGTGAAATAATCCTGCACAGAAACCCAAATATCATATGTTGTCACACATGTGTGGGAGCTTAAAAAAAAATCTAATGTGGGTGGAAAGTAGAATGATGGTTACCAGTGGCTGGGAAAGATAGTTGTGGACAGAAGGATGAAGAGAGATTAGTTAATAGATACAAAAATGTAGTTAAGTAGTGGGATTTAGACCTAGTTTTCAGTATCACAATATGGTGACTATACTTAAAATAATTTATTGTATACTTTAAAATAACTAGAAGAGTGGATTTGAAATGTTCCCAACACAAAGAAATGATGAATGTTTGAGGTCATGAATATTCCAATTGGCCCTGATTTGATCGTTACACAATGCATGCTCATATCAAAATATCATATGTACTCCATAAATATGTACAAACATGCCATAGTCATGAATTGGAAGACTCAATACTGTTAAGATGTTATATCTCTTCAAATTAATCTAAAGATTTATTAGGATCCATGTCAGAATCCCAGCAGGTTTTTTTTTTTTTTGGTAGAAATTTACAAGCTGATTTTAAAATTTATATGGAAATGTCAATGTTATTGAAGAAACAATTTGAAGTACTCACACTAACAGATCTCAAGATTTACTAAGAGCCAATGTCACAATAAGACAGTTTGTGCTTTTGGTACAAGTATAGGAAAATTTAATATTGGAATAGACTAGTATATTTTCCTGAATTATGGTAAAGTCTCCACTGCAATTCAGTGGGTGTGGAATGGCCTTTTCCATAAAAAGGTGCTTAATCAATAGCATATCTATTTCAGAAAGAAGGGAGTGGGAGCCATAATCCCTACCACCTATTATATGTACATACAGATTTGAAGTAGGAACTTAAATGCAAAAAGTAAGGCAAAGAAAAGGTTTCTAAAAGACAACACAAATGACTATCTCAATGATCAGAGAGTAGACACAGTTTTCCTACAGTATGTTAAAAGCACTATTCACTTAAAAAAATAAGTGATCAACTGAACTTTCTTAAAATTCAGAACTGTTCCTTACAAGACAGCATTATGAGAGTGAAAAGATGATATCTGCAGTTCTTATATCTGACAAAGAACTCATGCCCAGAATATTTAAAGTATTCTTATGAAACAAGAAACAAGACTGACAAATTACTTAAAAATGGGCAAATAAATTGAAACAGCACTTCACAAAAGAAGATACACAGATAGCCAAGAAATTTATGAAAAGGTGCTCAGCATCATTACTCATTAAAATACCACAAACTGATACCATTAGACTCCCACCAGAATTGCTAAAATTAACATGGCTGAGAATACTGAATGCTGGTAGTGTTGTAGAACAGAAAGAACTCTCATATACGGCTATTGGCATGTCAGTTGCTATAACCATTTGGGAAAACATTTTGGCAAAATCTACTAACGTTAAACATATTTACACATTCAAACATAGCATGTCCACTCCTGGGTATATAGTCAAGAGAGACAAATGTTTCTACTAAAAGTTCATGTACAAATAATCTTAATAACAGCATTATGAATAATGGCCCCCAAACCGGAACAAATGAAATTTCCATCAGTAGTAGAATGGATAAATAAATTACAACATATTCATAACACAGAATACTACACAGCAGTGAAAGTAACACACTATTGATACACACAAGAACTCAGATGGATCTCACAGACATAAAAAGGAGAAAAAGAAACCAGACACAAAAGAATAAATGCTGCACGATCAATATGTGTGAAATTTTTAAAAAGAGCAAAATTTGGGCCGGGCGCAGTGGCTCACGCCTGTAATCCCAGCACTTTGGGAGGCCGAGGCGGGTGGATCACGAGGTCAGGAGATCGAGAACATCCTGGCTGACACGGTGAAACCCTGTCTCTACTAAAAATACAAAAAATTAGCCCGGCGTGGTAGCGGGCGCCTGTACTCCCAGCTACTTGGGAGGCTGAGGCAGGAGAATGGCGTGAATCCCGGGGGGCGGAGCCTGCAGTGAGCCGAGATCATGCCACTGCACTCCAGCCTGGGCGACAGCGAGACTCTGTCTCAAAAAAAAAAAAAGCAAAATCTAATCTTCTATGATAGAAGTCAGAATAGTAGTTACCTCTCGGGGGAGACTGGACTAAAAAGAAGCACAAGTGTATCTCCAGTGCTAAAAATGTTCTATTTATTGATCTGGTATCTGTGTGTGTGGTGTGTGTGTGTGTGTTGTGTGTGTGTGTGTGTGTGTGTGTGTGGTGTGTGGTGTGTGTGTGTACTGTAGCTGTAGCTATAAGCTTAATACTTGGGCAGTTTAATATGTGTAAGTTATACTTCACTAAAGCAGAAAAAAGGGGGTATAATCATAGCCTAAGAAAGCACTTTCAAAGTAGCTTTTCACAATTCCCCTTGCATAGCCATAGATACTATCTACATAAATGAATATATATGTAATTGTATTTTGATAAGCTTTTATATGAGAAACATGATATTGCTTTAATTCAAATTAACTTTCCTTCTTAAATGTTAATTATGACTTTGCTGCACACGTTCAACCCAGAAACACAACCTGAATGTAAAGGCTAGTCTTCATCTTGGATATGTTCATTTTAGTCTGATTTCACAATTTTAATTTTGTTATCAGCCAACGTTTATTTTATTTTAATCTGTTTTCCATGATTCTTAATTGCAAAATTATTAAAATTATATAGGACTAATCTGTTCACTATTGGTGATATGCATAAAGAAATCTTGCTTTAAGTAGCATATCTGCTGAAAAACTGTTTTTTTTTCTTTATACAATCTCATTACAGAACACAGCATCATTTATTGCCATAATATGTTTTGTCAAACATCAGAAACATTTGGTTCATTGATATATTGCTGCCACTGTTTCTCTGACATTTTATATCCTTTGGGGCCAATGAGCAAGTCCCATAGGCTTGTCCCTTGATAACTTTATATCGGTGTAATTAATTCTCATCTTAAATCTTTTTACCTGCTGTCAGCCAAGAAATAGCTAGGAAAGCTGATTTTCCAAAAGCTTGTGGATCTTAGATGAGAAAAATGATGAGTATAATGTTGAGGCTCATGTACCATCCTTTTTTCTAATTACACAGCCTGTTCTCTGAAATATCTTTCCGTCGCATCCATCAGGGATGCCCTCAACATCAGAGGGAGAAGTGCATGGCTGTGCAAAAGTGAGGATTTAAAGTCCCAAGACAGAAGACACCAGGACATGTTTTCTCTCTTATCATAAGACATGTATTTGATTTATCATGTATCTTCAAAACTATTCTAAAAATCCATATTATAATAACTTTGGGAATGAATGAGTATCATTGCTAGAAAATAGGAGATACCTTCTTGTCTGATGCTGGAAATAAAACTAAGCTGACGATTGCTGATGCAGTTATTTTGAAGTAACTTGAAAGATTCAATTTCACATCCTCAAATTTTAAGTACAAAATTACGCCATATAATTCATTTTTATTTACTTGTAATTTAAGTTTACTTTTACATCACTGATAGGTAGAATATAATGGAAGATAGCTATCCCCTTACTAAAGTGCCCATTTCTCTCCTATTCACATTGAGTCTGTGAACCCAATTTTGGGGCAAGATTCCCCACTGCTAACCGGGTTATCACAGGATCTCTGGATTAATTCATGCCACATTCTGGGACTTTCAGTTGAGTATATTTTATTTTTCATAAGAGAAATAACTGTCTTATGAAGAAAATAATCTTGGCTGTTTTTCTCTCCTTTCCCTTCTTTTCTTGCTGCCCTTCTTTAGATGATTTAATTTGTCACAAATTAATTTTTAAGACCTCAGTTAATTTAAGTGTTCTGAGGTATTAGTGACTTCTCTAAGCTCCCTGAGCTTTAGTTTACTCTACTGTAAATTTGGGATAAACAATCCCTACCTTGTAAGCTTGTTACAATGATTGACTGGGTACAAAGCACTGGGTATACAGTAAATGCTCAATAAGTGGCTGCTGTCAGTTTTGCCTTTTTAAATTTGTAACTGCTCAAGAGGACCCAGATTGTAACCTGGGGGGTAAGCTTCACAATAAGGGAACAGAAGAAATAATGAAAGGGGTAATTTTTGACCAGGAGTAATGGATGAGTAATGCATAGATGAACGAATGTTGGGAAAAATAGGAAAACTGGAAATCCTATTACTAAAATCATTTTAGGTGGGCTTAGCTCTGCATAGGGATTATTGCCATTTTAAAGGTTCACGTTCTGCTTCCTTTGGTGAAATAGACCTTTGTTTATCTTAAGTTAGTTAAGTTGTGTTACTCTCTGAAAGCTTATAAACCATTTTGGTATCATTAGAAAGATAATTTATTGGGAAACATTACTGGCAGGTTGTAATTCTGCTTAAGATACCTATTAATATCTATTAATAGAGTTCTCCGAACCATCCAAATGCTAAAGCATATAGTTGTATTACCCCCCAAAACCACAAGAATTTCTAATTTATGTTATGGTTGTGCAGGTAATCCCCATTGGTTTCAGTCTGGCTTCAGTTGACTATAGCACATATATACCTATTTTTCAATGGTCTTTCACAATTATAAGAAAGCTGGAGAATTAGCAGAAGCTAGGAGGGAGGATGCTACCCAAAATATCCTACATGGCACAGGGAGGACCTGTTTTGGCAGCATCCAAGCTCAAGTCCTTTGGAAGGGCCAAAACTGATAGCAAAATGTATAGTATGGTTGATAATGATTTCTTTATCAGAATTTCTGAGTTTGAGTTTGGTCTAGAAATATTCCCACCTAAAGAAGTTTCAAGAAAATAACAAGAGAAGCAAAAATGAATCTTTCACTCCTGACAGTATGACACAGAATATTCTTAGTGGATTCAAGCTTCACTGAGCTTCTGAAGGTTTCACGTGTCTGCAGGTATTTCTCCCTCTGTTAGAACATCTCCAAGTCATGGTTTGTGTCTTAGTCACCTTGACCTTCCAAGAGTCTTGCATACAGTTTCAGATGTATAGTAAGCACTTAGATGCATCTTGACTGACTGAATAACTGAGAGAGTGAAGAAAAATGAGATGGCATACAATTTGTTTAGATTGCTTCTGTTGTACACAATCGTACGTGGTAACTAATATTTTTACAATCTCTATTTTTCTCTTGTTTTCATCATCAGAACCATACTTGACAATCCTCTATGAGACAAAAGGGTAGAAATGTTTCTCAGACTGTTACTAATGCTAGGAAAATTTCATTCATTTTCTCTGTTTTGTATAAACTCATGCAGCAGCCAGATCCTAGTGGCACCCTGAGTGCTGTTGAGGTCCGGAGAAGAAAGGCAGTGTCACTTAGCAGAGCGCCTTCACCCAGAACACCAGAGGCTGAATGTAACCTCTTTATTTCTCCAACTTTTCACCAGTTAAAGGGAAAAAGTGAATTAAAGTGAAAAATAAAAGATTAGTTGAAGTACCTTTTCAAAGACTATATTGCAAAACCAAGTAATAGCATTAGAGATGATGAAATTGTGTACCTGCAGGTATATTGGACAGAAAGGAAAAAATGCAATTTGACTGTGCTTTGCTTTTCTGAATAATCTGCCACCTTTTTTTAAATTTGAAGATAAGTCTCAAAAAAGTAATCAGTGTTTACATTTTAGAGCAAATTTTGTATTTAAGGTTTATCCAGGGTTTTATTTTATGCTGTTTCAGGTATTTAAAGATTCTTTGTTAATTAATTGTAAGACAAACTTCACATGTTTGTATTAAAGAGAAAAAAAAAGGAAAAAGAGGGAATCATTTCTTAAGCAATGATTATATAAAATAAAGAAGATGTAGCCTGAGCTTTGCTAGTATTCTGATGCTCACTGAGAAACCAGGCCCTGTGATCCTGGGAGATGATAACAGTAGATTCACTTATGTACCTTTTTGGAAATTACTTAAGTTCTCAGAACAATCCAACAAGTGTGCTCTGTTAGTCCTTTCACAAAATTATTTAAAGAGGAGAGGAAGAGGCAGGTGAGGTGTGGCCTGAAAAGTTTCTTTTGAAAGAAGAAAAAATTATTTTACTTAGCTTTCAAAACCTGCCTGAAATGAATAAAAAATTAATCAAAATTGAATTTTTTAAACTTGGGCTTAGCAAAGTAACAAGTATGCTTAACATTACAATAGAGAAAATTTCCCACTGGTAACAGTGATAATCCTTCTGCTGTAGAAATAAAGTGATAATTATTTTAAAATTTACTTTCATATGGTTTTATTTTCTGATAAAAATAAATATTATGAATAATATTTTAGATATCTCCTTCAGTTAACCTAGAATTTTATAATCAGATACCTATATGATAGAATTAAACTTATGCATGAGGGCATAAGAGCTTTAATAAAGATTTAGAATAGCATATTTTTTATTAAAATATGCAAAAGTCATGATAAGATGAGCTGAACTTTTTGTATCCAGTCCAAGTAAATTACTGCTTAAGATGTATAATTTTTTCAGATCTCTGTAGCTGTAGGGCTTTTCATATAATTTTGTTTTATTAAATCACAGATCAAAACAGTGACCCAGGTAATTATATTTCAGGGAATAAGTTGCTATTTTCTTATTTGTTAGCCAATTGTATAATTTCACTTTTAGGTGAATTTTTAATCCTTCTCTTTCACCATGTTGGCGGGGGAGGGAGAGCAAGAAGTTCCAAAAGTCAGAGAGATAAACATTAAATAATACATTTAACCCTGATATCTCCCTTTAGATTTCGGGTAAGCCAAATTTTTTTTTTTTTTTTGAGACGGAGTCTCTCTCTGTTCCCCAGGTTGGAGTGCAGTGGCGCGATCTCGGCTCACTGCAAGCTCCGCCTCCCAGGTTCATGCCATTCTGCTGCCTCAGCCTCCCAAGTAGCTGGGACTACAGGCGCCCGCCAACACGCCCGGCTAATTTTTTGTATTTTTAGTAGAAACGGGGTTTCACCGTGTTAGCCAAGATGGTCTCGATCTCCTGACCTCGTGATCCGCCCGTCTCGGCCTCCCAAAGTGCTAGGATACAGGCGTGAGCCACCGCGCCCGGCCAAGCCAACTTTTTAATAGCCTTCACAATGATGCCAAAAATGATCAAAGTTTTAATTTGACTGTTAATTCAGATGAAATTCCCCTTGTCTCTAGCTAAGAGGGCTTATTCCTTCTCTTGCTTATACCCATCACCCACCTGTCAGCACTACACTCCTCAGTTTCTTCCTCATATCATTCTTGACTTTTGCCTAATCAGGCACTCAGAACCACCGAGTTTCTTCTTGATAAAGTGCTTAGGAGAAATCTACATGGGGTGGGGGGGTATTATCTCAATGGGCTACACCATCCTCTTCCAGCTGCAACTAGTTAGCACCTTGGGTGAGCTAAGGAGGAGATCCCTTTTAAGTCATTGAAGGGAGTCACCACTAGTGCTGGTGACTGTGATAAGATACGATGAAGCCCTCACTTAGCTTCATTTATATTGCCTTTTGCCAAAGTAACTCCAATCCGCCCTTCTCCCTTCTCTTGTTTTCAGTGCTTCTTAAAATATAAGGTTTAGGGCAGCCTGAAGTACCTGGTAGCTGCAGCTTCATGAAAGAATTCCAGGCAGGCATCAGTGACCTGTTGGAGGGTCTCTGTGATTAGCCCTTTGGAGGTGCCATATTGCCCAGGTGATAAGCATTCTTTAAAGACCCAATACTTGACCACTCTGAGTAAGCCTTTCATCTTAACATTACCTCTTTCATGCCTTTCCTCCTCTGCCTGTCATTTGTTTCCCAGGCTTAATCACTCACTCCACCCTCCACTTCACTCCTCCCACACCAGTCCAGTTATGGTAATTTACCAAAAACATGGATGCTTACTGTAGACTCCCATCTTTTCTTTCTTTCCACCAGCTCAGATATCAGTATCCAGTTCTAGTAGGAACGTCATTCTTCCTCTAACCCTCTTGTGGAATTGCAGAACAACATTCTTTCTTCCACTTGATAGCATGAGGCTCCCTCTGCGCATGCATAGATACCCACCTTGTTGGTACACATGTTGCCAGAATGACCATCAGGGGTACTAATAAGTCTCTTTGAGTCTTTTATTGTTATTGTTTGGTTTTATTTTATTTACAGGTTACTTGTAAATCTGACTGCCAATTAATACTTTTCAAAACTATCGTGGAAATAGAAAGACTTATATGAAAATGTTTATGGCTCTATTATTCATAGTAAGCCCAACACTGGAAACAACCCAAATAGCCATCACTTGATGAATGGATAAATAAAATGTGGCATATCTGTAGAATAAAATGCTTACTCACTGATCCCTGTAGGTTTACCTCAAAAACATTATGCTGGGTGAAAGAAGCCAAGCATGAAACACTAAATATTATATGATTCCATTTATATGAAGTTTCCACAAAAGACACAATTACAGACTCAGAAACCATGTCAGCAGTCACTTGGGGGTAGGGATGAAAGTGAGGATTGGCTACAAAGAGGCAAAAGGGAATTTTTAAGAATGATGAAAGTGTTCTAAAACTGAATTGTGGTTATGATTGCATGATTGTCTAACTTTATTAAAACTCATTGAATTTTACCCTTAAAAGGTAAATTTTATGGCGTAAAATTAGAAAGCTGTTAAATATTGTGAAGATACATTTTTAAGGTCACATAACTGCTTTTGCATAATTTTATTTCACATGTTTTTCAGTTACATTCTCTTTCTTCCTACAGTCTTTCACCCCCATGCCAACATTTTTTTTCAGCTCCAGTGTTCTTTGGACAAGGTTTCTTAAACCTGAATGTGCACGTGAATCACCTGGGGATCTAGTTAAAATGGGATTCTGATTCAGTAGTTGTGGGATGGGAACTGAGATTCTGCATTTCTAACCAACTCTCAGGTGATGCAGATGCTTCTGTTCTGGAAACCATGCTTTTTGTAGCAAATATTTAGTTGTCTGTCTACTTGCTGAGCCTGTAAGAATAACTTGATTTCCCCTCTAAATAAGTGGAAACATCCATAACTTCATCCAACAGCTTACAACATGGAAATAAACTGTTTAATGAATGAATTCTTTAGTTATGTCAATACTAGGTCCTTTGCCCTTTAAAATGTTTGTTGCTGCTTTCTACCACTTTCAGTGGTCATTTACATTAAGCCTGATGATTGTTTTGGTTCCTCGAATCCCCTGTCAAAGGTATGCTGTTATTATGGTTTTAGGAACAAGTATCTCTGCGAACAGAGTGTTCTGAAGAAGGAGTTTACCTACATTAACTTCCATTAGAGGTAATGCAATTCAAATACCTGATGCCTTTATTTTAATTTTAAATACATCTGTTTCTGGAACACTTTGTACTGGGCCAATTTGAAATACTATTTATTCCTGCTCATACACTGTTTGAGGTTCAAATAGCAAGGGCATTGTAAATGGTGACTGTCTGCATCTGTTTGTGCTACTATAACAAAATACCTGAGACTGGATAATAGATGAAGAACGGAAATTTACTTTTTGCCATTCTAGGGGCTGGGAAGTTCAAGATCAAGCCACTGGCATTTGGTGTCTGGTGAAGGCTTCTTGCTGCATCATCTAATGGTAGAGTGGGTCAAAAGTGCCAAACAGACAAACGCTGTGTTCTCACATGGCAGAAGAGTGGGGAGAGCCAACCCACCCGCTCAAGCCCTTTTACTAGAGCCCCATTTCTATCCATGAGGGCTCAGTCCTCAGTAACCTCCTCCTAAAGCCCCCACCTTTTAAAACTATCACATTGGTCATTAAGTTTCAACATGGGAACTTTGGAGGACACACTCAGACCATAGCAGTGAGTTGGAGAGAAGGCATGGCCTGGTGGAAAGGACACTCGTTTAAAATTCAGGAGATCTGGATGCAGGTAAGGGTTCTTTGGGTACCTCCATGTGCTACCATAAGGATGTCACCAACTCTCACCACCTGTACACAAGGAATGGTTTTGCCATGAACTTCACCTCTTTGGCAGTCTGCTTAAGTCTTTGACTTCAACATTTAAAGAAAGCATTTTGAAATGCACAAAAGTATAGGATTGCTAAGGAAAGCAATTATATTGAAAGAGAGTTTTAGCTGGGCATGGTGGCTCACGCCTCTAATCCCAGCACTTTGGGAGGCTGAGGCAGGTGGATCACCTGAGGTCAGGAGTTCGAGACCACCCTGGCCAACATGGTGAAACCCCATCTCTACCAAAAATGCAAAAAGTAGCTGGGTGTGGTGGCATGTGCCTGTAATCCCAGCTACTCAGGAGGCTGAGGCAGGAGAATTGCTTGAACCAGGCTGGGAGGCAGAGGTTGCAGTGGGCTGAGATAGCGCCATTGCACTCCAACCTTGGTGACAACAGCAAAACTCCGTAAAAAAAAAAAAAAAAAAAAAAAAAAAAATATATATATATATATATATATATATATATATATATATATATAGTTTTAAAAATATAAAAAAATAGTGATATATGTGCTTTTTGAAATTAACACATTAAATAAAATCTAGTGGCCAATCTAAGTGGTGATGATCATAAATATTTTGAGATCTCTGCAACAACTAAATATAAAAGATCTATAAAGTTTATGGATAACAAAATGTTAGGTTTTGACAATATCACTGTCATTTGCTGCTTATGTCTATAGTTGAAAGAAATGCTGAGGTTTAATATGATATTAGAGAACATGAAGATGTATTATTTACCACCTTAGTTTGCATTTCCTCTGTACCCTATTCATTCACAACTTGGGAGTCTATGGTCCTCAGAACATCTGCACCAAAAATTCTCTAAAGTCTAAAATTTATCAATTAACTGATGATTCGAGTAACAAAATTTCCAATCCTGTAATATCTTTAAATAATTTAGAATGCTATCACATAGCTTCCTGTGAATGACTCTAATGGGGAAGAATGACATCTTTTCATCTCTTTTTTAATAGATGAATGAACTTAGATATAATTTGAAGTGCTTAGCAGAAGTCTTCTAACTGTTCAGTGATAAATCTTTTGAAATCAGATATGACAGTTTCTGGGAGTCTTTTTCACATCATCCTTCAATTTAGGGAATTAAATAATAAAATTTACTTGTTCATCTTTCACTGTGTAATTTAAGCTTTACAAAATTACTTGTTAGAGACCTTCCAACTTTATACATACAAGATAAACTTAAATATTTAGGCTAGTCCTTTCCTGTTAGAGATGAACCAGTGAGGCTCATTCAAACAGCAGTTTGCTACCACTACACACCTATTAGAGTGGTCAAAATCTAGGACACTGTTAATGTCAAACGCTGGGGAGCAACAGGAACCCTCAGTCATTGCTGGTTGGGATGTAAAATTTTACAGCAATTTGAAAGACAACTTGGCAGTTTCTTTCAAAACTAGACATAATCTTGCCACACAATCAATCCAGCAATCATGTCCCTTGGCCTCTATGCAAAGGAATTGAAAACATATGTGTACACATAAAAAATGCACACAGATGTTTATAGCAGCTTTATTCATAATTCCCAAAACATGGAAGCAACCAACATGCACTTTAGTATGAGCATAGATAAATAACTGGCACACCCAAACAATGGGGTATTATTCAGCACTAAAAGGAAGTGAGTTATCAAGCCACAAAAAGACATGGAAGAATGTTAGAAGTCTCTTACTAATTGAAATAAGCCAATCTGAAAAGGCTACATACTGTATGATTTCACTATATGACATTCTGGAAAGAGCACAATGATAGAGACAGGAAAAAGATCCATGGTTGCCAGGGGTTATGAGGAGGGAGAAATAAATTGGTGGAGCACAGAGGATTTTTCACTTCAGTGAAAATATTCTGTGTGATAGTATAATAGTGGATATATGTCATTATACATTTTCCCAAACCCATGGAATGTGCAGCACCAAGAGTGAACCCTAATGTAAGGGATAGACTTTGGCTGATTATAATTTGTCAGTGCAGTTTCATAGATTGTAGCAAACGCACCACTCCAATGGGGAATGTCGATAATGCGGGGGCCGGGGGGGGCGGATATGTGTGTTTTGGAGCAGGATGCATATGGAAAATCTTCATACCTTTCTCTCAGTTTGGCTGTGACCTAAAACTGCTCTAAAAATTAAGTGTGTGTTTTTTTAAATAAGTGAAACCAGTAAAGATTAAGTGTCATACCCAAGTTAGGACCCATGCTTTTCCATTTTTTTCCCTACAGCATCTTACGGAAAGGACAGGAATCCGAAATTTCTTTGAAAATCCAAGACAGTCAGAAATATTTGAAAAAGCAGAATATTTTGGAAACTAAATAAAGGCCTTCCTGTCTGTAGAAATGGATTGTGAATCAGCCTAAAGAAAGAGCTCCCTTGAGGGTTGGTTATTGATGTCAAAAATGTCCTATCAGGTTTAGAATGCAAAGATGAGGCTGTAAGACAGAGACTGCACAAAGGCAAGATAAGAGAGGGCTTAAGTGATGTGGAAGACTGGCAAGGACAGGGTCATCCAGTCCTGCATGTCAGCGAAGCAGGAGATCTCTAAGAAGCATGACATGTAGCAGTGATATGGTCGTCAGCATTAGATTGCCCACTAAGCAGGCTTCATCTAATGCATCAAATAGAGTATAATGTGAATTATGGTATTATCCTCATGATGTAAATGGTGGGAAGGATGGAACTATGACTATTCTATTATTTTTAATTTAAACTTTATTTTAACTGTAAGTAAATTCAAACAAACCGTTATAAAACACAATACTATGCACAGTTGCCTGCATAGATCATAAAAATAAATACATAAATAAATAAAAACCAGAATGCTGAGTGAGTACTGGTGGTGAAAACTGCAGGGCTAAAACTTGCTCAACAGCGAACTAGAAAACACTATGGCTTAATGAACATGGCCCACCCCTCCTACTAATGGTTTTGTCAACTTTTGGACCTAGAAATTCTAATATGTACATTTGGGTAGTAATGATGAAGTGGGAGTTTTGACATTATGTCTTAGTACAATTGTATACAACTGACTAAAAGCTACTAATCTGTAAATACTATAGGAACACACAGATGATTAAGCTGTGGATTCTGTTTTCAAGATCTTAAGTAGTTAGGTCAAAATCTTGATTCAAATCCAGACTCTTCCAGTTCACTAGCTAATTATCTAGTTGTGTGACCTTGGGGGGTCTCTTCCTCTATAAGATGTGAATTATAATGGAAAAAAAACCTTATAGGGTGGTTGTGAGAATAAAATTAATTTATTGGATAGCTGGCTCTGTTTGCTGGGTTGACATCTATCAATCAACCCCATAACCCATTTAGACATGAGTTAATCTACACAGCATTCAGAAACTGCAAAATTTAGGAGTCCTATACAACCCCATTTCATGCTCTGTTATATTATAATCCTTTAATCAGTTATGCACTCTAACTAGATCTTTTGCCCTAGATCCAGAGTGGGAAAATGTGATGAGCTTGTTGTTGCTTTTCTATATGTCTCTTTACCTGTTTAAGTCTGCCAGCTTGTGTCCTCTCAATTGGTAATAGTCCACTGTGCACATTTGTAGGATAATTAATACAACTGTTTACTGAAGCAGCAAAATGGAGTCCCATTTAACTATTGTGAGTTTTGCTGTTTTTAGATTTTATGATAAACTCTTCATAGCCTGCACCTGGGAGAGCCTGGCAGTGTGATAGCATCTACAGATAGGACATGAGACTATTGACTGTCACCATAGTTATTGGCCATTGGTAAAAAGGCATAAGGTTAAAGATTTTTAATCATGTGTTCTGAAAACAAAAATAATATTCTAGAATCCAAGTTAAGTTCTTTTTCTCTACATAAAGTAATTTTTCTGAGTATGTACATGTTTATCAACTTATCTTTACATATTATGTTATTGTAAAACATAAAACGGGAAAATTTTTGCTTGAATTGTGAAAAAATAAGTTTTGCTGTCACACTCTTAATATAGGACACATATTAAAGTGAGATAGTACTGGATCAATTCCCCAATTTATCAAAAGCCAAGAACTCCCGGAGATTTGAAAGCATGCATTCAAATGTTGTCTGCATCCTGGGAACTAATTAGAGTGGAAGAGAGTAAAATGAATTCAACAGCGGTGTATCCAGGAGCTGCACACGAGGACTTATATTTCCCACATGATATAGGAAGTTGTAAATTACATTATGCACTAAATTACTATATTTTATGATTGTTTTCTATATTAATAGTAAAGTATTTCAAAGTAACATAATTTACAGATATTTCTGTTTTATATCTAGACATTGCCAACCTCATTCAATATATGCTTAAAGTCTTTACCTGAAAAAAATGTCTGAAGTAATAGGTTAGCTCAATCTCTTATCTTCTGGGACTCCTATCTCTCAGTATTCATTTCCAATAAATAGCAGGTGTGTTGTAGAATCATGGCTATCCAACAAGAGAGGCCAAGTTATAGCTACCACGTCATATTTTCATTACTAATAGCTCATTTTAGTTTTGTTAGCAAAAGCTGTTTTGTCATTCCTTGGATTGAAGGTGAAGACAGTATTTCTTATAATTTATTTAAAAATCACAAATTCACTATTGTAATTTTTAAAGATATGACAAACATTAATTCAGTTTTAAAATTGAGCATAATATAATTTGTATTAGATTGAAATTAATTAATGCACATTTCATTTCTAAATAATGATTAGCAAATGGAGAATGGTATAGGTAAAGAAGCACAGAAAGAAGATGGGAGAAAGAAAAGAAAAGATGAAAAGGATAACAGAAGGAATAGGGATGAGAGATAGAGAAAGCTATCTCTCAGAAGGATATTTAGTAGATTCACAGATGCATGTAAGTTACAATAAATGGGTTTATCTTCTTTAATTAACACTGCAAATCACTTGAGCTATGAGTTTCTATTTGCTACTTTTTTGGAAATATTCATTAGTTTTCTCATTCCATAAACATATATTGTACCTCCTAGACACAAACCACAGAGCTAAACTCTGTGTGGGATAACAATATATAGTATATTTCTTGCTTATTAGCTATTATTTGCATCTCTTCAACTGCTCCAACCTTTCAACCACTGCATTATCCACTCAGACACAAATAATTTCTGGTGTCTACCAGTATTATGCAGAATAATATCATTTCTGTACTATATAAAACCCTTTTGAGGGCCTGAGAATCCAGCATTCTTCTTACTTCAATGACATGTTATTATAGAAGTTATTAAATGTAAAATTGTAAGCTCAAATCATTAAAATATCTCTTTGACGTGGCAGCATGTAACAGTCTTCCCAACCATCCTCTATTTAAATCTGCACTTCCAGCCACCTCCTTTCCACTCACTCCTTTGTTTCGAAGTGATATAGATTAAGTATACCTTTCCTGTTATAGAAATTGGATATACTCAGTAATTATTTTCCCTGGCCTAAGGGTCAGGGAATTGTACCTACCTAGAGCATATATATATTTTATTCTTTCCAAATTATAAAATGTTAGGTGAGAAAAATGATGCTTTAATTAAGAGCTCAACACAGCAAAATGCACATATAATCCAAAAAACAGTCCACTTAATAGAAGGACGTAAATGAATACATATATCATATTGCTTTGATACCTTTTAGCTTTCAGAGAGAATATTTAAGGTGAGTAGTCTTCATCCAATTCCAGGAAACATTATAATGTTATAGGGCCATTGAGCCCTTTCTACTTTAGTAGAAAATTCTACTCAGCAGAATTAGCAGCTTGAGGAGCATTGATGAGTTTGTGGATTTGCTCAAGAAATAAGTTAAAGTACTGATGCAACTCTAATTCTTTTCAATGATCAAAATGGGAATGAGTAGTGATTATGTCCAGAAACTGATAGATAAAAAAATATAATTTATGCTCAGCATTGGTGGCTAGTCCACTAAGAGTGATGTGCTGTCTGGAGTGAACTAAAAGAATAAGGTTATAGTCAATACTTTTCTTCATTGTATTCTTGTTTTCTTTCTTGCACCATCCCTGCCCCTTTTCTTTTTCTTATAATCTTCTCCGCTTCCTTTTGTTTTTAAATTTAGTGTGCTATGTTATGCTGGATAGAAGTCCGCAGTGAAAGTTATAAGGAGATTTTATTCCAGAGAAATGAAAAAAAGTCACTCTGAGTAGGTATTAAATCTAGTTATGTTGAATTCGGAAGCTCTATCACTGTGAGGGAACCCCAGGATTCTTTTCAGGAACAATAGTCTTTACTCCCCAAACATGACATCATTAGGTCCCTTTTATTTCAAGTTGGGCCTAAATTTGGTGATGCTATTAATAATACTGTTAATGTTAGAAAGAAAAATCCAGCTAGTTTTATTTTTAATACTTTGATACAGGCAAATTAAATAACATTTTCAGGATACTATAGCACAATTTCATAAAGTACTGTGCTCCAGTACCTAAATGATTCTATTAAACTAGATTATTTTAAAGCTGTGTCCCTTTTTCATAAAATATAATTTGTCATTGACTCTTACATTTATCAAATATTTCAATGCCTAATAAATCCCAGATGCTAAGATGATTTTTTAATTACTTTTTGTTCATATTTTGGAATGAAAACAAAAAAAAAAATTTTCTCAATGTACATATACATATATTTTTCTTCCTTTTTTTTTTTTTTTTCTTCTTAGACGGAGTCTTGCTCTGTCACCCAGGCTGGTGTGGAGTGACACAATCTTGGCTCACTGTAACCTCCACCTTCCAGATTCAAGCAATTCTCCTGCTTCAGCCTCCTGAGTAGCTGGGATTACAGGCACACATCACCATGCCTTGTTAATTTTGTATTTTTAGTAGAGACTGGGTTTCATCACGTTGGCCAGGCTGGTCTTGAACTCCTGACCTTGTGATCCACCCACCTAGGGTTCCCAAAGTGCTGGGATTACAGGAGTGAGCCACTGCTCCCGGCCATATTTTTCATTAATGCTTTTACATATTAAATATTTACATACCAATGTGACACATGAATTTTATATGTATATACATTATATATTTTCATATACATATATTACGTATATGTATGTTCCATATACAATAATGAAACTGATAAATATATGTATATGTATATACATTTTTATACATATCTATACATTTATATACCTAAATTGAATATACATATGTCATATAATATGCACTAATAAAAACTGATGAATTTGCCTTGTTTCAGGAAAATTTTTTAGAACTCCATTTGGGCTTTTGTTTTTTGATATATTTTTATTGAAGTGTTTTTTGACTTGGGTGGTATTGAAGTTGGCATCATACATAGTAACAGCTTCATAGAATAACATTGAAGTTAACCTGCTTGTGGGAAGGGGGGTGGTCAGAATGTTATATTTATTGTACACTGGTTGTCTGTGCAATTTTGATAATGTTAGTCACTCAAAATTGTTCTTAAAAAGAATATTATATAGCCATATTTCAGATTAGCAGAGACTGGAAGCTATTGCTTGCATACAAATCTTTAACTTCTCTGTAGGAAAACGCCACTACATGTTTGGTGCCCTTAATGGCCTTTCATTGGCCCCCAGAATTAACTGTCTGAATTTGTGTGTCTGACATTGGATAAAATGTTTATATTTCTTACCTGGGAGAAGCTCAGAAACACAGCAATAAAAGTGAATTTCAAAGCCTTTGGAACCAAATTACAGCTGTCTATAGCTTTTATATTTCTTATATTTTAAAAATACAAACCACCATTAATAGAAATTTCTATAACATTTTAGACATAATGATTTACCTATGATAAATATCTTTGTAGACCTCCACACAGTTTCTTTTGTATTTTCAACCTTGTTTTCAAGATCTTCTCAACAAGGCAACCACTAAGAGAGCTGTTTTTACTTACTGTAGCTGAGTGTTTCTCAACCCTATCAGGCTTCAAATACACTTTATACAGCAAACATTTGAGACTGTCCCTTTGCTAATTTCACATGAAATTCATAGATAATATCACCTGCTTATAGTCATAAGTTTTAAACTGTAATGTAATACCTTACTATAATATAAAGAAAATATTGTAGGAGATACTGTCAAATTTAAAATATATGTATTTCAGCATGTGACTTCTCAAGCATATCCATACAACAAGGCACAATGATGCCGTATGCTTGCATCTTAGGTAGAATCATTATGAATCCAACAGTTACAAATGCAGTTTGATGTAGGTGTGTTGCATTGGGTATCCAGGCACCATTAATGAGGGAACCATCAAAGATATAATTTTCTTAAATGCGAAACAATTCTTGGTAACTGTCAAGTAAAACAAAAGATAATCTTTCTTTGGTTTACATGGTAGTTGCATTTTTGTAAGAGCTAGTATATGGAATATACATTAGTGTATGTATATATGTATGTGTGTGTGTATATATATATATATGTATTTTGTATGTATAAAATACAGTTACAACTTAAATCTAGATAATTTAAATGTGCCTTCCCACATCAGCATATGTGTGTATGTGTGCTTGTGTATGTCTAATGGAGTTGTGATTTAAGTGCAGATGCTTATAAGTAGGTTTTTCATCTACCTGAGTGTCCCATGAGGCATGGAAAATCTGTGCAGCATGCAGGATAACTCCCTTCTTGTGTGGGGGACTATCTTCTTGTGTGTAGGAGTGTCTGTGAGTTTTGTATGCTAAATACCAGCAGTACTTACCTTTACACACCAACAAATTTCCAGAATTCCTTTGGGATGCATTGTGATCCCTCTTCATTACCATTGCTGTAGTTTTTTTGTTTCTCCATTTCATTCCATCACTTTCTATCTACTCTGGGACCCACTTTAATGTGGTGTCCACTCTCCTTACACATCCAGCCCAAACTAAAAGAACTGTATTGAAACCGTTCTCACTAAGGTCTCTAAGTACTGCAAGTTGTTAAATGCTCATCGCATCTAACTTTGAAGTAACCGTAGACATAGATTCCCCATCTGGACCACCTCAGTGATCTCCATGGTAACACATCCTTCCCATGCTCCTTCTTATTCTCTGGCTTTTTTTTTTTCTAAGTAATCTTTAAATATTGTGGTTCCTTCGAACTTGATCTTATGCCCTTTCCAGCCTCACACACCTATTCCTATGCCTAAAATTTTCAACTAAATGCAAATAGCTTCTATATATTTCCAGCTTAAATTCCTCTTCCGAGCTCCAAACTTGTATATTAATTCAACTGCCTACTCAGAAGTTCCATAACCATGTCTCACATGCATCTGAAATGCAATATGTCTGAGATTGAATTCGTGTCCTTCCGCCCAAAACCTGGCTTCCTCCAGTGTTTGCTGGCTCAATAAATGCAGCAACATCTGTCCAATTCCTCATGCCAGAAGCCTAGGTGCCATCCAGGACACATCTACAGGATCATATAGTCAATCTGTTACTAAGTTCTATATAGTCTACCATTTATTTTTTAAAATGCATTACTGCTTATTTAACTTTACTGTTTATTAACTTCAGCATTCTAAACATACAATTACTGTTTATTAACTTCAGCATTCTAAACATACAAAAAAACAATATTGCCAATTATGTTTAAGCACAGAGGTTCTTGAACTTTGATTGATGCAGTGGCTCTTCCCTTTGCTGACAATGAACAGTTCTGCAGTTTGTTTAAGACCAAAGTTTCAGCTGGGTATGATAGCTTATGCCTGTAATCCCAGCACTTTGGGAGGCTAAGGCAGGAGGATTGCTTGAACCTGGGAGTTCAAGACAAGCCTTGGCAACATAGTGAGACCCCCAATTCCATAATTTTTTTTTTAATTAGCTGAGTGTAGTGACGTGCAGCTGTGGTCCCAGTTGCTTGGGAGGCTGAGGTGGAATGATCCCTTGATCCTGGGAGGTTGAGGCTGCAATGAACTGTGATCATGCTCCTGCACTCCAGCCTGGGTGACAGAGAAGGACCTTGTCTCAAAAAAAAAAAAAAAAAAGTTTCAAAATGACAGCACTTAACTAAAAAAAATCCAAACAATTTTCACGCCAGCTGACCCCCTTTGTCCAGAGCAAAGAATGGCAGCAGAATGCTATCTGACTATATACAGAAACAAGACAACTAAAGCTAAATGGGGGCCCATTGCAGTGGCAGCAGGTCCAGCCTCACAGTGCATGCACTGAGCTCCAGTTTCTCCAAAAGGCCTCTTCTCCCACAGCCTCAACACGAAGCCAGGGGCCTCAAAAGTTTGTCTCTATTTTGTTCTTTTTACAAAAGATATGTATGTACACCTGACACCTCAGGATTTCTAGCCCATAGCCAAATAGTAAACATCACCTTACACATGTTTTTAAATGCCAGAAACATCTTTTAAATGCCTTATCATGCAAACAGCAAAGTGCACAGTGTGAAGAAAACACAAGATTGCCTTTTTATTTTTAAAAATGTTTGGAAATACATATAATTTTGATACAGTTTCAGGATGCTCCAGACACCCATGGCCACTTGACATAAACCACTGACAATTTCTAGACCACTTTGAAAAACTACAATATGATTCTGATCAGATTTTGTCATTAAACCTAGTGAGGGCAGTAGACACTTCTCAAATAGATGTGTCAGTTACAGCACTCTCCTCCTCTAAAGTATTCACAAAGAGACAGATAAAACAGTTTTTTTTTCATCCTCCTCCTCCCCTTCCTCTTTGTCCTCCATGTTTTCTTCATCTTCCTCTTCCACCTTTTTCCAGGCAACTTTAGTGGGGTGCTTTGAGCCATCAAACTCTCCTTTACACTTACTGTCAGCAACGTCCTTCTCATACCTCTCTTTCAGCTTCTCTGCCTTAGTGATGTCAGTCTGCTTTGTCCTGTCACTTAAGTTATTCCACATCTCACCCAGCTTTTTGCCACGGATGCCAGGATTTGCAGATTTGACCTTGAAGTGGACTTCTGAACAGAACGGAAAGAATTCAGATGGTGGCCTTCTTGGGACATCTTCTCGCCTCCCTGAGCTGGTCATAATCGTTCATTTCCCCATCCGAACCTACTTTTTCTGCCTTTGCCATTTTATCAGATTTATACTTATCTTTCCTAGACACTGTCTTTCACCTGTCGGAGCACATCTTGAAAAATTCTGCTAAATTGACAGGGACCTCTGGGTTTTTCTTTTTATGTTCTTCTCTGCACATCTGCACAAAGAGAGCACAAGCAGACATCTTACCCTTTGGTTTCTTGGTGTCACCTTTAGCCATCCTGACTGTACTGTTTTGCTAATCTGGGCAGTGTAGGGCATGATGCCTTGGCTTAGTGCTCTCCAGCATTGAGCTAGCTGCCTCCCTGAGAGGCCCCTCTCTACCAATTAAATAGCTCTTACGTCCATCAGATATTCTCCATTTCCATTTCACCATCAACACTGAACTCTGCCAAAGTCATCCTCAGTTCTTGCTGGAGCTTGTGTTTCAAACTAATTCTTAACCAACCTGTTTTCTCAGATGCTCCCACTTCTTTCTATTACCACTTCTAAATAGATCAGTCAGAACTAGCTTCTGAAAACCCTCAAATCTCAGCACATGGGTCTGCAAGAAATGATCCCTGGGCCAAATCTGAACAATCACCTATTTCTGTAAATAAAGTTTTATTAGAGCACAGCTGCACACTTTTTAAAGTAATATTTTCTATGGCTGCTTTCACATTACAACAGCAGAGTGAGGAGTTGCAAGAGACTTGATACTCCAAAGCCCAAAATCTATACTGTCTCTTTAGAAAAAAAAAAAAAATTGTCAACATCTGCATTGAGCATATACTGAATATGCAGTAAATATATAATTAATTGTTTTAGATCATATTTTCCAAACGCAGCATAGCTCTCCTTATAGACCCTAAGACTCTATATGGTTCCTCATAGCTTTCCTTGTAGACAAAGACCTTGTGTTTTCAGAACTTGTGTTCTGTTCAGGTTTCAATCACGTGAAGAAAAGAATTATTCATTTAGCATCAATAACAGCAGATGCCAAAATAGCGATTTGAGATAGCTTTCAAGTTTGTGCTCTTTGAGAGCCAGCTTCGAGGTAGCTGTCCCTCACTCAGACACCTGCTTGCGGGCACCCAGTTTTGATATTCCTTTTAAAGAGAATGTCTGAGCATTATCTCACGTTTTCTAAAACAGTTTAACAGTCCCTCCTCCAGGCAGATTCATTATTAAGTGCATAATGATATGAAGGTTCAGGATGGCCTGAAATCTGGACGATCACCTATTTCTGTAAATAAAGTTCTGTTAGAGCACAGCTGCACACTTTTTAAAGTAATATTTTCTATGACTTTTGATTATGGTTGTGAAAGTTTCCCTGCTAAGGTGTGAACTCTGTATCCAAAACTCCCTAGAACAAGGTGAAAATGTTCTCCGTAAAGCTGAGCTGCACTTCCTCAGACTGTCTTGCCATCTGTCTCCTTCAACAAAATATGCCAATCAAAAGTGTCTGGACACACAGAACATAGGAATTGTTGATACATTTAATTTCAATTTTTGAAGTAGATACCTATTTTATAGATGGAAACTTTTATTGCATTATAGTTAGAAGAAGCATTATGATCGGTTGCTGTTTTTGAATAATTGAGGACAAGATTTTTAGATTCGTGCAAACAGCAAATGGATAAGTCCCTTTTGGTTTGACACACTTCATGTTTATTATAATATCCACTGTTATTACTATTATTTTATATGAATATTATCACATTATTACACATGTAACTTATGACTATCATATTTTGCAGTTAAATTTGAAGAATAGATGTCAATTCTCATTTGTTTTTATATTTTATATTTCCGTATCATTTGTAAGGACATGAAATAGTCTTTGAAATATAAATTACTTTAGGTAACTTGAGGTTACCCTGTTCTAAAACCATTTAAGTGACAAAGGGGAGGGTAGTCCCACAGGAAAGTGAAATAAATTTTCAGCTGACACACAACCCATAATGATTTTCAGATACTCAATTTTTATTCGAGACACTCTTTCTGTCTGCAAATTCTAAAATGCTAACTCATTAAAATAAAGGGCCATTTTTTTTATGTCTCTATGGAGACGTGTCTGTGGAGAAGTAGGTAGGGAACATTCCTTAAAAATCGACATTCCTTCTATGTAAAGTTTACTTAAAAGGCAATTCATTTGTCTGCACTAAGTCTGATAAAATCCATATACAATCTTCTATACATGTTATCATGCAACCCTCCTTGTAATTTCCATGAAATCATTACTGTGGACAATTCTGAAGACTATTTTTCGGTGTCCTTTTCCCCTTGAGTTGTTCATTTTGAGCATTTTTATAAAGTCCTTAGTTCCTAATGTTCATTTGTATCACTGTCCTTCCATTGATCTTTTTGCTTTGGGTAGTCTTCCAATTATCCTAAGAATAGTAGACTTTGGGAAGGAAGTGGGAAGGGTCTGCCAGGTAGAGCAGAATCAACGATCTTCAATCCAGACAGTGAGAAACAGTAATGACTATTGCAGACTAATACGTGCATACTATATATTTATCAATTTCCCCCAAATGATCGGCTGCTCACTGTTTCTGTCATTGCCACGCATTATTTAAATTGACCTAACGCCATGTTTTGCTGCCTTAAATCCTTTATTTCCAGCACTAAACTATGCAAAGAGATCTTCTGCTGTGGCAAATCACCTCAGCAGGGCACTTGCCTACACTGCTTGCAGGCTCCCCTCTGCTTACCAAGAGAACAGCAGCTGAGTCTGGAAAAGAGTGAAGACAGGCTTCTGAGATATCACATCAATGTCACACGAAGGCACTGATGTGACTTCTCTATCCTTTGGGCTCATATATCCTATGAAACTTCAGGTTTGAAAGACAAAATGAGTATCAGAGAGAACAGCATGAATTTGAAATAAGAAAGATCAGACAGGGAGAAAAAAAGTCTCCAACCTCCCATTCCCAAATGGACTTCAGGTAAAGAAAAAGCCAAATTATGCTGAGACTTGAGTAGATGTTGAACAATTGTGTACACTCATGTTGCATAAAAAATTCGCTGGAAGTCATTCGTATGCAGCAAATAGTTATTTTGTGTTTACCGTATATGTATGAGGCAATCTTTACCTTAGATTAACTCATTGAGAAATGATTAATGCTCTAATTATTTATACATCTGCCGAGTAGCAGAATACTGTATAGTTTTAGGAAACAACACTTTAAAACTGCAGTTAGCTCAGAATTTTGCAAATGTCATGCCAAGGTCGTTGATGAAGCTGACTTTCTCACTGCTTACGCCAGCCTGCACAGTCATAAGTTTAGTGTATACACACAAACACTCACAAATACACATTTCACTTCCTTAATCCTACATTTCAGTGACTTAAATAAGCACATATCTAAACAGCCTTCCCTTAGACACAGGCAAATGCAACCCATGATTCCACACAGCCCTTAAAATGGCAACTCGCAAGATGTACACAATTTTAAAATTGTATTAGCCTATTCATAGCAAGATTCTTCATTAACCTATGTGCATATTCAATGTTGACCACATGCCCCCCAACCCCACCCACCAAAAGACCAGTTAGAGATCTGAGATGTGGAAGAGTGCTATTCAGTTTAGATATTTTTTTCTCATCTATTACTTTCTAGATGAACTGTCATGAGTTAAAATGTCAATAAGGACACCTGTTTATGATCAACATAATTGAGCTATTTTAATCTCAAACTACTTCATCGTTAAGATAGTTTTCAGCTCAGAGGCTGAGATAAAGACCCAGCCAGTTTTCTAGGACACACATCATTAATTAGAAAACAAATTCTTACCTCCTTCCTTGTTGGTTTTACTTACAGGACAGGAAACATCTCTATGGAATTAAATTGCTCACTACATGCTCCTAATATGTTTTGTTTTTATGCTTACTCCAGGGAAAACTGTGAGACATGTTGAGACCAGGATTTGTTGTTTTCTTTTGATAGAAAAACATAGCGATTCAAGTCAGCTTTTTTCTTTTATTAGAATGCAAAGTTCCTTAAGATCAAATACAAAAAAACAGAGTCATTTAAAAGTACTGAAAGGATATAAAAGGGAAGACATTTTAAACTACAGCTTATCGAAGAACAGCGAGTAACGTTAGCAAGTACTTTCGTAACTTTCAAATCTTACCATTTACTGATAAATATCATGAGTTTTCCAAATTCTTTGTTGTTGTCTTTATGTCTTTGAACAAAAGACTGCTTTTTGAAACAACTTCAAGACAATGATTATTGAACAAATGATTATTTGGTTTTTTGAAGGTTCCTAATTTCCAAGCTAACATTTTCTTATTGACTCTAACCATCTCTGTTTCTACTGAGGTTGAACACACACACACACACACACACACACACACACACACACACACACACATCAATTCATGACATTCTCTTTAGTTAGTGCCTAAGGTTGCAAATCTTCATTTTCTTTGGTCAGATAATACATTTTCATAATGAACAAATGGAGTGCAACTCTCAAAGCCAGTACCTAACACTGGAAAGCAAAGGCTGAAATCAAAGCTTGGTCAGCCTGCTAATATGATGCGCTCTCTGTCGACTAATCACCTTCCAATAAATATTTGTTCTGTTAACTTCTACTGTGGCTCCTCCCTCATGCCCAACCCTACCATTTATATACTGTAGATATTTTATGAGAAAATTGACCCCTGTTTATGTGCGTCATTCCAGTCACCAACAAACACACCTTTATAAAGGACGCACAATTACATGTGACAAATTAATTGGTCATTTCATTTTGTGTCCAGAAAGTACTCTTTGAGGAACCATAGGGCAAGAGCTGTCCTAGCCACCCTGTCTATAAAGATAAATAAACTTAACCCGTATACTCCAGCATCCTGCTACCTAGAAGGAAAAACCAGAAGCATAAACAATTAAAAGTGATGTAGCATAGAATATGTTGTAATTCAAGAAAAATGCATTCAGTAAGTTTACAAAGAAACAACAACTGTGTTTGCACACACACTGTCTCATGTTGTAAGGTGGGTATTATAATTCTAATTTTAAATATGAGAAAAAGAAGACTTGCGAGAATATTTCCCAAGCTGATAGGCAGTGGAGTTGGGTGCTGGGTCTGGCTTTTGTAATTCCAGCCCCAAGCCCTGCACCACAGAGAAGATAGTTATCCCGTGGAGGTCAGGATTTGGAAATATTTGGCCAAGGAGGCCCTGATTAATCTGGACATAGAAAGTAGAGCAATAGCTTGAATGACCTTGCAGGAGGGGACAGCAATCAGGATATTTTTGTCTGCTAGGGCTGCCGTAACAATGTACTACCAACCGGGGGGCTTAAAGCACAGAAATGTATTTTTTTCACAGTTTTGGAGGCTGGAATTCTGAAATCAAGGTGCCGGCAGGATTGTTTCTTCTGAGGCCTCTCTCCTTCACTCATAGCTGGCTGTCATCTCTTGTGTCTTTTCATAGTCATTCCTCTCTGAATGCCTATGTACAAATCTCCTCTTTTTATAAGGATACCAATACTATTGGATTAGGGCCTATCTTCATGATCGTATTTGTCTTTAATTGCCCCTTTAAGACCCTGTCTTCAAATACAGTTGTACTCTGAAGTGGTAGGGGTATGGACTTCAATATATGAATTTGGGGGGAATATAATTTATCCCATAACTGATGGTAAGAGGCCACAAAAACAAAATATGGGGGCATAAGGACCCCCCAGTGCATGCTCAGGCTCAACATTATAGCAGAGTAGACACAGAACAGTATGGAAGGTGAGCACCAAGATATAAAGGGTCAGGGGAGGCAGGATCAGAGTGGAGAGATCTGGAAGGCTACAGCAAGGTGTTTTATCGAAGGCGTTATTGCAGGTTCTTGCTAGAGTGATCATTGAGAATTTAAAGAAATGAATTTTAGTAATGGGTTTAGTATATATTAAATCATGTTCATATAACTTAAAAATATTAATTTTAAGCTATTTACTGAAGAAAAACATGACCACTCAGTGGAACTTTATATTTTACGATTTCTAAAAATATTATAGGTTATTTTTCTAGGAACTGCTGTTAATTTTGGCCATTACTGCCATATACTTTGGACATATATAAAGTGTTTTTTGGTAAGTATCTGAGATTACATTTAATATCTACATGTAGCACACTTTACACAAGCTAAATTCTATCGTATTTGGCATTTTTTCCTCAATTCAGCTGTATTTTCAGAGAAAACACACAAGATTACAGAGCTATTTCTATGCTTAATAGAATACTGTCTAATGATTTCTGCATGTAGCAAAATCCAACTTTTTGGATTAACATGGCTACATGGTAATCACCCACTAAATATTTACAACATGAATTTATCTGTGACTCACTTGATGTACCGTGATTGTGTGTGCATCCTAAGACGTGATTCCTGTACTATGGTTGAGTAATTGTCATGGCAGGTTTGCCCCTCTAGTGTTGGCTTCTCGTTTTGCTTTGTGCTGCTTTTCTCTGCTATCCAGGCTGCCATTGCTATTTTTATTTTCTACTTCTGATGGTTCAGGAATATGAAGGCAAGATAAAAAGAAAGTATGTGTTGCCTTACTGCCACTATTCTATGATATGAGTCAGGGGTATGGAAAAGCTGAATTTTTAAGGAGACAGCAAACCTCACAGATTCAGGGGATTTAATTTCCCCTCCTCATATCCCAGAAGGTCTAAGTTACTAGTTACCTTAAACAAAAGAAATAATTAAACAATGGAGAAGATGCTATAGAAAAGTTTCCCTTTTCTTTTCTTTTTAAATATACTTCTTATATGCAGTCCTAAAAGGACTTTCTCTCTTCTTATAGCTTAACAATCAAACAACAGCTTAGGGCAGCATTTGGCAAACTGTAACTGCTGGTTAAATCTGGCCTGTCCCCTATTTCTATAAATAAAGCTTTATTGGAATGCAGCCACACTCATTCATGTGAATGCATATTGTCTGTGACTGCTTTGGCAAAATAGTGGTGGAGTTGAGTAATTAATACAAGCGCTTTTCAGCCTTAGAGCCTAAATTATTTACTATCTGGCCAACTCACTTTTTGGTTTAAGGTAATGAAATTTTAATTTGCACACAATAATGTACATGTTTTAATATGTGACAATAAAGGTTTTGCTGCATTTATGCAGTACATTTTTGAAATTAAAAATAAACTTGTAATAGAAATATAGTTCTAAAGAGTTTCACCATCTTGTAGATTTTTCAATAATTTTTTCATATAAAGTCAATACATCTTTATAGAATAAAATATTTTAGAATCTAGTTTATAGGAAATAGCATAAACATCTGTTTCGATAAACTTCCCCTAATAAAGACATACCTTGAACACGAGCTATTGTTTTGCATTTGCCAACTTTTCCATTTCATAATTGTATTAAATTGCTAGAGATGGCTTTGTAATCAAAGACATTAGAATATTCAGTTGAATATAGCATGGGTTTCAGGGACACATTTTTGTTGTTGTAGTGGTTTTTGTTTTTAATTCTCTGCTGCTAGGTAGCACTAAATCCCCAAGGGACTCAAAGATGAGAAACAGGAAAAAAATTTCAAGCTGTGAACTGCTGCTAAAGCAGAGAAGCCCTGTCTGTGATATTAGTTCGTGTATCAAAATGCTTGCGATTTGGCCCTAGAAAAAGGGACCGCTGGCAGTGTTGTACATAAGTGGTCCTGCTTGGTTTGCCCATGTGGTATTTATCTCAGTCCCTTCTGATCAGGGCCAGAAAGTCTACCCAACAGGAATATTCTATATTGAGTAGCACCTGACTACTGACCAAATCAGATGTTTTCCTTTGGTAGATTTAATAACCGTAGAGAAAGAGAGCTGACTGCAAAGTGCTAGGAATGACTAGAGACTGAGAGAGAGCACAGATGCTTACAGAGAGCCTCAGTAGTTACTGGCAGGAAAGAGAACCAGGGGGAGAGAGACAGTGAGCAAGAAAAGGAGGAGAGACAAAGATGGAGAGGAAATAAAGTAAAAACAGATAAAGCAAAAAAAGAAATTGAGTCAGAAGAATGACAGAATGAATATGGTCAGAAGCCAACTGCACCCATTTATGAGGACATAACTGCTTGAATTGCTGATGTGACATTGGAAGTTTGTGTGTGTGTGATGCAGTGGCATTCCAATTCTCCCTGAAGGTATTTACCTATCTCCCATATATTTCCATGTATCTGCAAGAAGCCTTATCACCTATGACAGAGCTACAAACATCAGAGTCTCACTAATATATATATAGCTAATTGATTATTTTCAAAATAAAATGTGAAGGGAATAAATCACACAACAGCCCTATTTATGGTTTAGCAAATGATCTCAAACTCACATATTTAGGGGGTCAGGTGCGTCAATGAGTGAATCAGTTTGGGTGTAGGAAGTGATGGGTCAGGTTGAGGGACAGAAGAGGCTGTGCACTGCTGGTGGGACTGTGAATGAGTGCTGCCATTATGGAAAATTGTATGGAGGTTCCTCAAATAACTAAAAATAGAATTGCCATATGATCCAGCAATCCCTTTTCTGGGTATTTACCTAAAAGATTCGAAATCATTATGTCCAAGAGATGTCTGCACTCCCATGTTGATTGTGGCACTATGTGCAATGGCCAACTTATGGAATCAGTCGAAGTGTCCATCAACACATAAATAGATAAAGACAATGTGATACATACATATACACAATGAAATACTATTCAGCCTTACAAAGGGAAGAAGTTCTGTCATTTGCAATAACATGAATGGAATTGGAGAACATTATGCTAAGTGAAATAAGCCAAACACAGACAAATACCACACATTCTCATACAGAAAAGTTTTCCTTTTCTTATAACTTATATGTGGAATGTAAAACACTTTTATTCTCACTTATATGTGGAATGTAAAACAATTGCACTCATGAAAACAGAGGGTAGATGGTGGTTACCAGAGGCTGGGGGGTGGAAGGAATGGGGAAATGATAATCAAAGGATACAAAGCCTCAGTTAGATAGGATAAATAATTTTGAGTATTTTTTATAGATCTGTTGCACAGTGTAGTGAATACAGCTAATAACTGAGTAATGTACATCTCCATATCACTAAGAGAGTAATTCTGAAATGTTTTTGTTGCAAGAAAATGTCAAATATTTGAGGTGATGGATAAGTTAATTAGCTTGATTTAATAATTCCACATTGTATTCAGAAATCATAACATTGCTTTGTACTTCATATATATATATAACTATAATTTGTCAGTATACAAAAAAAGCCAATCAAATTTTTTAAAAAATGAAAATAGCCAGGTTCTACTCAGCTCCAACTGATTGTTCCATCAAGGACTATAGGGCCCCTTGCTAAATCTTCTGATTTTTCAAGAGAAGCTAGAAATCACAGCTTTATGTGAATTCTCCTCATTTTTAAATGTAGAGTTAATTGGTTAAAACAACAAAAATGATGGCATGAGGGGCAAAGAAAATACTTGTGCACAAGATTTGTTTTATGATGTTGGATTTACAACTAACAACAATTTATATTTTTCACAGCCCTCTTGCAATGGCAGTCTATTTGGGGCATAAATCAATAACCCTTTTCTATGATTTTTTTCCTCCACGAAAATGGCCTTGATTCTAGTTCATCTTGTGAAATGAGATTTCACTGTGTTGTTCAGAGTTTTCATTTTTGCTGGAGGCTTGCAAGGCCCATACCCTCAAGATAGGCAGTGATGAGTTGTGACATGTATCCTGTGCATCAGTTGTCAACCTGAGTGACACTAAAATGAAGAGCTGTCATTTTGTACCAGAAATGTCTTAGCTTTATTTCCTGTTGTTTCAGCAATCCAAAGCAATGGTGGTGTTTGGGTGTGGACCACAGCTCTTTTCCTCAAATCTAAGGATTTCATCTGACAATAGGAAAATAGCTACAGTTCACTGTAGTTGTTAATCTTTATACCACTCTTGCCAATTTTGTTTTTCTTTCTTCACTTATTCTACTTGCATTTTCCTTAAACTCTACACTGTTAAGAAGGTAGTCTCTTGTTTGGATATTATTTCCTGTTAACAATTATAGATCTTTTTATTGTAATCATTTAGATTTACATATATTTTCTCACTTGTCACAAAGGCCAAATAAGGCTTCAGTAATAATTTCTATTTATGTTCATTGGGTAGTACATTTCATTGCATCATTCTCTAGGGAAAGTTAGTACTGTGTTAATTTCAGGGTCTAATGCCAATATATAAACACATCCAGCTTGTCATTTGATATCCAGGGAACATTACTTTTCAAGTGGGTTCTCCAAATGAATGGGTTTGACTCAGTCATCTCATTTCCTTAATGCTCACAAATTTTTTAGACACATTTTTACACTGTGGGTTTCAGTGAACATTTGCACATTTTACTCAAAGTTGGTCAGAAGAGTTAAAATTAACAATAATGGGTGGAAATGGGGTAGGAAGGTCAAAGGTCATCTTGAGTGATCTTGGTTTTTAGAAATCTGCCAGTCTGCTGTGCCTTAGCAGTTGCAGAAGGCCATGATTGACTCTCTCCCTAATAATAATCTCCTTGCTTGTAAGGAAGTATTGGAGAAAGGAGTTGAAAGTAATATTAGCAAGAAGCCTTTACTAATGAGTAGGTATGCTTGTAAAGTCCTTCACTTGAAACATTTGTCAAATGACTGTCCTTTGTCGACTACTATATTTTGAGAAATTCCAGAGGAAATAAGGTGAGACTTCAAAACTTACAAAAAAATGTAATGTAAAGGTTAGGAGTGGTGAGTGTAGAAATGGGAGAATAAAATTGTCAGCTCATTAAGGCTAGAAAATCCAGCATACAATGCTTCACACCCCAAAATATTCATGCCGCCTATATTTCATGCCGGTTACAGCACCTTACAGTACATTTTCATTTGAGCCTCACAACAACCCTTTGAAGTAGGAAGTGCCATCCGCAGAGTATACTCAGAAGGGACACACATTTGAGAGGTTTTGTGTTTATTCAAGGCCACCCAGCTGTAAAGGGGAAGAGACAGAGCACAGGACTTCCTTGCCCACCAAGTGTTCCTTTACAGCCACTTACAAAAAGAGCTAATGCTTGTGTGTTAGCAAATATGTTTCATCAACATTTTGCAAATTCTTTACTTCATCTGACTTATTGATAGAACAAAAGAAAACACAGCATGCACTTTCAAATGCAAGCACCTATATCTTTGGCACAAATATCGATACCAAATTCACGTTATAGTTGGTACACATAAAAACAAATATAATGAATTGCAAGGTTCTGCAGATTTACGGCTAATTACTCTTTTCTACTTCTTCATCTATATTTATCATAATGTGATCCAAGATCAAGTTGCATCAAAATCACCAGGATCCTTACATAAAATACTCATTCTCCAACATAAGCCCAGAACTATTTAACCAACACCTTTATGGTGGACTCAGGTATAAGGCATTAAAAATTTTCCAAAAAGGGACAATGAGGCATGCTGAAGTGTGAAGAATGCACCTAGCTTTATGGAAATTGGTGTTTAACGTCTAGGTGGTGTATTTATTTTAACAATGTACACTTAATGATGGGACACACATAGATAGTTAAAAGCAAATAAATAGTACCCAATGGGTAGTTTTTTGCCTTTGCACCTTCCCTCCTTCCCATCACACAATATACCCATGTAACAAACCTGCACATGTACCCACTGAATCTAAACAAAAGTTAAAAAAAAAAAAAAAAGAAAATGAATAGAGCCAGCTAGTAAATCTACCCCAATCCTAGTTCTCTTCACTCAAATGTAGTTGACTATGCTCTAGACATTATTAGGAACAGCTTAGTTCTTAAATGTTTACGGCAGTTACTCTTATTGGATATAATTACATAAAAGATGGAATGCCTTGATTACTAATTTTAAAAAAGGTAGAGTGGATAAAAGAGAGTAAAAAGAAGTTACTATTTTAAAAAATAAAGCTTGGTAAAAATGAGATTTGGGAGAAATTAATAGAAAATGAAAAAAAAAACCAAAATACTAGAATTAGAACCTCACCTAGGGAACAAACTGAAATGATTATAAGATTTGATGATAGAGATGGGACCCAGAGGTAGAATCTGAAGTCTTAATATCAGAAAGGCATTGAACATCTGGTTGAAGACCAAAAGCAAGGAGAAGAAGCCTCTTTCAGTATACATTATTTGCAATGAAGAAAAAAATAAGAATAATGTAAGGGCATTATTATTAATAATAATATGAATAATAATGTAAAGTCATTTAAATATTAAGAGGAGATTCTGAAAATTGTCTGAGGCATAATAGAAGCTTTTTAATAAAAAGTCCTTATTAATATATATAAATGTTATTGGAATTTTTAATTTAATATACTTTTTTATCTTAGAAAACTAATACTATCTATAAAAAGTTTCATATATTTGTTTTAAAATTCGTCTTCTCACCCCAGTTTACCTCGGGTAGTCCTGAGATCCTTTGAATTTTACTGGAACCTTTTAAAGTTGGAGAACCCATGAACCTCAGGTGCATGACAGCTTATGCTTTACATTTTGAAGTGATCCAAATGATTAGAGAAGAATTTAGAAACTTACATGAATCAACTTTATGATGGTCAGAGAATCTGTGAAATATGTTTCAAAAAGAGGATCTAATTTAGCAGAGCGTAAGGGGCATGATTTTCCAGGTGAGTCACAAATTATGTTTTGGGCTGGGAAATGAAGACCAAATCTCACAGGACTAACCTGGAGATCAGAAACTGGGGCATGAAGGCACCTATGAATCTCTGAAAAGTTGATAATATTAGGTACTTGCTGACCTGTTGAGGAAGAAAGAACCCCTAATGGTTCCAGAATCACAAGCCTGGAGACACAAAAGAGAATATAAGTGGTGGGAAGCATGGAAATAGGGAAAATGATGTCTTAAGAAAGAGAGCTCCATTCCAGACATTAATTCTAGATACTGAAAAATTTGAATGGAAAAGTTCTTACACATGTTCAAGTACACCACAGTGAAAGAGAAATAGAAGCTCTAAAATCAGAGACATCTGTGAGTCACCCTGGCTAATAAATCCCTGAAGAAAGATTTGGAAAACCAAATCATGGGTCGTTCTGTTGAAGGAAAGAAGATAATCTTATAATAAATGTACAGAGTATAGACTATTTATCTATCTCTGTCTCTCTCTCTCTCTCTCTCTGTCTCTCTCTCTCTCTCTCTCTCTCTCTCTCTCTCTCTCTATATATATATATATATATATATATATATATATATATAGTCAAAAAAGGCACAAATAACATTAAAGAATTAGGATTTCTCTTAAATCAGGAAGAATCCTGGGAAAAAAGGGCAAAGAAATATCCAAAATCCTAACAAGTAGGGCTGTTGATGCTTCCAGAACTGAAAAGAAAATTCTTCTGGTTAATATCACAAACACAAACTAGAGAATTGCATAGAAAATACACTTTGAGAAATCCAGTTAAATGCCTGTCTCTCCTCCCCCTTGTATCTAGTTTTGAACTTGATCACATTCAAAGTAAGCAAGGAAGGCAAGCATGTAATGTCGAAGTCACATTAAAGGAATCGAATTTGTCTCTCTTACAACAACATGCTTCCGGTTCATAATAAATTAATCCAGCATTCTATCTCAAAACTGCCTCTTTTTATTATACTAGCAGATATTTCAGGGTTTTCCTCAGTGCTTACACACATGTATAAGTTTCCCATAGGGAGGATGCTAATTACAGTCCCCAGAATTAATTTTCCTATGTACAGTCCTCATTATCATTTAATTGCTCTAATCTGACAGAGACAGCCTGGACAGGGAAATCAGAAAGCAGACATTTCAACAATCTCAAAGTAGCTGGGTGGTTATCCCATATCACTGGGTCACCCTGCCCTGGAGTACCTGCACTCTATACCATGCTAGCAGAACTGCCCTATGATTTCAGGAAAAAAAAAGTGGAGGAGGGGGCAGGGGGCAGGGGTGGTGGCTCACGCCTGTCATCCCAGACTTTGGGAGGCTGAGGCAGGTGGATCACCTGCTGTCAGGACTTTGAGACCAGCCTGACCAACATGGCAAAACCCTGTCTCTACTAAAAAATACAAAAATTAGCTGGGCGTAGTGCCACAAGCCTGTAATCCCAGCTACTCGGGAGGCTGAGGCCGGAGAATCACTTGAACCTGGGAGGCGGAGGTTGCAGTGAGGTGAAATCCTGCCACTGCACCCTAGCCTGGGCAATAAGAGCTAAACTCTGTCTCAAAATAAATACATAAATTAAAAGGTAATTGAAAACAGCCTGGCATTTCTGTGTGGTTTAAGCTTTTCAGTGGACAGAGATGAGTAACAAGGTGAAAAGAAACACCAAACCCAAGCACAGTCCCACACATTGCTGGGGTAACAGCAGAAGAGACTGGAAAGATGCTTACATACCACTATGGATGGGTGGGGGCTTGGAGGCACCGGGTAGGAGGACAGAAAAGAAGACAGGATGCTTGCTACCCAGAAAGAAATGCAGCTGACATGCTCTGAGGAGAGGCAGTCAGTCATCAGAAAGCACAGGGAGTTTCTCCTGAGAACCATGTAGGGTTATGCGTTGAGGAAACTGAGCTGCTTGCAGACACAATCCTTTTTTTCCAGGGGTTTGTAACTCAGTGGAAAAACAGATCAGTAAAGTTAGATTTAAAATACAGTATAAGGAACACTCTAATAAAGGTAAGTGGAGAGAGTTATGCGATCCATAGGAATGGAAACTAGCTGGTTTTAAAGGATAAAACAGCGGTTCATCCATTCATTCATATGACAATAATCATAAAAATGGACAGTGACAGCTATTCAATATGCTAGATGGTACTTTACAGCTTTCAAAACACATTCATTAGAGCTTAACTTTATTACAACACTATTTGAAATCAGGGAAAGTATTATTGGCTTAGCTTTATGATATACTCTTGGACAGTGTGTTGAAGATACATTATTGTGACATGGATGATGTCACATTTTCTGAATTATAGCCTAGTGTTTTTTTCACATTGCTTATTATATATTTTGAATGAGCACCTGGAAATAAAGAGCAGAATTAGCCTTGGATTCTGCATTTTAGATAATACATAGCAAAGTGGAATTGGGAAGACAAGACAGATTGTATGTTAGAAGGTGGGACAGGATTAAATAGCGACATGATGTGAGTCATCAGTGTTGACCTCCCTGGCTTGTGTGTTGAGAAAATCCAGTGTGGAGACAGTTGGTTCTTTTCAAGTTTCTTAAAAGGCACAACACCATCCAACTTCCACCAGCCTATATAAATGCTATGTGGTTTAATTGTCAGCAACAATAAGAGAATACACAAGAATCAGATGATCTGGAAAAAGAAAAGCTTTATGGGTTGAATTCTGCCTCCTTCCCCCAAATTTTTGAGGGTATGTTGGAGTCCTAACCCCCAATATGATTGCCTTTGAAGATAAGGCTTTTAAGGAGGTAATGAAATCAAAATGATGTAATTAGGGTGGGCCCTAATCCAATTTGATTGGTGTCCTTACACAAAGAGGAAATTAGGACACAGACATGTACAGAGGGAAGACCTGTGAGGATACAGGGGAGGATGGCCAAGAAGAAGAGGAGAAGGCTTAGGAGGGAACAACCTTGCCAACACTTAGACTTCCGTAGACCTTAGACTTTCTTAGACCTTAGACTTTTTTAGACTGTGAGGAAATACATTTCTGTTGTTTAACTCCCCGTCCTCCACCCCTCCAACCATGGTATTTTGTTATGGCAGCCCTAGAAAACTAATACAAAAAGTATTTTCTCTTCATCATCAAGAATCATCAGAAATCTCTAAGCAAATAATTAAGTCTTTCCCTATGTAAAAATTCCTGTTCTCAGAGAAATGGGAGAAAACAAAACATAATAGGTAGTTCATGATGACAGACAGACTTAGTGAAGATGAGTTCTCTTAGAATTCTGGGAGGTGAGGTTGAAGGTGTGGTCTAATCTGTGAGCTGGTGTCTTACTGCCAACACATCAGACCAGCAGTGGGCACTTTGGTGGTGGTTGTGAGCAGCCAGCGCTGTTTGTTGGTTATAGAGAAAGGGTGACATCCAGTGGCTGGTTCTATCAGCCAAGCTCCTGGACACTGACTCAGGGTGCATGCCAGATGGCAGAGAAGGGTCTTCAGGAACATGGATGAATCTTATGTCCAGTTCAGTTCCTGGCAGGTGACAATGAAACTTGGGCAAAATGCAGTGATCACTCTATGTCCTAAAACATAGGGAGTGGGGTCCATGCATTGTTATTAAAACATTGAGAATACACTGATAGCAAAGAGAAGCACTATAAATTAACTTAATCTTCAATACACCTTACACTTGATTCTCTCTATCCCGTAGAAAAGACTCAAAAATGATTTATGAAAGGAGGAAAAAAACCCTCTGAACACATATAATACTATAGAGCCAGCTACTTTGATAATAGAATACGGTTACAATATATAAGGTATCCTACTTTAAAGATAGATATTGATAATAGTTAATAGATAAATAGATAGATAGGTGATAGACAGATAATGTAGTTTAGTTTAAACTTAAAGTTTAACTTGTAGTACCCAGTTAGTAATATCAAGAATGGCTTAAAATGACACAGCTGCAAACCCTACATACATCAAGTTGCCCAGCTCTTAGATAATATTGTTTTACTTTATATTATCTACTTTAATATTGTTTTTCTTTATTTATTAATATAGAAAATAATATTGTTTTCTAATAGCTTTTGCTTTGTTTTGGTTTGGGTTTTTTTTTTTTTAATCTTTGGGAGAAGCTAGGCTTTGAAACTGTGGATATTTAAATAGAGTCTGTCATGATCAGCTGGGGTTGCTAACCCTCACCGCAAATATTCTTTACAAAGCAGAAGGGATGCTCCCTGCCTTTGAATAATTTACATATCTATATATAATTTTTAAAATATTAAAACTAAAGATATACCAATGTCACATCCATGTATGCATTATATGTACATTTGGAAGACATGTGCTTTTTTGTGGCAGATGTAATGACTGCACTTCTCATTCTACTCAAATAGAGTACCTAGGAGACAATGTGAGACCCTGAACACATTTTAGCAGATCTGGGGTTGGTTGTTTCCTCTTCATGTGGAACAGTATAAATAAAGCTAGAAGTGATCCTGAGAACTATGCATGAAATAGATGTCTGGGGCCCCTTTCATGACCTCACTAGCCTATTGTTAAAGCCACCTTAGCATCTGATACTTCCCCCTTGCCACACTTGATCCCATAGATTGCGTATGCAGTGATATGAGTGCTGCACCAAAGCAAAGATCAAGTCTAATTCATTCAACAGTGTATGTCTATTGTCTTAAACAGTTCAAGACACACAGCAGGTGTTTCATAAACACATGCTGACCCTGGAAAGCCATGAGTAAAATTGACAAGTGGGACAAGAGAAAGATTAGATAAGAATGGGAAAATAGCTGGGAAATGGGAAGATTATATTCATTATATGTTACCATTCAAACATTGAAAAGGTTAAATAATCTTCAGAATGACATCAATTAAACTTTACATAAGACTAAAGTCTAAAGGGAAGAAAGGGTAATATTAGAAAGTAAACAAGAAATTTGCTCCCTGGAGCACAAATATGTTAATGGTTTCTCCTGGAATTGAGCAATGTGGCAACCCAATCAGAAATGGCTTCATGAAGGTGGGTCATAAGTGGAGCCTTGTGGGATCTGAATAAATTGAGAGAAGAAGAAACTATATTCCCCAAAATGATCAGAATGTAGAAAATTTTCTGGCAGCAAAAATGAGTAGGGCATATTTAAAAGACTTCTCTGAACTAGAGGATATTAAAGAATAATAGAAGTTAAGATCAGAAGGTCTATTGGGACCACATTGTAGATAGCTACTTCTAAGCTATGATGTTCAAACTTTGAACTGTGAGCAGTGACTTGTTGAAAGAACTTTAAGGAATATCAATTTGGCACTAATGTACAGGATAAGTTAGAGGAATCAGGAAACAAAGAGATCAATCAAGAAGCTGCTGCAGGGCTACAGTAACCAAAACAGCATGGCTTTGGTACAAAAACAGACACACAGACCGATGGAACAAAATAGTGAACTCAGAAATAAGACTGCACACTTACAACTATCTGATCTTTGACAAACCTAACAACAACAACAAAAAAGCAATGGGGAAAGGATTCATTCCCTAGTCAGTCAATGGTGCTGGGATAACTCACTAGCCATATGCAGAAGATTAAAACTGGGCCCTTTTCTTGCACCATATACAAAAATTAACTCAAGATGGATTAAGGACTTAAATGTAAAATGCAAAACTGTGAAAACCAAAGAAGACAACCTAGGCAACACCATTTAGGGCAATGTCAACAAAGGCAAAGATTTTCATGACAAAGATGCCAAAAGCAGTTGCAACAAAAGCAAAGATTGACAAATAGGATCTAATTAAACTTAAGAGCTTCTGCACAGCAAAAGAAACTATTAACAGAGTAAACAGGCAACCTAGACAATGGGAGATAATTTTTGTAAACTATACATTCAACAGAGGTCTAATATCTAGCAGCTATAAGGAACTTAAAAAATTTACCAAAAAAAAACCTCAACGCCATTAAAAAGTGGGCAAAGGATATGGACAGATACTTTTTTTTTTTTTTGAGACAGAGTCTCGCTCTGTCACCAGGCTGGAGTGCAGTGGTGCAATCTCAGCTCACTGCAATCTCCGCCTCCTGGGTTCAAGCGATTCTCCTGCCTCAACCTCCTGAGTAGCTGGGATTATGGGCATGTGCCACCACACCCAGCTAATTTTTGTATTTTTAGTAGAAACAGGGTTTTCCCATGTTGTCCAGGATGGTCTTGATCTCCTGACCTTGTGATCCACCCGCCTCAGCCTCCCAAAGTGCTAGGATTACAGGCTTGAGCCACCGCGCCCGGCCAACACTTTTAAAAAGAAGGCATACATGCACCAACAATCATATGAAAAAAAGGCTCAACATCACTGATCATTAGAGAAATGCAAATCAAAACCACAATGAGATACCATCTAATACCAGTCAGAGTGGCTATTACTAAAAAGTAAAAAATAACAGATGCTGGCAAGGTTGTGGAGAAAAAGGAATGCTTATACACTGTTGGTGGGAGTGTAAATTAGTTCAATCATTGTGGAAGACAGAGTGACAATTCCTCAAAGACCTAAAGACAGAAATGCCATTTGACTCAGCAATCCCATTACCACAGGGATTACAAATTGTTCTACTATAAAGACACATGCAAGTGTATATTCATTGCAGCACTATTCACAATAGCAAAGACATGGAATCAACCTAAATGCCCATCTATGATAGACTGGTTAAAGAAATATGGTACATATACACCATAGAATACCATGCAGCCATAAAAAAGAATGAGATCATGTCCTTTGCAGGAACATGGATGGAGCTGGAGGCCATTATCCTCAGCAAACTAATACAGGAAAGGAAAACCAAATACCACATGTTCTCACTTATTAAGTAGTTGCCAAATGATGAGAACTCATGGACACACAGAGGGGAAGAACGGACACTGAGGTCTTTCAGAGGGTGAAGGGTAGGAGGAGGGAGAGGATCAGGAAAAATAATTAATGGGTACTAGGCTTAATTAATACCTGGTGATGAAATAATCCGTGCAACAAATCCCCATGATACAGGTGACCTATGTAACAAACCTGCACATGTACCTGTGAACTCAAAAGTAAAATACAAAATAAAACCACAAAAAAGCAGCTATTGTAGCAATCGAGGTGTGAATGCACATGGATTTGAAATATGATATTGGCAGTGAAAATAGTAAATTTGATGTAAGTGCAATATATAGACATAATTTAAGGAAGAATGAATAGGATATAACAATTATTTGGCTAAGTAATTAAATATGGCTAACGCTTAGTGTCTGGGAAGGAAAATTTAGGACAAGGAGCCAGTTGGGGACATAGAGTAATACTGACTTTGAGGACATAACGAAAAAAACTCAAAGTGAGAATATTCAGTAGACATTAGGAGACAGGACTGGAATTCAAACTGAAGGTCAGTCATAGAAATGCAAAATTAAGGTTATGAAGTCATCAAAAAGAATGAGATCTCCATAGACCAAAAAGAACATGTACTGAATTTTAAGGGATACCTTTATTCAAGGGAAGTTGGAAAGGAGAGCCAGAGAAAAATGAAAGCATAGTAGGCTTTATTGATTCAATTGCTGGTTTGGCTCTTTGCTTATATAAACATTCATTTAATTATTTATCTTATCCCAGCTGCTGAATCAATTACCTAGTAATATTAACCACTTAACTAAAAATCAACAAGTCTGTAAACTCTCTAAGCTTCTTTAAAAACTATTTTACATCTGTGTTATGTGGAGACAAAAGTATCAAATTTGGAATCTAAAACCCAGGGCTTAAATGCTGGCAGTCACTTCCTAAGTGTATATCTTTAGATTGGACAAGTTTAGATTGGGCAATTTAAATTCTAAAATCAGAGGCTTCAGCTCTAAAATGAGAATGAAAGATACTCCATATTTTTTAATAATTAAATGAGATAATACAGTTAAAGGAACTACGTCAGCCCTCTGCTATATACCATGCTAGTCCCTGACTCTTTCCTGCTTTTTTAGAAAATGCAACAATTGAAAGTCTACTATTCGATATATGTATGACACTCATGTATTCATTTAGTCTTTGAGTTTCTATCGTGATCAGGCACAGCTCTGATGCTGAGAATACGGTAGAAAAAAAGACAACATCCAGTCTTCCTGAGGCCAGAGACTAGTGGAACAAAGCCTAGTGGAAGAAACAGTGAACTGAAAATACATAGAAATTCAGGCAGTGATAAACTCTTTGAAGTAAAATAGAGCAGAATAAGAGAAAGGCAAGATCAGTTTGGGAAGGCTCTATTTCAGATGTAGCACTCAAGGGACATACAACTTAACTGAAATGAGTGAGTGAGAGAGAGAGAGAGACAAAGACAAAGAGAGAGCAGGGGGAGCATGCTATGGCAAGACGCTTGGGGAGGGAAAGCATGTGGGGTGGACAGCAAGTGTAAGAACCGTGAGGTGGCCATGAGTAGCAAGCGCGAGGATCATTAGGAAGATGGACATGTGTGGCTGATGAGGCACGCGCACGAAATAGAGGCAGAGTTGTCAGCAGTGGGAAGGCCATGCAGGTGCATGGGCTGTGGGAAGACACTGGAGCTCTTAGAGCAAGGAGCCGTCTGCTTCGGAGGAACGTTAGAGTTCCTAAATTCAGTTAATGAAATGCTTGTTAAACCCCTGCATTGTGCTTCTCCGTGCCCCTGATCTCCCCTTCCCCATAGCCTGTGTATCAGTGCTGTGTGATGAGTTCTGTTCTGGGTGAACTGCACAAAGACCCTTCAAAGTTTGAAGGGAGTGGGAAAAATCAGTTTTAAAGGTTTAATAAGGGTTTCTTAAAGAAAAATAATAAAGACATGTCAAGTGCACCACCCCTTTCCCCACCTGACTTCAAACAAAGAGAAAATCCCACCATGTGTCATTATACACTGTCATTTAGACAAAGACACTGACCATGACAAGTCAACAGTGGAGATTTGGACTTCATGTTGAAGAATAAAAGTAGCAAAGACTTTAAGTTGTAGATTGGCATCTTTAGATTGACATTGGCATAGTGACTTCATTTTTTAAATGCTGCCAGAATTTCTTAGAAAAAAAAGTTAGAGCATATGGTGATTCACAAGTGCCTGGTGGAAAATTATAAAATCAGCAGCAGTATTTCTGGCTGCTGAGATCCTGTGAACCACAACTACCTTCAAAAGATAGAGGGTAGCAAAGGAAGCAAGGGTGCCTTTCTAACTCCACACAGTTTGTAGTATTTTACAACTTGTTTCCCTTTAGCAAGTACTGGCAGTTCTATCAATCCAACAAGTGGGGAACCTTATTAATAATTATTTATTTTAGCCATATCTCAACTTTAAATAGTAAATATTGTACCACCACCAGTGTATCCTTTCCAGATACCCAAACTGATGCTCAGGGATATTAAGTGAATTGCCCAGTGCCAGTCAGTTAAGAAGTAGCTGAATCAAAATCCGAATGTGCGACCATCAGGTTTCAGAGTCTATGCCCTTGATACTTTACCATAGAACCACAGAGAAGGGAGGTTTTTCAAGGCATGATACTTGCTGAAAATAAAAAGATACAACTTTAAATTTGTCCAAGAAAAAATTACTAAAGAAACACATAGCCCATGCAGTTTCTCTAAGAGATTCTACATGACATTATTGTTTGCTAGAAAGTAGGGTGCTAGTTGTTCCTTTTGTAAATATAATAGTCAAATCATGTTACCATTAGGACACATTAAAAATGTCAAATTACCTTGGGACCTTATATGAACATATTAAGATAATAATGATAGTGTTCAGTGCAATATTCAGATCAATAGTTTAAACCCAAAATATTTATACCTTCAGATTAGATGTATGCAAATGCATTGATTCATGTGTCTTTTATCTGTTGTTTACATTTGGAGAAATATTTGAGAAATATTTCAAAATGGAATTTATATAAATTTAAACACATAATGGTTTTATGTAAAAATATTGCTAAATTACATTTTCCCCTTAATTCTTATTTCTTGGAAACGTGCCTTAGTCGCTGAAATATTCATACATTAACACAATGAAAGAAGTGAACCTTACTAGGCTTTGACTATCAGGTTTGCTGTTGGTTTTTGACTATTGTGAAACTATAGCCTGATTTCTAAATCAGGAAGAAACGTGTATTGTTGTTAATATGGACACATGACATATTTGTCTGCCTGACTTTTGATCCCAGCTACAACCTCTGGCCTTTTCAAATGATTCTTTAATATCACATAAAGGGAGGTGAGATAACTAAAGGGGGTGATTCCGGACTAGGAGGCAAGGGAGGGCAGATAACATGGTGCTTTGAAATCTTCTGTGACTTTTCAGTCACTTATTTCATTAAGTGATATATCTCACTAGAAGTGAGGTAGAACATAACAAATCCATGTTTGCTGGGCATATGTTATGACAACAGAGAAATTCACAGACTGGTCTTACCCGGCAGGGGAGATGGCATGATCATGAAAATGGTTTTTCCCAGGGTGAGCTTACCCATTGCATTCTGATGTGCTGATTTCCGTGATTTCCCCAAATGTGGGAAACTCACTCGGCTGCATAATTGGTGGTAGTGGGGGCTGTGTTATGCTCTCTCCTTGATGTCAGTTTTTTTTTTTTCTAAAAGCAAACAAAAACAATTGGCTTCAGACATTTTGAACAAAACAAGCAGAAGCTGTTTTCTTTAAGAAATTACAAGCAGTGTCTATCTATAGATACATACATAGTCACACATGCTCATAAAAACACACAACCACAGCAAAATTCATGCTGTAATCTATAAACACTTTTTAGAAACGGGGAGAGGTTGTGTGGGCCTAAAGAGCCAGGTGGGGCAGAACCTAAAAGGACCTTGAGAATGACAAACATTTGACCATGGGAAGCAGGACAGGAGAAGGATGTTACAGCCAGTGACCATAGCATAGGTAAAAGCAAAACAGGTACCAAGGAGCACACTGTACAGACCATTCAGCAAGGAGCCCAGCCTGACTGCCAGGAAGAGGCTGCCTGCAGGAATGGTGTGGAAGACCATCAGCTGCAGACTGAGGCAAGGCGATGGAGGTTTAGGCTTGCTTCAATAGGTGAGCTACTTACACAAGGAGAACCATGATGAACCATGATGGAAGTGGTGTTGCAACATTCACATGGTGTGGGTTGTACTGGGAAGAGATGGACAATAGGGTGGCTTAGCGATGGCAACGGGCATCTTTAGATGAGAAGAATGTACGTGAGATTTCGAAAAAAATGATCAACAGAATTGAACTGTATTGAGCACTAAGCTAGTATAGGCAGACAGTTCCAACTGGGTAAAATAACATTATAACCACTTCTTAAGTAAATAATTTGGCAGCCGGACTTTCCTTTGCCTCACTGACTGAAGCAAGCATCCCAGACATTTGATTTACCAGGCACTCTCACGAAGTACCTCAAGGATGTGCTTCCGAGCATATGTTTTATCACAGTTTCATTACAGTGTGCATATAGATTCTTCCCCTCTGGGTTTTATTTTATTTTATTTTGAGATGGAGTCTTGCTCTTGTCACCCAGGCTGGAGTGCAATGGTGCGATCTCGGCTCACTGCAACCTCCACCTCCTGGGTTCAAGCGATTCTCCTACCCTAGCCTCCCGACTAGCTGGAATTACAGGTGCCTCTCACCATGCCCAACTAATTTTTTCGCATTTTTAATAGAGATGGGGTTTCACCATGTTGGTCAGGCTGGTCTCAAACTCCTGACCTCGGGTGATCCACCCGCCTCGGCATTTTGGGGTTTAAAGGAAGTTTAAAATCTCTCTCTAACCTTGAGATTAAATTAATGTTATTTTAGATTCAAAACTTTCTCCTGCACATAGCAGATAATTAATGTAATTGAAAGAGATTTGATTCCCAGATGTTGATGCATCTGTGATCCCAAAGGCTTCCCTCGGGGAGTCATTCTCATTTGCAGTTAGAGACACAATGGAAGGACAGCCTCAAAGCAGGCAAACAGTGTCAGTTAAATTCAGATGTCAAACCTGGGTTTTGGTGACAGCCCTGGAACTCTCACATCAGCTTCTGAATTTTGCAAATTATGATATTACCAAGACTGCTCAACAAAGGCTGGCATCTTAATAAAAGGCCATTCTTAATTGCTCTTCCTCCGTTACTCACTAGTGACAGAATACAACCTTCTTATAACAAAAGAAGTTTGCACTGACTCCCATCCAGAGAAATCTAGGTAGAATAGGGGCTACAAAACAATGGTACTCAGGGCCAGGAATTTAGAAGTTAGATGAAAAGTTAAGACAAATACTAAATACCTGCCAAAGGCCCCACTGTCTAATACCATCCCCTTTGAGATGACTATTTCAACATATGAATTTTGGGGGAATAAAGCAGTCAGATGATAGTACTATACAAAGCTTGAAAAGGTACAACACTTCGCCTTTTGAAACATCTATAACTAGAAGCCAAATAACAAAGGTCTTTGGGAGTTGATTAGGTCATGAGGGTGACACCTGCATGAATGGGATTAACAACTTCATTTTAAAAAAGGCCTGAGAGACAACCCTTGCCCTTTCCACCCTGTGAAGACACAAAAAGAAGGCATTGACTATGAAATGGAAACCCTCACCAAAAACTGAATTTGCCAGGGCCTTGAACTTGAACTTCCCAGCCTCCAGAACTGTGAGAAATAAATTTCTGTTGTTTAGAAGCCACCCAGTTCATGGTATTTTGAATGTACAAAGAATACCGAATGTACTAAGACAGTATTGCACATAAATTACCAGGAGACACAGAAGAGTAGCTATAGAACATGCTTCATGCGACCAGATCTCAGCAATGAGATGTGCTGTGGAAGAACCATGCGTTTTGTTCTGCAGCTGGGATTTTCTTATGCTCTTCTTGCCTTTCAGTGACTCTAGCTGGAGCTGTGGTCTTCTCCATTTTGAAGGAGACACCCTCGAAGGCTGCCTTTTGCCAGCTGAGATCTGACACTGATTTGTATAAATTGAGAGGGGATTTAGTCTATTGTCCCAGAACTGAGGATGGAGTCCCTGAATGGCAAGCTTCAGATGAAAATACAGTCTGATGATTATCCATGTGTGCCCTGTACGCTGCCTTGAGAAATGCATCCTAATGATGATGGCTTCAAGTTAAGGTGGTCATCATAACACCAGGTAATTTTCATTTTGGCGTTTCACGGAACATCTACCTTTCCAGAGGACAGTTCTAAATTTTAATAGCTTCACGTTCTGGCTGATTAGCTGACAAATGAAGTTAAATAACCAGCTTTCACTCAGAGAGATGATGCAGAAAGAAAGCTGCCCTCTGATATCCCCACTGATAATAATGTGAAGTGTGGAAGGCCTCAGATGTCTTTTCTGGATACCTATGTGTAATGTTCATCTATATTAATGGAACTCGTAAGCGCACCACGTGAATAAGAAAATGAATCTGTAGAAGGTAGTCCCTGTTGACTAGGCTGGTTTTGAATTTCAGAAAGTTGTGTAACGCTTCCATGAATTTTTCTTTATCTTGGAAAAACATTGCCATGCAATGTATTTTATAATTACTTTCAGAAATACAGCGTTTCTAATTGAGAAGTTTGTGAACGTGGCCTGAACATTCTAGCTCATGTGCGTAATTGATAGCAATGAATTATTTTACAAGGTAAAGATGTTTCCCCCTTGGCTCAATAACTATTAATATCAAATGAAAGCACACACTGGCATCAGGGGGAACACAGCCTCCTCACCCTTCCAATTTCATTTCACATTACCTGCCAACTTCCAGGAAATCCTTTAGGCATCATTACACTTTTTCCCTAGGCCCCCTATCCTCCCTTAAGACCTCCACTCTGCTATACTAACCTGCACAGGGACAGGGAAATAACTCTAAGTGCATCTCTTTTCTTTCCTAAGATATGTTGCTTAAATGTAAGGGAAAGCTACTTGGCAACTCTAACACACACACACACACTCACCCCAGAAATTCTCGGCTCTTCACAAGAGTGTGTTTTCTCCTTATGGAAGAGTTGATGTGGTTCCATTTATAAAAATAGCAGCTATTTAAATGGGAAAAGCTTTTTCTCATATCATCTGTGGGCCAAATGTTTTTCTAAAAACATACATTCTCTTTTTCTAGCAGAGAAGACAAATTCTAAATGGATTCAAGGTTCATCAAATTGCTAAGTTTTCTTTGGGTTAATGCATTTGACAACCAAGTTCACAGAAGTGCCAAAATGAAAATAAGTAAATTAAGAACTGTTCTATCTAATTTCTTTATTAGAACACACATTTTTGTGTGTTTTTCATGTGTGTGCATTATATTTATAAACTGATGTGATTAATATATAAACTGTGTTAATCTGCAATTATTTTTATTTCCTACATAGAATTTTATATGGTGATTTTTAGGAAGTTGGAACACATAGTCCATATAAATTGTTTCTTAAGCTCTGCTTTCTCTACTTCAGGGAAGCAAAAAGAGAAGTTCATATCTCTTCTTTCCAATCCTTTTTTTTTTTTTTTTTTGAGATGGAGTTTCATTCGTGTTGCCCAGGCTGGAGGGCAATGGCACAATCTCGGCTCACTGGCTAATTTTTGTATTTTTAGTAGAGACACGGTTTCACCATGTTGGCCAGTCTGGTTTTGAACTCCTGACCTCATGTGATCCTCCTGCCTCAGCCTCCCAAAGTGCTGGGATTACAGGCATGAGCCACCGTGCCTGGCCCTTTCCAATCCTTTTTAAGCTCATGTATTCATCACCACCTTCATAAGTTCCAATTTCTCTAGCTTATATTCAGCTGAATATGACCTTGAAATTCAAAGATTCACTCTTTATCCAATGCAAGATTCTGTCTATCATGCATATTCACTGCTGTTTAAACATTTCCACTAGTGATGACATCAGACTATGCAGGGGATGGGGTGGTGTAGGGGTTGTGGTAGGCAGGGCTTCTAAACCAGCAAGACTACCTTCATTCCTCTGGCCGTATTAAATACCTATAAGAGCTAACGAAAGCATTGAGATTGCTATGGATGAATTGGTTCAAGATTAGTTCATTATCCCTGTCCGCCTCTAGCACCAAGGCTGCTCTAGGCTTTAAGCCTCCCAGTGAAAGACTCTGGATCTCGACTGGTTTCCAAGGGTAGAGAGAAAATTACAGGATACATTCTAATTATTAATATTACAGATGTTGTCCTTACATTGAGACACATCTGCCTGGACAGTGGTCACCATCTGCTCCTCTGGAACTACATACAAAAATGGGTCCAATCCCTTAAATAAAATAGTTCTTCAAATATTTGGAGACAGCTCTGTTCTGCTAATCTTAGCTTTTTCAGACTGAGTTGTATCAAATTCTCTAAGTATTATTGGTAGCATTTCTCAATGACAGTAGCAATTGCTTATGTTACCACAGCACTTTGGAGTTTCCAAAACACTTTCACAACTGTAGGTTCTTAATTTTATAAATGAGAAAACTGGGGCTCAGAGAGGATAAGTTACATTACCTTAATAATTGATTTAACAAGTACTAATGGAGTGTCTACTGTATGCTTGGCACAGCGCAAAATCCTAGGATATAGGAGATAATACATCAAGAATGGTGCCCCCCTTCTAGCTCTTATGATCTAGTATGGGAGGAATACATTTTTAAAAATTACAGATGATACCCAGATAATACTCACACCTGGTTGGGACTTTAGCCCAAGTCTTCTGTCTCTAAACCAAATTAACAGACCATTAACTTCAGTACAGCAGACACTGCACTTGGATTCATGAAACCCACTTAAGCTAGTCTTTCTGCAACTAGCTGTCCTGGTACAAGCTCTTCTTAAGATGTACCTTCTTCATTCCATAACTAAATGTGTGAGGAGTCTGTGCATGTGTGGTTAACTCAGAGGAGAACTCTACACTGATTTCTATAAAATTGTATTTTGCCATTTTCTTTCTACCTCTCTAAGTTGCCAACCTTCTTTTGAACTCTTATTTTATCATTTCTCACACATTAGATCTTCCTCTCAGTTTCTGTCCATCTGCAAGTTTTATGAAATTGTGTTCACCTATATCACTGACAAGAAAAAAAAAATGCCCACAAGTGCTTGGTGTGAAAGAAAGAGCACACATTTGTCATTAGTCGCAGATTAGATTTCCTATTAGCTAAGTGACCTTGGGCAGATAACATCCTCTCCCAGAGCAACTGATTACTCATCTGTGAAATGAGGAAATCAGGCTGGAGAATTTCTGAGGGATTTCCCTGCATTAAAAGTTTTATAATTCAATATGTTTTAAAATGCGAGGCTGAGTTTTAAAATTCTTTCCTTCTGAGTGTGGAGAGAAGAAAATGCAGAATATGTCTACTGATATTTACTGATAGGCATCACCTCCTGCTTCACTAAAGGAAGGAAATACATCAGCAAACATTGGTGCAAAATTCATACAACAGGGGCCACTTAAGCAGAATAGCTACCACACCTTTCCTTAATCAAAAACAATGGCTTCATGAAGTCCCTGATAGTCCATTTGCTATCTATATATTTTTTATGTTTAGAAATCAACAGAGTAAATTGATTATAAATAACTAAGCCAAATAAATGATTAAAAATAGTTCATAATTTGGAGTCTTCGGTGAGTCCTCTTTTTCTGCTCTGTGTAGGAAAATTATCTTTGATTCTATAAGTGGTAGCCTTCAAATGCTTCTTCCAAACATTTGCCTAATAAAAGAGAATCCTTATTTTCTAACCTTAACAGAACGCCAGAAATTATTTTAGTCTTTGAACTTGAAGAATTTGTGGGATCTTCTTTCTTAACATTGCTTCATTGCCACATAATGTATCTGTTTAATTCAGCCTTATTTGGGTTGCAATATGTGCTATAATTTATTCCTGTCGTTTTAAACTTACCAATTAGAGTGAATTCAAATTTAATTAATAGAAAATTTCGCCCACATTTAACTAGAGATAAATGAGAAGTAATTATAGAAACCAAAGCTTTTCTAGCCTGAGAGAAAAGAAAATAAAGAGAGCACCCAACCCAAGACATAATTAATCATCTCTTCTACATGGAAAGTCTGTCCTGATACTATAGTTTAAAGACAGACTGTCTAAAATGCATGTCTATGTAAAGGCATGTTGCAACTATTTTATTTTTCCATTCAGAGACGATTTGCTATTAATTATATGAAACCCCGTGGTGGCTTAATTAGCAGGCAACAATGGATTGGCTTTTAGATTGTGCAGTTAGAAAATTCTGGCACTTTTCAGCTTTTAACTTTAAAGCTAGAATTTATTTTTGTCTTTGAACTTGAGTTATTTGTGGGTTCTTCTTTTTTAATATTGCTTCATTGTCACATAATGTATATGTGACATAACATAACTATAGCCAAATTTTCTCTGGTCTAGGAAGCCTCCCCAATGTCCTCCTGAACACAATAATTCATGTCTTATTTCAACAATGCCTTTTCTTTCCTGTGAATGTGAATGGCTGTTGTATTTGAATATATTACTTATGTATTTTATTGAAATGTATCAAGAGCAGACAGAAAATAACATCTGTTTGACAACATTGTTTTATACATGTATATGGGCTGGAAAGGTGGTACAAGTACTTAACTTGAGAGTTTGTCTAAACTCTCAAATTTAAGAGAAAAATTTTAATCCCTCTCCTTTAAAGTATGTATATTTTTATTTCAAAAATCATTAAAATGTGTTTCAAAAAAAAGGAATCTAAAACCAAGTATGCAGAATCCCTAGAATTCCACACAACTCAAGTTGAAAAAACTTCGGAAAGTTTTACCTAAAAATGTTTTCAGCCCATTTCCTGAATTCATAGATCAGAAAATCAGGCTGTAATTTATCTATGGGCCAGATTAATATTCAATATTACAACAACCCTGATTGAGTAAGCATCCAGATGTGTATTTGCCTGAAGTCTAAAATTTACTACAAGTATAATTTTATTGAAGCTGTCAATGCCATATTTAAAGTGTTCATTTTAGTTGTGTGCACAGACTTACTACTCAACAAAATTGGGCCACATGAGTGATAATAATCTACTAATGCTTTAATCCTGATTTTTAGCCTAGCCATAATGAGGAGAAATCTTTTCTCAGGTCAATACTTGGGTGGGGGGGCATTTTTCACATTGACGATTAAAGCCTTGTAACATGTTAAATTAACCTTTCATCATGTGTCTCATTAGCCTCAATGTATTTGCCAAAGCTTTCTTCTACTCTCTTTGTGGATGTAGAGATAGAATGCTACCACACTGCTAATGAAATACGGTGCCAAGTGGAGCTAACACTGTAGGGGCTTGAATCTTTCCATGGGAAAGAATATGAAGATCCATGCTGATTTGCACCAAACATCCTTCTGCACTACAGCCCCCATGCTAAGATATTTAAGCATTAAGCATCCTCTACAATATCTTAGATCAATTAACTCAACATTGATTTTACTAGATTGAAAATATTCACACAGTTTTAATTTAATTTAGTATAGTTTAATATAATTTAATATAGTTTAATATAATTTTAAATCTGTGTGTTTTGTTTGTTTAATATAGTTTTAAATCTGTGCATTTTGTTACTATTTGTTGTATATTTCCTCAATAAGTTAGTTCCTTGATAGTTCTATGTCATTCTTTGATTTAAATAATGTTCCTAGAACACTGCAGTAGATATTTGAGTACTATTGATTAGGTTGTTTATAAATGCAGTGTGTTCTGTCCATTTGCTCCAAATTAACAATTTTTTGAAAAGCATCAGGTTTAGTATCTTACTATTATGCTAACCCATTTTAGCTTTTGTAGTTTCTTACTTGGTATTTTTCACTATGCACTTTAACAGGAATTACTCATTGATATATAATTGACATTTCTTTCTTGTTCTGTAGTTACAGAAATGTCATACAAGAAAAGAAAACAATTAGATGACTGTTTTGTCTTATTAATAATTTAAGTACTTTCAACCCTGAGCTGAGATAATAGGACTAATACTAGTATTTCAGGCTATTCTTTTTTAGTGCAATATTTATTTTATTAATCATTAAATGAAATTTAACCTGTCATTCATTATCCAAATGTTTGTTTTAATGAATCCCACTTATAAAACAGTATTTAATATTTCAGTTAAAATGTTTGTGTTTTGTAGTCTCACTAATATATACAATAACGAGGTAAAGATAAAAATATATAGCAAACATGAGGGAATTACTAACAGCATTAATGTAACAGCACACATTAGCCCACAATGAATGGTTTGTACAAAAATTACAGTTAGACCCAAACAATTCATAAGTGATTCTTCCGTTGTGAATGCAGGAAAATCCACAGGAATAAAATCTTGATATAAATGTACTTAAAAAAAGACTTTTATGTTTTTACAGCACTCTTAGATGCTCAGAAAAAGTGAGATGAAGGCACAGAGATTCCCCTTATGCCCCTTGCCCCCACATGCAGAGTCTCTCCTGTTACCAACATCCCCCACCAGAGTGGTGCATTTGTGACAATTGATGAACCTACATGATGCATCATTAGCACCCAAAGTCCATCATTTACATTAGGGTTTATCCTTGGTGTTATACATTCTGTGGGTTTGGACAAATATATGATGACATGTATCCATGATTATAGTATCATACAGAGTATTTTCACTGCCCTAAAAATCTTCTGTGCTCTGCCTGTTCATTCTTTTCCCCACCCCATTTCCTGGCAACCACTGATCTTTTTACTGTTTCCATTGTTTTGCCTTTTACAGTATGTCATGCAGTTGGAATCATGTGGTATGTAGGCTTTTAAGATTGGCTCCTTTCACTTAGTAATACACACGTAAGTTTATTCCATGTCTGTTCATGGATTGACAGCTCATTTCCTTTTAGAGATGAATAATACTTCATTGCCTGGATGTTCCACAGTTTACCTATCCATTTGCCTACTGAAGGCCATCTTGGTTGCTTTCAAGTTTTGGCAAATTATGAATGCAGCTGCCATAGATATTTGCATGCAGGTTTTCGTGTAGACAGAAGTTTTTAGCATTTTAGGGTACATATCAAGGAGTATGACTGGTGGATCATGTAGTAAGACAATGTTTAGTTGTTATGAGAAACCATCAAACTGTCTTCTAAAGTGGTTGTACCATTTTTTTTTTATTCCCACCAGCAGTGAATGAGAGTTTCTGTTGTCTAATACTTTCTTGTCAGTATTTGATTGTGTAAGTTTTCTGGATTTGAGCATTCCAAATAGGCGTGCAGTGGTTGTTTTGATGTGCATTTCCCTGATGACATATAATGTGGAACATCTTTTCATATGTTTATGTGCCATCTGTATATCTTCTTTGGCAACTTATCTGTTAAGGTCTTTGGTCCATTTTTAAATCAACTTGCATTGTTTTTTATTACTGGGCTTTAAGAGATATTTGTATATTTAAAATCAGATATTTCTATTGCAAAAAAAACCTTCCTCCCAGTCTGTGGTTTCTCTTCACATAATGTTGACAGTCATTTGCAAAGCAGAAATTTTTAATTTTAGTGAAGTCCAGTTTATTAATTATTTCTTCCCTGAATCATGCCTTTGGTGTCATATATGAAAGTCATAGCACAACCTAAGTTCATCTAGATTTTCTCATAGGTTACCTTCTAGGATTTTTATAATTTTGCATTTTACATTTATTTACGTGATCCATTTTAAGTTAATGTTATGAAGGACGTATGATCTATGTTTGGATTTATGTTTTGCATGTGGACGTTCCAGTTGTCCCAGTACCGTTAGTTGAAAAGACTACTTTTTCTTTATTGTATTGCTTTTGTTCCTTTGTCAAAGGTCAGTTGACTGTATTTATGTGGGTCTATTTCTTTGCTCTTTCCTGTGCTCCATTGATCTATCTGTCTATTCCTTCACCAATACTTCACTGTCTTGGTTATGGTAACTGTATAGTGAGTCTTGAGGTTGGGTAGTGCTAGTCCTCTCACTCTTTTTCTCCTTCAATATTGTGGTGGATATTCTTGGACCTTTGCCTCTCCGTGTAAACTTTAGTATCAGTGTGTCAAAATCCACCAACTAAGTCACTGGGATTTTGATTGGGATTGAATTGAATCTATAGATCAAGTTGGAAATAACTGATATGCTGACAATATTGAGTCTTCCTACCCATGAAGATGGAGTATCTCTTCATTCATTTGGTTCTTCTTTGATTTTTCCATTAGAGCCTTACAGTTCTCCTCATATGGACCTTGAACATGTTTTGTTAGTAAATGTACTTTTAAACATATTTTCTTCCCACTGTTTTATGTGGACATTCATCAAGCTTTTTTTTTGCTTGATTCAGTCTTTTCAGAGTATGATTTTAAGGTATGTATTATTTTTAAAATAATAGATATTTTATCTTATGTACAGTTAGAGATTTCCCTGTTGACACTAAAATATTTACATGTTGTTGATTTTTATGTTTTGCTTTTATGTTCGTTTTAGAAACAATAATGCCTACTCTAAATTATGAAAACAATGAAATACAAATATGGGCATCAAAGAGGAAAATGAAGAAGCTATTTCAAGCTGTCAAGAATATACTCTTAGCTCTGTATTCAAAAGTACTTCATTTGTATAAAAAAATTAAATTCAAATCCACACTTTAAAATTTTTAAAAAAGTAATTGTTTCTCTCAAAATACGTATGGTCAAATGACCATTTTTTTCCTTCTGTGTAGTTGCTTATTTTAGAGAGCTTTGTCCCAACAGGGTAGCAGAGAGATAATGATTCTACTATTGTCTTTAAATTCTTACCCGCTTCTCTGCCAGTCATCGAACTACTCCCTCTACTCCAAAACTTGGTCTGCTCTGCTCTAAATCAATGAGATATTGCTATCTGTCTGATGCAGGTTACATTCCAGTATCTTATCTTTCCCAGTTTGTATTGCAATAATATTGGGGTAAAATATTGCATGGGTTTACAAAAGGGATTCAGTAAAATACAAGCACACATTTAGAGCTTGTTCTTGGATTTGATTTGCATTGTCAGTTTGGTGCCTTCAGGAGTCATTTCACATTCTTTGCTTCCACATATCAGCTTTTAGTAAAGCTTTGCTCTATATCGGTAGCTTTCAACCTGTGCTGCACTTCTGAAACCCTAGGGAGCTTTTAAAAAAAGAATGATCTCGTATCACACCAGACCAATTAAATCAGAATCTCTGGAGGCTGGCACTCTGGCATCAGTACTTAAAACAGCTCCCCAGGAGATTCTCAAAGGCAGCGATGGTGACAAACCACAGCTCTGTACAATAGAACAGGCTGCTCCTTTATAATTATTAATCATAGTGTATATTAATTCATCATCACATACGTGGCTAGAAAAAAATTTAGAACAAAAAGATATGTGATATGTAAAGGCCTACGATAATTCAGACTTCTTTGAGGAGAGCTTTTATTTTATTGTTATTCTTATTTTATCTCTTGTCAATATAAATTGAGAGAATAAACAGACAAACATTACAAATTAGTGATTAATTGCATTTAAAGCCTAGTTAAGACTATTTAAGACTATTATGCATAATACAGGAAAACTACCTGTATTATTTATAGTGGGTGCCTTCTGAAGGATCTGAAGGAGAATCAGTTCTATGCCTCTCTCCTCATTCCCAGGAGGTGCCTGGCATTCCTTGGCTTGTAGACGCATCACCCTAATCTCTACCTCTGCCTTCACATGGTGTCCCCTGTGTGTGTGTTTTTGCCCCATGTGTCTCCTCTTTTTATATGGATGCCAGTCATGAGATTTAGGCCCACCCTAAACTACTATGACCTTATTTAAAGTAAACTTAACTAATTACATCTGCAAAGACCACATTTCCACATAAAGTCATATTCAGAGTTCCAGGTAGACATGGATTTTTGGAGGACACTCTTCAGCCCAGTACTGCACTCATATTACTCAACTTCTCCACTGCTTTTGATGCTGTTCAACACTCTTCTGAGAACTCCTTCCTCCCATATCTTCTGTGTCTATTTTGCCTGTTTTGCTCCCTTCTGTCATAATGCCCCTAACAACATATTGCAAGAGTCTGCTAAATAAATATCTGCTTCCTCTTATTGTCTGTGCAATCCTGGAGGGCAGGGAGTTGACTTATTCAGGTCTCTATGTGAACACCAACCAATTTTTAGCTCATGGAAGCCCGTAGTAAGAATTGGAAAAAAGGAAGAGAGGAAGAAAAAGAGAAGGTTGTGACTTCTGCCTCCATGGACATCATGAGGAAACACACACGTGCCTTGACTTGATGGAACTATGCAATTCATTTTTTAAAATATTGGCATTTCATACTCACATCAAATATCTTGCACCTGAATGATATCATTCCAGCTAGTACAGTTTCTGGTTATAAAATTGTAGATGAGGATTAATGATTATTAAGCCCGGTTTTCCAAATTATTGAGGCTCACAATTTTGAGAAGTGTGATTTCCATAGATTTGTTTAAGAAGTAAAAGGCTGGCCAGGCACAGTGGCTCATGCCTGTAATCCCAGCACTTTGGGAGGCCAAGGTGGGCAGATCACCTGAGGTCAGGAGTTTGAGACCAGCCTGGCCAACATGGCAAAACCCCGTCTCTACTAAAAGTACAAAAATTAGCTGGGTATGGTGGCAGGTGCCTGTAATCCCAGCTACTCAGGAGGCTGAGGGCAGGAGAAGCTTGAACCCAGGTAGCAGAGGTTGCAGTGAGCCGAGATCGCACCACTGTACTCCAGCCTGGGCGACAAAAGCGAGACTCCGTCTCAAAATAAATAAATAAATAAATAAATAAAATAATAATAATAATAATAAATAAAAGGCTTCTATATGCACAGAGGATTTGTTTCACATATTGATTCTCTTATGTGGTCTTCATTTCACAACTGTATGAATCTGTAGCATGAAATACATATTTGGCAAGTAAAGATTCTATAAAGGAAAGAGTAGGAAGGTATAACGAACCAATTCTGAGATTTCCCTAAGCAATCAGTTCACCTGCTTGCCTCCATGGAGGCCATCATTGTCTTCTAGCACAATTTGTGAGAGACAGCAAGGCATCTTTTTACCACTATTAACCTAATCTATGGCAGTGTTCCCAGGGACCAATGTTGTCAGTTGTAGAGTAATGCCATTTAGAGGCTGGATGGGTTTACAGTTGCAGCCAAGCAAGGGTCTGCATTGAATTGACCCAAACAGGGAATTTTCAAGTAATTTCTCTATCTTTGTATGTGTGAGTTTTTTAGTAGTCAATTCAATTTTCATTAGCTTGTCAACTCTAATATCTGACAACTGAAATATAAAGTAGGGAGGAGAAAGAGCAGAATTAAGAGAAGGAATATATGTGCCAGAGGCAGAGTATTATCATTGTCCTGATGTAGTCATGATGACCTAAGTCATCCTTTGATATTGCTTTCATATAAAGGTTGTAGAATATATGAACCAAATCAAAATGGGACAAGGAGAGCTCCTTGCTCACAAAATGCCTCTGATCTATTGTGTGCATAAAGCATGACTTTATGACAAACACATAGAGACTCTAGATGGGGGAAGTTACAGTCCTTGAGTGATTTTCGTATTCAACCCAGTGGGATCACTATCATTTAGTGGTATATTAAAATGCTAATTCTCATCCAAGGTCAAATTCAACTCCATACAAGCTGTTTTAAAATTCAGAATTGGTTGCTTTATGAAAAGTACATTTGAGACTATTTGGAAATAAAGACTATTTGAAAATTTTCCGGCTTCCTTAACTTCAGTACCTCTTGCCATTGTGTCACAGCTTGGGTGTGGTGGGGGAGGTGCAATCTTCTGGGTAGAGACCAGGAATCCCACTAAGCCTACATCGTATGGGATAGCCCTATGACAAAGAATGACATGGCCCAAAAGGCCAATCATGCCAAGCTTGAGAAACTGCTCAGAATAAGCAGGGAGAGTGAAGAAACAAGCTGATGCTCAAACTAGTGAATCTCATTTTGTTGTTAATCGCCCCTTTTCTGCAACACTTGTGGGTTAGGGAAAATAATTCTAAAGCAAGAGCAAAGACAGAGTTGGGAGATCACCAGTGAGGTTCAATTTTCCATCACATTCACTCTGCTCCACACCTCAGATAATCATGTGCTTAACTGCGCAACTTGCTTGACAATTACAGAACACTTTCTCACCCATTACTACCTTGATCCTCACAATTCTGTGGGGTAGTAGGAGCAGATGCTGAAATTGCCATACGCAAATCAGTGAACTGAAGCTTAGAGACCTCCAGCAGGGGCAGAGGGTCAGCGGAAACTATCCCAGGGTTCAGCCAACAAGAAAGTATATTGGAATCAGAGTATTAAAATAAGAATAATAAAACCAACTAAAATTTACCGTGCTTTTTATTTCCACTCAGTGCCAACAATTCTTAACAGTGTCAGTGATGGATCCCTGTGCCCCAGGGGACAGACTTCTTACTAGCTTCTGCCACTTTGGTCAGCTGCTGTTCTGGGGAGGTTAACTTTCTTACTTCAAATTCACACTAGAGAGGAAAAGGAAATGCATACATATAGGACCAAATTTCACTCCTGATGTCTCCACACACAAAGCTCCTTCACCATGCCAGTCTCAATCTGCTGCTCTGGGGAGGTTAAGTTTTGTTTGTTTGTTTGTTTGTTTTTTGAGACAGAGTTTCATTCTTGTTGCCCAGGCTGGAGTGCAGTGGTGCAATCTCGGCTCACTGCAACCTCCGCCTCCCAGGTTCAAGCCATTCTCCTGCTTCAGCCTCCCAAGTAGCTGGGATTACGGGTGTGCATCACCACACCTGGCTAGTTTTTGTATTTTCACTAGAGATGGGGTTTCACCATGTTGGTCAGGCTGGTCTCAAACTCCTTACTCTCAGGTGATCCACCTGCCTTGGCCTCCCAAAGTGCTGGGATTACAGGCATGAGTCACCATGCCCAGCCAGGAAGTTAAGTTTCTTACCTCAAATTAACGCTAGAGAGGAAAAGGAAATGCATAAATACAGGACCAAATTTCACTCCTGATGTCTCCACACACAAAGTTCCTTCACTATGCCTGTCTCAATCTTGTCATTAAAGTGGTATTTCCTTATTAGGAAAAAAAGAACTAGGTCCTTAAAATACTGTTCATTCCATCCCATGGGTTGAGTACATTACATATTGACAGTGGTACATTCCAGCCACCTGAGACAACCAATCTTATGCCAATCAGTGCTACAGAGAGCACCCCTTGCCTTACAGCTGGCCTAACCACAGCTGGGGATGACTGACTGGAGAATGTTGTGATCTTTGACTTTGTCACAGGTAAAATGGTGTTTCTAACTGTAATCACAGGTCTCTGTGCTGTGCCTTTCACTTCATCACACTCTATTCTCTCTAATTCCAACCCTGCCAAACTCATTAGGCCAAATTTGCTTACTTCTGTGCATTCTACACACTTCCAACAAACCCTATGTTTGCCTTTCCTTGTGATGATAAAGAGAAATGGCAGTTAGTGGTCTGAAAGATGGCGTCTGACCTTTTTATGATGGGGCTGAAGGCTGGATGCTGGAGGCAGGGTGTGTGTTTGGTGCAGCACTGATATTCCCTATGGCAGTGTCAGAGCCTGCCTAAATACAACCTACTGACTAGCATGAAAATATTCCTCTGGGCAAGAGGGAAAAATGTGACACCATGGGAGGTAGGATTTGACATGATACGGATTTGGAAAAATGAAATGTGACAATTGCTAATTCCATACAGTTCAAGGAAAACTGGCCTATTTCAGGTTCCCAGCAGGTATTTAATACTGAAGTGTAAAGAAAGATGGCAAACTTACAATTATTTTGATTGAACTATGGTTATCTCCATTCAACTAAGGGAGCATTTGCAGCAATGCCGATGGGCCAGCTATTTTGGTTTTGCCATATTGTTTCATTTCTTGACCCACGTTACATAATCACTCAGACCAACAACAACTGACTGAATTGTTATTATATTTATATGTATTACCTAAGTATATATTTCCTGTTAGTCTTTCAATGGATAGCTCAAAGCAGATAGAGTGAGAAGGACAATTATGCCTTTGCTTGATTTACTTGAATATAATGCCCCTGACAAAGGTATTTTTGATATAATAAATGTGTGAGTTTCTTGTTTAGAATCTTAAACTCGGTCCGAAGGTTGGGATTTTGCACAATGGGGTTAGAAGAATTCACTGAAACACTTATCCAGCTGAAGGCATATATTGCCAATTTCATATTTGTGTCTTGCTATTTCAAAATATTGCATTGCCAGGCAAGATTTACTGCAGCATTCTGTAGCTTAACCCTCTTTCACATAGGCACACATCCCTCCAAGCTTTTCCAAAGCATGTTTAACAGTGCTACTAGAAATCAGACAAAATGCTCCTACCATTTGGATTTTGGCTTTACCAAGTTTATTAAGTCTCTATCAATGGAGCAGGCTACTCACAGCACAGCACAGTACCTCACATGGTTGCTACACAGATCATCAACCTATACTGCTTAGTATTCAGATATCAAAATCAGCAGAATCAAAAAGGGCTGGAATTAGCTGGTTCCTGTCCAATTCTAACTCCCTGGCGGCCTCTCTCTTAGGGACTCTTGTGTTGGTTTGTGTTCCCAGAGATGGGAGCCTTTAATTGTGATTTTAAGCCATTAGATTATGAACTGAATAATGGCAGAGAAATGCCTACCCAACTGCCATTAGTGAGGACAAGCGTTGTTTTCTTGATAAATTGTAATGTTTAATTTTTTAATTGACAAATCATAATTGTATATATTCATGGAGTACATAGTGATGTTTTTATATATAGTGTACAGTGATCAGATCAAGGTAATTAGCCTAGCCATCATCTCTAACATTTATTATTTCTTCGTGTAGGGAACATTCAAATCCTCCTTGGTGCTCTTTGAAACTATATATTATTGTTAACTATAGTCATTGCTGCTAACTTGACCAAGAAACCTAAATAAGCATTTGTCTATAGTCGACCTTTCTGCATGCCTCAGAACAGTAGAAGGGGACTTGCTGACAGAGACCCACAGTCACGTGGGGTCCAAGTTTTGAACTTTCCCCTGACTGGCCAAGTGACAGGCAGCAGTCACTGTGGTCTTTAAAATACCCCAAAATACAACATAGATTGTGGTATAACTTTCTCATCTGAGTTTTCCAACTAGCAAGAAAATCTCTATCTATGTGTGTCATTATGTCTCATTTTTCCTCATTTTTAGGCAGTATATAAGTTAAAGAATCTGGTTTGTGTTTTCTCCTGCATATTCTGTGATTTATTTGAAGGTTCGCAAATTATATAAAGCTAAAAGTTATTTTTACATGTAAACTACATAGAATCACATAGCATTATTTTGTTGTTTTACTATGACAAATGTCTCTAATTTAAGGCATTGGGCCTTATAACCTTTGTTAGTAAATGGAATTGGAGAAGAAGTGTGCCTAATTAATATTTTGGTTTGAAAAGTAAGATTACTGTATTAGAATTTTATCCAAGGATTAAATTTTTAATAGGGTATTTAGGTGAAGTAATACTTTTTTTTTCATCCTTCAAGAGAGTAATTAATTCTACAAAATATTAAGCCTGCTGACTTTGAATATTTTTAAATGCTTTAGATTTATTAGACAAATGCTCATTGTCTACCTGTTGTAGGCTACTCTAGGACTTACATTCCAGTGGAAGAAGACAGATCATAAACAAATAAGTTTCAAAAATCAGTGGGTATTGGGAAGAGAAAAATAAAGTAATGGAAGCAAGACGGGGAATACCAGGGAGGCTGGAAGGAATTAAAGAAAATACTATATCAGGTGATCAGCATGCAATAGATGCTCAGTAAGCACTTGTTACCATTTGAATGAGTACATGGATGGATGAGGTGGTTGGTTAAGGCAATTTCAGAGTATCACATGCCAAAAGCAGTTTAAGGGATGGGGAGCCACTGACGGCTTTTGATCAAGGGAACAGCATGAACAGTTCTTTGAGCACGTGAAACACTGGAAAGCCATTTTCAAAGTGCACTTTATGCTTACTTTTCATCGATTTTGTTGCCACTTTAACTCTCCCTGCGACAGTCTTTGTGACTCTGAAAATTATCATGTGAATAGGCATCATTTAACAATAGGTATTGATAGGGTGAATATTAAGTCACCAAATAAGTGAAGGTCTTAGACAAAAGCCTTTTTAATAGAGGGTGAAAGCTAGACAGGAAGCAGTGAACGTAGAGTAAGCCCCAAATAGATATATTTTATTTCCCAGACTCTAGGAACTGAAATGCTTTCAAAGAATCTGATAGGAATAGTCTTGCCTTTCATTCTCACGTACTGGTTCATATTTCACTCAGGTTTGTTTCCATCAAAAATAGTTCCATCTAAGGATACTTTGTTACCCTATGTTGTATGAAAAAGTGGATTTTCTCTTTAGTTGCTAGTACTGTATTCTGTGCGGAAAAGACCATTGGAGTCACCCCTATTTTTTGCAGGCTCAGGGGTTGGTATTAGATGAAGAAACACAAGATTTCTCTGTCAGTTGGGAAATCCTTTTTCCTCTTAGGAGTTTATTAGGTTTTTTAGCTGCCACTAAGTTTAGCTTATAAGAAGAGAGGGAAACAGCCTCTGAAACTTCCAGGCTGATCCTTTCATTTATCTAAATTCCATTTCTACCTCTGCAGAAAAGGGCTAGATAACAAATCTGATCCTCTTTTCTCTACAGTAATAGCTCCCACCCAAAGACTATTATAAGGCTAAATAGGACAGGATCTTAAGGACTGAGAAGTGCCATAGAGAACATTGCCTCCTCCCTCTTAATTTTACAGCTGAGCAAACTGAAGCCCAAAAGATTAAGTTATTTTCCCAGGAGTCACATCAGTAAGAAGGTCATATGTAAAATTAAAATAGGTGAGACAGTTATTCATTGAATGATGTGAACCTGTCTTTCCAACCTAGGGATCAGATGTTAAGAATCGTAACAATGGGTCGGAAGGGTAATGGGCACTCAGAGAATCTGTATGAATCCCAGGCAACCAAGCTACTATGGGAGAGAAGAGAAATAGCCCAGCCAGATACAGTCTGCATGGGCTGCACCACTGGCCCCACCTCCGCTAACTGCTTATTGCCCACTGATGCGTTATGATCTTTAGCCATCCTGATCACTCTTGGATTCATCACTGCATTCTCTACTCCATCCCAGGTTCCCTAATACATGTACATATATATGTGCCTCACCCCCTCAAGATTCAGACTCCCAGTTGAGAGCATCTCATTGGCCACATGACATCATCTACGGTTCCCTAATTGCTGGGGTTAGTGGAAGGGGACAGAAAAGTTAGGGATAGGCTCTTACCTCTCACCTGTCTTGTGACTCTACCCAAATCAACGTGTGTTTGGATGCAGAATTGTCAAAATGACAATACTCACGATAACTCTGTGCAGTAGTAGCTCTGTTCTGCACTTGACTCAGAAAGCAGTCATAGTCAGAGCTCTGGCATGCTCTAAACCAAGATTTGGTTGGAAATTTGATCTCTCATGGAAAAGGTGCTTTTGTTATTGTTGTTTTCTCATGGAAGAAGCAACCAAACATCTGTTGAATCTTTAAGTCAGATTGTCTCAAAGCATGTTGGAAACAACACCTACATCAGAATCATCTAGGGTGCTTATTAGAGCAGATACCTCATCCCTCAACCCAGAACTGCTGATTTGAAATTCATGGGGCCCAGATACAAATGCACACTGAATTGTGAGGACTGCTGATCTATACTCAGTCACTACATATGTTCCTGTAGGATGTTACATCCTTTCATGGACTTTTTCGATTTGTTGCCAACCACATAGAGAACTAGAAAGTTAGGTCAAGAAATAAGAGAAAGTATTAGGTTTAGATTTCTGGGTGCCAAGCAAGCCCTGCAATTATTTAGTTATTGTGTCTTTATGGTTACTGTATCTTTATTGTTACTAGGTCCACATAGTTACCATGTTATGCTCTACAAGGGCAGAAGAGTAAAATATATTAAGCTACTAGCAAGTGCTCATCATACTCACACTGAAGGAATTTGCTAGCAAAAGCCATATTTGCATTCTAACTTGGTGCAGTGATTTACAAAGTGTGGTCCCTAGACAAACAGCATCAGCATCACCTGGGAACTTGTTAGAAATGCAAACTCGCTCCTACTCTGTCCCCAGACTTACATTTTAACTAGCTTTCTGGGTGATTCTGATGCATGCTAAAGTTAGAACTGCTGCTCTCAGCTTCCATTTCCTTGTCTGAATAAAACAATGATAATTGATCCTTCATAGTTTTTCTTTAGATTATTTTCTGTTGTCATTATAAAACTAAGATAATGTACAAAAAGGCACTTAGTTCAAGGTAAGTGTTCAATAAATAGTAAGCATATTATTGAGCTTATATTTAATTTACAAACACTGCTCTTATTTTCTAATTGTTTAACTTCAAGAGAATCCACAGGTTGCCTACAATATAAGCAGTCATGTTAGATGTTTTATATATATAAGTTCTAAATGGGATGCAGAAGTTCTAAAATTGTGATACTTAACCAGGAAAATGGCAGATTTTTATTCTTCCATTTTAGAAATTAGGACCAGGCTACTTACTTTTCTACTGTCATTTAAATCCACTTTAAGGTATTCACAATGACTTTAACATGACATTAATAAGCTTAGTGGGTCTTTGAATTTCTTAATCCCAGTTTCCTGGGGCTAAATACAATAATCTGTATCTCTTCATCTTTGACACGCTGATAAAAATCCCTGAACCTGGATTTGCATTTGGTTTTCAAAATCAATCATTTTGCTATTCAAAGGCAAGGCAATTGAGTGAGGTTTGAGATTGAAATACATATCAACCCCACTAGAGGGTGACCTTTATCTAAATCAGGGTGCATATAAAGTAAGGGCATCTTCTGTAGCCATCTCATAAAATTGGATTGTATAACTGTTTACTCAAGGTGAAGGAGAGGCTGAGAAGTGATTCTTACATGAATAATTAATAACTTTCAATTTCTAAATAATCTATTAGTCTTGTGGGAATATTTAAAACCAAGCTATTGCAAATTTCTCAGTTTGTATTTTAGGATAAAATTCCTTATTAATAAATTCAGCTCTGAATTTTAAAATTATCTGCTTCAATTCCAATTCAAAATATATTCCCCCCTTTTCTCCCAAAAGACACACACAACTAAACATATGAGAAAATAGAACCCCAAATTTGTTTCATAAAAACAAGCAAACAAAAGGCTATAGGACTTTGTTAAGTTTTATATGGTGATTTAGAAATAAGACAAACATATTCTCTAGATACCAAAGGAGAAAAAGAAAATCCAAATGTTCACATAGTAATTAGAGAGCTCAGTTTAGGTCAACCTTAAGAAATTAATGTTGAACACCATATTTGGTTTATCTTTTATAGTTCAGATTTAGAAAGTAAAACATTTGTGTTATAACTCCTCTGCTAAAATCTCTCGGTTTGATATCAGAGTTCAATGTTATTCTTAAAACCACCTCAATAAATATTTTTTTGTAGTACTTAAAATTTCAACTCAAAATTTGCAACACTATGAATACAAGTAATATTTATGTATTCTGAGCACTTTTTATACTAACTTAATTTTTTAAAATTTGATCTTTAATAATTATTGACAGAAAAAATCTGGGCTCAGGATAGTGCCAATTGTATGAAAATATGTAGATTCAACTGTTATTTGCTTCTTTTCTAGGACAGTTTTTTGTTTGTTTGTTTGTTTGTTTTTTGTTTTTTTGGTGGTGGAGGAAGGAGTCTTGCTCTGTCACCCAGGCTGGAGTGCAGTGGCACGATCTCAGCTCATGGCAACCTCCGCCTCCTGGATTCAAGCAGTTCTCCTGCCTCAGCCTCCCCAGTAGCTGGGATTACAGGCATGTGCCACCGCACCCGGCTAATTTTTGTATTTTTAGTAGAGACGGGGTTTCACCATGTTGGCCAGGATGATCTCAATCTCCTGACCTCGTGATCCGCCCACCTCAGCCTCCCAAAGTGCTGGGATTACAGGCGTGAGCCACCGTGCCTGGCTTTAAGACTATTTTAAAGAGTGTTTCTAGAACACTGAATGGTTATCTTACAAATAAAAAAAACAACTAAACTCATGCAAAACAAGACTACGGCAATTAAACTTGGATTCTCAGGTACAAATGACTTTCATTTTTATCTACCTCTACAAGCCAGAAAAATAGCATATTATAAAAATGCATTTCTATTAAAACACAAAGAAAGGTTTTATGTGGCATGAATTAGTCTAAAATAAATTTTTAACTTTAATCTAAGTTCATAAGGAGATATTAACTTTGGAAAAAGGTAAGTCTTTGAAGGATGGGTGGCTTTATCATTATTGTATTTTTGAAGGAAGGTTGCAGTCTGAATTGAAACCTTTCTTCCAAGAAAATTCAGCCTGCTGTGCTCTCGTACTAAAATAGTATCTGTAACAATGGCATATGATTTTTATATAGAATTGGGAAGAGCTACACTAATAACTTTTACAATCTCTCTTGTTCATGTATTATTTACCTGAGAATAGCTACTCCTGTCTTTAAGATTAGGTACTTTTTCCATTAATTAAAAAACTCCCATTTTAAAACTATAGAAGACGTTCTTGAAAAGTGTATGTGGGTTGAGAATAAGCATATACTCTTATCACTAACCCAGCCTAAAGCTGACATGGGGCTAAACTTTCCTTTGCAAATTAGAGTTGAAAGAGAAAAAATGCAATTCAATTACTTCATGAGGAAGCCACTCAGACTTTCCCACCAGTTGCAGACTAATCAGATGACAAATATGCCTAATTGTTTGTCAACTGATAAGATATGACAGTCCTGTCCATGTGGAGAACAGCAATTCAGGCAGTTTCTTCAATTCTCTCTCCAGTTTGAGATCAAATTACCCCAATTTTTCTGAATTCCTTGAAAATTTGATCTGATTTATTTTTAGCCAACTCTTTTGATCATTATTTTTTATTTACTCATTTTTTTTGGAAGAGACGGGGTATTACTCTGTCACCTGGAGTGCAGCGGTGTGATCATACCTCACTGCAAACTGAAACTCCGAGGTGCAAGCAATCCTGATTCAGCCTCCCAAAGTGCTGGGATTACAGGCATGAAACACCATGCCTCGCCTCTGGTTCTTCATGTGTAACGTAAAGTTTAAGAGGCAATTGACAGACATAAAGAAAATTGGGAAAGAATATACAAGGATTAAGAGGGTGGGTAGTGTGAAGTGAGAATTATTTTATTCTTATGTTATGCATCTTTGTGAAAAAACGTAGCTAACGTGAGCTATTCTAAGTATTTCTAGAATGTCTTCTCTGCATTCTTTTGAACTAAACTCAAAAGTAATTTTAACCCAAAGTTTGATATTTCCAGACATTGTTATGATTACTATATCACATATAGTAATGTTTCTGTAGTATTTGTTTGTATAAGTTTATATGTACATACTTAGATATTTACTCCTTCCTGTTTTCTTGCAACAATGTTGATATGCCGTATAAGTTCTTAGGCAAAAAGATATGTCATTTAACTTCCATTTCTGTTAGGAAGTGTATTCTACTTAGCATTTTAACCCTAGTTTACAGTTAAATGAGAACCGAGAACTGATTTTTTTCTCCAAGTTTAATAACTGTCATCTTCCTCTTCATCATTATTATGAGTATTTTGGATTTTCAGATTCTCCATTTATAGAATGGAAATCACAGGAACTGTTCAACTATTTTTGTTAAGAAATTATTATTATTTTTTTCTTTTTGTTATGGAGTCTTACTTCGTCACCCAGGCTGGGGTGCAGTGGTGTGATCTCGGGTCACTGCAATCTCCGCCTCCCAGGTTCAAGCAATTCTCCCGCCTCAGCCTCCTAAGTAGCTGGGACTACAGGTGCATGCCACTACGCTCGGCTGAGTTTTGTATTTTTAGTAAAGATGAGGTTGCACCATGTTGGCCAGGCTGGTCTTGAACTCCTGACCTCAGGCGATCCACCTGCTTCACCCTCCCAAAGTGCTGGGATTACAGGTGTGAGCCACTGCACCTGGCCATTTGTTATTGTTAAAATGAAGGTATACTCTAGTGATATGGCTTAAACACATTAGAAACACTGACAAAGATAGAGCAACAGGGAAAGATACTGTCTGAGCAGAGCTCTGTGATAACTCTTGGCAACAAAGAAGAAGCTGGCTTTTCTCTACTTTTTTATTAAGGCAGGAGGAAACACACATGGGTGGATGGCTCCTTTGTCCATACCATCTGCACTGAAACAGTGACCATGCGGCACCCTGGATCAGCCCCTAGGAGCCCCAGCAGCTGAGGAGCTTCAGGGAGCCAGAGAAACAGCCTAGGAGACACCTAATCCAACTCCAAACTAGGAAGATGACAACATTCATCCTCAAAACATTCTTAAGAGTAATCTAGCTAGCACGAAAAGGCAAAGAAATGGCTATTCCAGGCACGCGGGCATACGTGGTCTCCAGATTTGGCCGCTTTCTTACTTTGTTTTCTATTTTGTTTTGTTTTTGTTTTTTTCATGGGCAGTGTTCAATGGCCTCATCTGGCTACTTTCTTCAAACATAGGTCTCCTTGCCTGGCATTTAAAGGATGTTTTTTGAGCTTTTACTCAATAACGAGTACCAGAAACTCTCCTACACTGTTGAGATAAACAAGGAAATTTTTTTTTTTTTTTTGAGACGGAGTTTTGCTCTTGTTGCCCAGGCTGGAGTGCAATGGCTCCATCTCAGCTCACTGCAACCTGCGTCTCCCGGGTTCAAGTAATTCTCCTGCTTCAGCCTCTGCAGTAGCCGGGATTACAGGCATGCGCCACCACGCCCAGCTGATTTTTATTTTTAGTAGAGACGGGGTTTCTCCATGTTGATCAGGCTGGTCTCCAATTCCTGACCTCAGGTGATGCGCCTGCCTCAGCCTCCCAAAGTGCTGGGATTACAGGCGTGAGCCATCGCGCCTGGCCAACAAGGAAATTTTAATAAGAAAAATATTGGTTTAAATTACATTTTCAATGACAACAATAAAAATTTGCAAACCACAAAATCCAAAAAAGCAAATCAATATTTAGGAACAAAATACTTTAAGACTTTAAGTTGAGAAGGTGGAACTAAAATAGAATTTAGGTCTTCTTTTACCACCATTCAAATTACAGACCGTGTGTGTGTGTGTGTGTGTGTGTGTGTGTGTCTGTCTGTGTGTGTCTGTGTGTGTGTGTATTTGATCATATATAATATATGGAATGTGGTATTACTGAATTGCATTTGCATGTCATATTTTTTAATTGGGTCATACCATTAAATATATATCACTTATATATTTAAAATGTTGCAAGAGAAAGATAAATTTACCTTAATTCCAAAAGAATTCCTTCATCCTCACTAACAGAACCTGCTTTTATTAGGGGGTCATATGTCCTAATTCTGGAAGTTGATGTTTGGTTAAAGGCTACTAAACAATTATCAAACCATAATTAAACTGTGATTAATACATTTCACTTTTTATATCTGTCATAGCAGCCCCACTTCGCTTATCCAGTGATTAGTCTAGGTGTGGTTATGTGCCCCTGGTTCTGAACATTAAGATAAATAATATTTTTTAGAAAGCTGCTGAGAAACTATTTTCTTTTTCCAAAAAGATAGCCATTTTTTGGCCCTGCCCTCTTCTAGCCTACTTGGGATGCTGTTCTATGAAAATATAATGTTTGGAGCTAGAGCAACCATTATGTGCGAGAACGTCATCAATAACTTAGAATGGCAGAAGGGAAAAAATAGAGAGAACATGAGTTCCTGATGAACTCAGAGGCACTGATCTAACACTAGAAGCACCAAGGTTTAGAGACTTTCTGTATGAAAGGGGCTCACTTTCCACTGCGTAAGCCAATGCAGTTTGGGAAATCCCAAATTCAGCTACAATTCCCTTGTTGCTAAAAGCATTCTGAAATGATACAGAGACTGACTTTGCCAAGTACTTTCATTTAATATCATCATTCATAATATTATTTTTAGTTTAATATCATCATTCACAATATTAAGACTTGTTTGTATTTTATACATGTAGATTACTGTTCTTTTGTATTTTATGCAACTGATTAAAATTTGTATAGAATATGTTAAAAATTCATTTACATCAAATTCTAACTATTTCATTCTTCTCTGGTCAACAGTGCATTAGACTGTTGAAAAGATAAAGATGATATAAACATGTTTTTGATGTTATTTCTAGTGAAGCAAAAACAAGTACTTCATATTTCTATTTTTCTCTTTAATGGTTGATATTTCTTTACTTACAGACTTCATTTAAAATGTGCCCATTCATATTTACTGATAGGAGTTAAAGTGTATCAAAGGTGATAATTAAAAGTGAAATAAAATATATGGTGTAGAATGCTGTTTAATCTGTTTCACAATTGAGTTATTTTAATGAATCAACATGAATATTATGTTACCTCTATAGATCAGATAGAAAAAAAAATTCTCCACAGTAGTCTCTGCAAATCTCATATTCTCACAGGTATGTGTCCAAGGATGGAGTTGTTTTTTTTGTTTGTTTGTTTGTTTTTGTTTTGTTTTGTTTTTTTCCCCCAGAGAAGGTTTCCACATCTCAGCATTATTTTTTTTATATATAACATTAGGGAATCCCATGAATGCTATATTTAGCCAATAGGAACTAGAGCAGGAGTCAGCAGGCATTTTCTGTAAAGTGCAAGTTAAGTGTTTTAGGCTTGTGGGTCAGATGGTCTCAACTGCTACTCCTCCACTGCGTTTGGACGTCAAAAACAGCCTTAGGCAATATGTAAATTAATGGTCTTGGCTGTCTTCCAACCATACTTTCCTTAAACAGTTGGCAGGCTGTATATGACCTAAGGGCTTGTTGTTTTCTCACTCCTGACCTAGAGATTCCATTTTTGCTTCGTCAACCTGGGCTTTTAAATGTGGTTCTTGGAAACTTAATGTATGTATTTTCCCTGATGCATAATTGCTGAGAATTCCTACTGTGGAACTTATTAAGACATCAGTGGGGGAGCCTTTGCAGCACCTACGACAGTTCTGCCTCCAGACCAACATCCTCCTCCACCCTGAGTCAAATTTCTCTTTTAATTTTTTCAATTAATAAACTTTTAAAAGCAGTTTTAGCTTTACAGATAAATTGAGCAGTAAGTAGAGCGTTCCCATAAACCCCTTTTGCTCCCATCCCTCCCTCCACCTATTTCCCTTATTCACATCTTACATTAGTATGGTACAAATTTTATAATGAACGAGCCAATATTGATAAATTAATATTAGCTAACGTCCATAGTTTACATTAGAGTTAACTCTAGGTGTTGTACATTCTATGGGTTTTGTCAAATGTATAATGACATGTATCTACCATTATAGTAACATACAGATAGTGTCACTGCCCTAAAAATCCTGTGTGTTCACTTACTCATCATCCCTCCCTCTCTCCACCCTCCCCCTCTCCTCTAGACCTTGGCAACCACTGATATTTTTACTGTCTCCGTTCTGCCTTTTCCAGAATGTTATATAGTTGGAATCGTATAGTGTATAGGCTTTTCAGACTGGCTTCTCTTACTTAGTAATATGCATTTAAGGTTTCTCATATTTTTTGATGGCTTTATAATTTTCCTTTATCACTGAATAATATTCCATTGTCTGGAAAGCTTGTTTGTATATTCCCCTATTGAAGGCCATCTTGATTGCTTTCAAGTTTTGGCAATTAGGAATAAAGCTGCCATGAACATTTACACCAAGTTTTTGTGTGGATGTAAGTTTCCAACTCATTTGAGTAAACACCAAGGATCAAGGTTTTTAGATCCTATGGTCAGTTATCTTTTCTGGTGACCATACTAGCCCCATCACTCCCAGTTACTGTTTGCATTAGTTTTCATTTTCATTTCTACATCACATAACAGTCACTCCTGTTATTCACAATATTATTTTCCTTCACAAAGACTTCTCCAGCAGAAAAGAAGATGGATGAATGCCATTCATCCCTCAAAATTGGAACCTTTCCTCAAAATATGTGTTTGTGTATGTACTACTATTTTTAAAAACTTTTATAACTTGCAGTTTGTTTTCATCCTTAAAGGTTATTGTCAGTTCATCCTGCATTTTTTTTTGTCATTCTGTATGTATAGTGAAATATAGTCAAGTGCTCTATATCAGTAAGTCTGGAATGTTCCATTCTGGCAGTTATATGCTGGGATACATAACATTGTTGCACAAGCCAGAGTAAGTGTAAAGATTGCTGTATCTTATTTGTGCTCTGACCATAGACATGATCTTATTCTATTCAGGCTGCTACACGAAAATACTATAAACTGTGTAGCTTATACACAACAGAAATATATGTCTCACAGTTCTGGAGGCTGGGAACTCCAGATCAAAGTGCTGGAAGACTTGGTATCTGATGAGGGCTTTCTGGTTTGGGGACAGTGTTTTCTCGATGTGTCTTCACTTGAAAGGGGAGAACTCCAGTCTCTTCAGTCCCTCATAAGAGCACTAATCCCATTTCAGGAGGGATTCATCCTCATGGCCTAACCACCTTCCAAAGCCCCACCTTCAAATACCATTACAGTGGGGATTAGGTTCCAACATATTAATTTTGGGGAGGGACACAAACATGTCAGATCACAGCAAACACCAGCTTTAGTAGTCATCTCTTTAATTATTTCACAATAGTTTATAATTTTTTAAACTATCTGATAGGAAGCTCTCAGTTGGACTGTATTTTTCAAAGTCCATGTGAAGAAAGGGCAAATAAAATTCTGGTTTGAAAAGTAACAAATGTTCTCAGATGCAACATTTGCTAAACTCCAAATCTTTATATAGATTTATATAGACAAAAAGTCAAACGTGTCTCCTAACCCTAACACACATGTAGAGAAAACATTGGATTCTGAACATGGAGGTTGTAAAATAGGGTTTATTTTCCTTTTGCATACTTAGAAATTTTAATTGTGATAAAAATACAAAATTTACCATCTTAACCCTTTTTTATTCTCTATTTCTGTATTTTTGTCATTTTAAGAGTGTTACATAGATGAAATATGACAATATGTAACCTTTGGGATTGACTTTTATTGTTGTTTTGCTCTGTATAATTCTCTAGAGATTTATACATGTTGCTGCATGTATCAATAGTTCATTCCTTTTTATTACTGTCATATTCCATGGTATGGATGTACCACAGTTTGCTTAATCTTTCCATTTTTAAATGTACACTTGAATACTGTTCGGTATATTTATATGGCTGTCCATCAGATCTCCAGAAATCTCACCCTGCGAATCTGAAACTCTTCACCTACCAAACAACTTCCCTTTCCTCCTCTCCCTAGCCACCGGCAACCGCAATTCTAATTTGTTTCTATGAATTTAGCTACTTTAGTTACCTCATATAAGTGGATTTGTATAGTATTTGTCTTTTTGTGACTGACATATTTGACTTAGCGTAATGTTCTCAAGGTTCATTCATGTAACATGTATCAGAATTCTTCCTTTTAAAAACTAAATGATATCCCATTGTGTGTACCTACCAAGTTTTGTTTATTCATTCATCCATTGCTGGACATTTGGGTTGCTTCCACCTCTCAGATGTTGTGAATAATGCTGTTGTAAACATGGATGTGCAAGTATCTCTTCAACTCCCTGTTTTCAATTCTTTGGGACATATACTCAGAAGTGAAGTTGCTGGATTATATAGTAATTCTATTTTTTTTTTTTTTTTTTTTTTTTTTTTAGAAACCTCCATACTCTTTTCCTTAGTGGCTGCAAGATTTTATAATTCCACAAACAATGCACACAGACTCCAATTTCTCCACATACTTGACAGCACTTGTTATTTTTTGTTTTTTAATTTGTATAATTTAGGGGCTACTAGTACTGTTTTTCTTTGTTGCTGTTTTTTTACATGGCTGTATTGTATAGTGGTAAAGTATGGGCTTTTAGTGTACGTTGTACCCATTAAAGAATTTATCTGTCGTCCCCCTCCTATCCTCACCCCCTTTCAAGTCTCCAGTGTCTATTAATCCATACTGTATGTCCATGTGTACAGATTATTTAACTCCCACTTATAAGTGAGAACATGTGGTATTTGGCTCTATGCTTATGAGTTATTTCACTTAAGATAATGACCTCTAGTTCCATCCATGTTATTGCAAAATATATAATTTCATTCTTTTTTTATGGCTGGGTAGTATTCCATGGTGTGTGTGTGATACATATATATGTAACATCTTCTTTATCCAATCATCTGTTGATGGACACTTAGGTTGACTACCTATCTTTGCTATTTTGAGTAGTGTTGTTATACACATAAAAGTCCAGGTGTCTTTTTTTTATAGAATAATTTCTTTTCTTTTGGATATAGACCCAGTAGTGGGATTGCTGGATTGAATGTTAGTTCTATTTTTAGTTCTTTGAGATATCTCCGTACTGTTTTCCATAAATACTGTACTAAGTTAAATCCCCACCAACAATGTGTAAGCCTTTTCTTTTCCTCTGCATCCTCTCCGACACCTTCATTTTTTGACTTTATAATGATAATTATTCTTTCTGGTGCAAGATGATATCTCATTGTGGTTTTAATTTGCATTTCTCTTGATTAGTGATGTGAGCATTTTTTCATATGCTTCTTGGCCATTTGTATGTCTTCTTTTAAGAATTGTTCCTTTCCCCACTTTTTAATGTGGTGTTTTGTTGTTGCTGATGTTGTTGTTGTCTGAATTCCTTGTAGATTCTGCATGTTAATCTTTTGTTGGATGCATAGTTTGCAGATATTTTCTGCCATTGTACAGGTTTGTTCCCTCTGTAGCCATCCTAATGGGTGTGAGATGATATCTCATTGTGATTTTCATTTTTATTTTAATGATGATCAGCAATGTTGAGCATGTTTTCATGTTTGTTGGTCAGTAAGGTGAGTTTTTGTCGTTTTCTTCATCATCAGCCTCATGTAAGTGTCCTAGTCTACCTGCAGTCTTGTCTCATCCCTTAACAATTAGAAGGAGAGTCATCATTTAAAGAACTTGCCAAAAGTAATTAATTAGATCTGTTTGAATTTTTTAATTTTCAAAGTAGCATTTTGTAACTTTTCTTTCTGTCTAAATTTCCCAGTAAACTTCCTTGAGGGCAGGAAATTATATCTTTTTCACTGCTGAATCTCTGACACTTATTATAGAGCTTGCTAGTTAATGGGTACCTAATACTTGTTTGCTGGATGAATCACACAGTCTTGATGAAAGACATTTTTTCCCCAGCATCTATCATGTACTCATTAGCAGAGCTCAGTCGCTAAATTGCCTTTACCAGAGGCTATTCTGAGGCTTCTTTCTTTGGCAGGTACTCATCTATTTCTTATTTGGGGCTCATTATCTAATGGAGAAGAGCTTCATTGACAATGCTCAACATACCACTTTCCTGCCACAAAATGCCTTATACACCATAGAGACTTTAGTTACCAGGCAAACCTAGAGGCAAATATCATAGTTTAGACAGTCTACCCAGAATGAAGTATATTTTCCAATCTAATAATCTAATGTTTTCTGAGAGTCAAAAGGTGTAGAATGCTGTTTCTTGCTGTAACTATTGCTAGTTTCTGGAAATGAATACAATTAAGTTTCTAAAGTATACCAGAATTATGGCTAGAGAATGCGTTATGATAATTTTAAGGGGTTTCCCATGTGAATATCACATGATAGAAGGGACACCATTTTTCACATTGGACAACACTGACTGCTTAACATGTAAATAATCACTCAGGTTGAGTAAAGCACACTCCTGGCATTGATAAAGTGCCTTCTCATGCTCCTGCCTACCTACTGTTGATCATCACACAAACTCTACCAGGCACTTTATGCAGTTTGCCCTTCTCGCCTAAAATAAAGCAAGAGAAGGGAAAATAAGTAGCTTCATCTACTTACCTAATTACTTAGAGCAACAATTCTTAACTGCACTCTCTAGGAGTATATGAACATATTGAAATTGCATTCGACATTGCATGAGTACTAACATTTTTGGGGGGAAGCACCACTGAGCTAGAGTTTTCAGTATTTTCTAATAATAAATACTGTCAGTATATAAGATGACTGAGAAGCATGTGAATTGAGACTGAGAACAAGATAGAGAATATTGTCTGGTGATTTGGGGCATAGGTTTTCATCTCTACATGCCTTTTACATCATTACTTTTGAGAAGTTTCTGTTTGAACTCGGTAAACCTCTTAGCATAATCTAGGTTCTAACTGAATAGTTGTGAATTAGTGTCTAGACTCATAAAATGAAGAAATTGCACAAAACCAACTCATTAAGGTTCCAAATAATTAATCTCAGCCACATTTGAGAGGGTTGGGTTCAGAGGAGTCCAATGTGACAATGTTAAATATTTCTAATTGCAGGCCATTTAAAATTTCTGTAACATCTAAATACCATACATATTAACCATACATATTTATTTTCTTCCTCCATCTATCCTGCACATCTCCGCTGAATTGATCTGTTCTTTCTTTCTATCACATTCTTTCTAGGACACTATAAATGAATCAGTCTGAAACCTACCTCCTTTTCCACTTTTACCTCCATCTACAATCTTGCGAGCACTCTGCCCAAGCAAACTGTTTCCATCTTCATTCCCCTAAGTGTGTTCTCAACATTTCACCTCCATATGTAGGTTCTCACCATGAAACCCACCTACACTCCACTCTTCTCTCCATATAAGCTTTATTCTTCAAGACGTGGTCAAACCTACCTTCTTTGAAAAGTTCTTCCAAACCATCTACATTTAAAACAGTATCTACTAATGAGCTATCAAGCCATGAAAAGAGATGAAGGGAGCTTAAATGCATATTGCTAAGTTAAATAGACCTACTTGTAAAGACTACATACTGTATGATTTCAACTATATGACATTCTGGAAAAGGCAAAATTATGGAGACAGTAAAAAGATTACTGATTACCAGGGATTAAATTAGAAGGGAGGAATTGATGAATGTGTGGGACACAGATATTTTTTAGGCAATGAAATTGTTCTTTGTGATACTATAATAGTAATGCGTGACTTTATACATTTGACAAAACCCATAGAATGTACAGCACCCAAAGTGAACCCTAATGTAAAGTATGTACTTTGAGTGATGATAATGTGCCAATGTAGGTTCATTGATTGCAACAAGTATACCACTCTAGTGCAGGACGCTGATAATGGGGAGGAGTTAGGCATGGGGCAGTGGGTATATGGGAATTCTCTGTACTCTGCTCAATTTTTCTGTGAATTTAAAACTTCTCTATTAAATAAAACGTGTATATATATCCTTACTAAAGCACTCGCAGAATAAGTGTGCTATGTAGTTCACCCAGCCAACAAGAAAAGACATGAATAATCATTTAGTTACATTCTTATTATTTAAGTTCTTACATATTAATTTTCTCCCAAATAAAATGAACCCCTACAGAATCAGGAGCGGCATATGATTCTTTGTCATTTCTGCCATTCTAGTCATAATTCTGACCACATACTAGTGTTCAAACATTTATTTGATGTTTGGTGCCTTCTTTTTCTCACTACTGAAATATAAGGTCTTTGAGGGCAGGGGATCCAACTTATTTTGATTATTCATGAACCCCAAACACCTAGAAGAGAGTCTAGCACAAGGTAGCCACTCAATAAATGCTAACCGAATGAACATACACGCATGTGTTAATAAGTAAAATGAAATAAACTATTTAAAGCATCAATTCTTAATAAAAATGACACGTTTGTTTTTGTTTTGCAGCTCTAGATCTTACAAGTATACAATGGGAATATTTACATCCCCTAGCTCTTAGATTTAAAAGCTATTTCTTTTAGGCTGTATTCCCCCACATACAATCCTGGATGCTCAGAGAGAACATTTTTTAAAACCACTTACTTATTCATTCATTCACTCATTTAATACGTGTTTATTAATCATCTACTGTGCATTATTCTGGACACTGGAGACTCACTTGCAAAGGTGACTGACAAAGTCCCCACTCTAATTGAATATAATGCATTCTGCTAAAATGAAAAAAATGTAACTCACAAAAATAAGATGAATAGTGATTTCTGGATGTTGAGGAGGGAGATGGGGAAACTACATAAGCCAGAAGGTCAGGAATTGTGACTTTGTCCCCGAGAGTTGTATGACATACATGTAGCAGCCCTGAATTAGGTGGTAACAGCCCTGAAATAGGTAAAGTCTCACTGGATGTAGATCTGTAGGATTTTTATAAGGATTTATGGCCAGGCTCTAGCATGCTACTTTCAACATATACAATAAAAAAATCACCCACAAGCTCCCAATCAAAGCATAAAGGCAGAAGTTTATATTCCTAGTGTGCATTTTAATACCTTAGTAAGATACAAAGGTTGCAAATGTTACTGAATTAATCCTCAGCCATTTTAGTGGTCATGGGAACATGGTGAGGGGTTGCTCACAGAATCATCTCAATTTTACAATGCTGCATTTCCTTAGGATCCTTAACTCTTATTTTGGAACTTTTATTTTGGTTTCTATTCTAATTTCCTAAAACATGTGCAGTATATTTGTAAACAATTTTGAGGTTAAATACTATATTCAAATAGAGTGCTCTAGCTTTTAAATACTTGATGCAATTATATATGTATATATACCTGATTTGTAAACCCTCTTTAAATATGGTTCAGTTTTTAAGAAAATGGATGAATATCTTAAATCTTTGAAATAAGCTTATGGTAAAAATATCTACAGATGTGAATATGTTCAATATTTATTTTCTCTTTCAAAAGAACATCAAACTTAAATATAGACAGAGCATAGACATTGCTTCGTTGTATATGTTTCTTTATCTGAACATTCTATCACTGACAGTGTGAAGGCAAGAGAAAAATAATTTCTAAATGATTTTCAAGTGACACTTGCCTTCTTTATCAGTTCTTCAAAGAAGAGGGATTCACCCTCATTCAGTTTTTATTAATATTTTGTTACAAATTAGACAATCACAGATAACAATGTTTTGATGATGGTTCCATTCATAGCATCTTCCAATAAAGCAAAATAAATAAATTAATTAATTAAAAAGCCTTAAATTTTCCTCCTTAAACAACAAGCTTATGTTCCCATTTGTAGAATTCCACAATTGGTAAACAGATCTGAATTCATTTTATTGATCTGCCTCACAGTTATATGAATTCTGCCAGACAGTATTACAGATCTCTTCATTCTTAGTCTCTGTAAACCAAAAGGTATCTGAGACAGGTCTCAATCAATTTAGAAAGTATATTTTTCCAAGGTTAAAGATATGCCTGTGACAGCCTCGGGAGGTACTGACAACATGTGCCCAAGAAGGTTGGGGCAAAACTTGGTTTTATACATTTTAGGGCTACATGAGACATCAATCAATGTATGTATGACGCACATTGGTTCAGCCTGGAAAGGCGGGACAACTTGAAGCAGGGAGGGGACTTCCAGGTCATAGGTAGATAAGAGAAATATGATTGCATTCTTTTGAGTTTCTGATTAGCCTTTCAGTGAATGCACAATTTACAGAAATAGTCACTTATGTCTTCATCTGCTTTAGTGGAACAATGGGGCAGAGGAAGCAATTAGACATGGATTTGTCTCATGTGAACAGAGGGATGACTTTGAGTTCGGCCTGTCCACAAGGAATTTCCTTGTGGACAAATTGCGAGGGAGGTATGTAGCTTTTTTATCTTTGTAACTATCTTATTTAGGAATAGAATGGGAGGCAGCTTTGCCCAATGCATTTCCCAGCTTGACTCTTCCCTTTGACTTAGTGATTTTGGGGTCCTGAGATTTATTTTTCTTTCACATCTTTTAATCATAACTATGGCTAACATTTATTGAGGGCACACTTTGCACCAAAAACTGCCAATCCTCATGAAATTCAATAATTCCATAGAGGTAAATATTTTATTTTGAAGGTGAAGTGATGTTTCCAAGACAGTTGTTAGTAAGATGCTGGGGTGGGAAGCAAATCCAGGTCTGTTTAGTTTCTAAATCTTCAATCTTTTTATTTTCTAAATCTTTAATCTTAATGTCTGCACTATGCTTAGGGTTAACCATCCTCAATAATCACTGGTTTTTCATCTGTAACTTTCTCTTCTTGTTCATTCATTCTTGATGACTTTAATGTAACAGCATTCATTTATTTTTAGTTCTGGGATACATGTGCAGAACGTGCAGGTTTGTTACATAGGTATACATGTGCCATGGTGGTTTGATGCACCTACCAACCAGTCATCTAGGTTTTAAGCCCTGCATGCATCAGGTATTTGTCCTAATTACATGGATGAAGCTAGATTCTCAGCAAACTAACACAGGAAGAGAAAACCAAACACCACATGTTCTCACTCATAAGTGGGAGTTGAATAATGAGAACACATGGACACAGGGAGGGGAACATCACACACTGGGGCCTGATGGGGGTTAGGGGACAACTACATTCATATTTATTGATCTCTAACTCTAGCCACTTCCTGACCCCTCACCTGATTTAGTTTTCTTTCTCTGCATTTTTCTATTATCCTTAAAAGTGTAGTGCTTCAGGGACCACTCATTCCCCTAGGGACAGGCTCAGGGCAGCTATGTAAAAAGGTGTGCTAATACTTGCTAATTTACTTTCAATTTTTCTCCTTAGGGGGCCCACCTTTTAGTTGGCCTTTTTAGTTGCAGCAGCAAACTGGACTGACCAAGTGAATAGAAGAACTAATCTATGAAACCAGATCTGAAAGTTTACACAATTTAATTTGGAAAGCTAAATGTGCCAAGAATAGAATCAAAGTATATAGAATAATAAAAGGCAGGGAAGTACTCTGATGGAATTCTTTTTTTTTTTTTTTTACTGTAATAAAATGTGAGCATAACAACTATTTTTAAAGGTTTAGATGAATTTGTAAATGGTGGATTTGCCGTTGACATCAGTAAGAACCATATCTCATATATTATCCTGAAAAAGTTAAGAATTTTACTTCAGCAGGGTTTTTTTGGTCTTTTACTGATGTTTAATGGATTCACTGACTGGGAATATAATGGTTTCCTATGGAAATAACATTTCTGTTTACTGCTCACCATTAGTAAGCTGATAGTCTCCTACTATAGTACTGCTCATGAGAGAAACCTTTTGCAGATTGATTGATTCTGAGATGGAGTCTTGCCCTGTCTGCCAGGCTGGAGTGCAATGGTGTGATCTCAGCTCACTGCAACCTCTGCCTCCCTGGTTCAAGCAATTCTCCTGCCTCACCCTCCCATATAGCTGGGATTATAGGCACCCACCACCATGCCCAGCTAATTTTTGTATTTTTAGTAGAGACAGGGTTTCACCATGTTGGTCAGGCTGGTCTTGAACTCCTAACCTCAGGTGGTCCATCTGCCTCAGCCTCCCAAAGTGCTGGGATTACAGGTTGCCTCCAACTGGGAAGTCTATCATGGCCATTGTCCTCTTATGTTTCAGTGGTGATGTGGGAACCACTTTGCTTACTGACCGGGGACTTTTTTATAAAACATAAAACCATAAGAAATTTAAGGACCTTTGCCCCTCAAATTCCAGTTCTTTATCTTTCAACTTATTTGCTCTGCAACTAACAATATGTGGTTTGTCTTTGTTATAGGAATGCATGAAGATTTCTGAAGTAATTTGGTACTGAAAAAAAGACATACCCACCAAAAAATAAAAATAAAAAACAGGTTACTAAGGAAAAACTTAAACATGCAACATTGTGGAAAATTACCCTATAGATATTTGAAATGATATTCTGTAAAAGGACAGAAAGCACTCTGGAAACTTATGTTATACTCTTACGCTTTTTTTTTGCCCAAGAATACAAAACTGCAATATTTGACCTTTCAGAAGCACCAATGAACATGGACAAAATGTCATCCAGTTCCACAGGCTAGAAACCTGCACACTGCTTGACACTCTGTTCCCTCAGCTGCCATATACAATTACATAGTGCTGACCTTCTGACCTCCTAAATATTTCTCCAATCAGCCATGTTTTGTCCACCTCCATTGCCAATGCCTTGGCCCACACAACTGTTATGTTTTTTTCTTTCTGGTACTATAATGGACAAACCAGAATTCTTATATCCAAATTGGCTCTCTTTTAGGCTTCACATTTTGGCCAGACTAGCCTTTCCAAATTTGTATCTGAGTGTGACATGTTCCTGCTTAAAACTTCTAATGTCTTCCCATTGCTTTTAGAGAACGATGAAAACCCTTGTAGCAGAATGAGCCGCAGACAAAACCTCTCAGACATTGAGTTGTAGAAGGAAGGGCTTTATTCAGCTGGGAACATCGGCAAGCTACTGCCTCAAAATCTGAGCTCCCCGATTGCAAAATTTCTGTCCCGTTGAAGGGCTCACAACACTAAAGATTTCACCTGAAAGGGTTGTGATTGATTGAGCAATCTAGGGGATACGTGACAGGGGTTTCATGCCCTGGTAGTCAGAGTGAAACAGAACAGAGCAGGGAGTTTCACAATGTTCTTTTATACAATGCCTGAAATCTATGGGTAACATCGGGTTCTAAGTTGATTTTTAACTACTGAGTTTAGGCCAGGCATAGGGTTCTAAGTTGATTTTTAACTACTGGGTTTAGGCCAGGCAGGCCCAGGCCTGGTTTCAGGCCTGGCGCTGGGCTGCCTGTCTTTGGTTTTACTTCCTTGTTGTTTTTTCTTTTTTTCTTAAAACAGGTACTGAGTATAAAACAATATGAGAGCGTCTCTCTCTTCCCTCACCCTTAATGTGACCACTGGTTTCACTCATGCCTAATACCCAAATCCCAAATCCTACTGCTGTGTGTTCACATTCTGCATTCTGATTTCGTTGTTTTCTCTTTTTCATTCAAATGCCTTGTCTCTCCTCCTGCCCCAGGGTCTTTGTATATTATATCACCCTTTCCAGGAATATTCTTCACGCTGCTCTTAGTCTAGTTAACTCATACTGGTGTTTCAGATCTCAGTTCAGAATTCAATGCTTTTCCTTACCACCCAAGCTAGGCCAGATTTATCTATGTGATCTCATAGAAATCATTCCTTTTCTTATAAGAACCTTTCTTAATTTGTAATAATACGATCATTAGTGTAAACATTTGTCTCTCATTAGACTGTACACTTCAAAAAATGGTAAACTATGTCAACTTTTGCTTATTCTAACTTCTCAAGATCAAGAACAGTGATGGCTAAATACTAGGATCTCACTAAATATTTACTGAATAAATGAATGCATGAATTTTAGACATCATTAAGTAAAGAATAAATGGAAATTTGTTTCCATGTGTTCACAGTACTCAAAAATTTTAATTTGTTATTTAATATCTGGTAGACCAATTTTAGTATTTGTAATGGTATATATATATATATATATACATGTATATATATATATATATACTGTTAAAGTATGAGACTATGAGGTGGGAAGAATCATCTTTGTAATTGGTACACACACACCTATATATATATATAGATAGATATACACACACACACATATAAACACACCAATTGGCATATATATATATATATACACACACACACATACAATATATACATATACATATATATATATACCAATTGGTATATACACACACACTGCAATTGGTGTATGTGTGTGTGTGTGTGGGTATATATATATATACCAATTACAAATATTATGATTCTTCCCACTTTATAGTCTCACACTTTCAACTAACAACCTGGAAAGTAAGACAATATAATTCATTAATTTCTATAACATTTCATAATATAATATGAAAATTCACTGCTGATTTTTAGAGGACAAAATCTATAGCATGGTGAACTTTCACAGCTCCAGCTTTATCTAGTTAGAGTTATTTAACCCACAGGTTGACATTCTCCCCTCCTCAGGGTCTCTCTTTCCCCAGAAGGTATTGCCTCTTTTCTTGCTTTCCTGGCCTCCCTCTTCAGTGTTTCATGTTTGTCCTTTTGTGTTAACCTTTGGAATTATCAAACAAGTTGTTGCCAGAATCTGGGGACTCATGGCCGATGTGTTCCCGGCTAATAAAGCAAAACCAAGAGAAAATAATCCTCAGCATTGCATTTCAGAACTATGTGGGCTTCCTTTGTATTCCACAAATTCAGTGTTGCTGATTCTTATCAGATGCTTAATTTCCTCATATCCCAGTAAGATGATTTATTTGGTGCCCTGGGGAAAAAATTAAACCCCTTTTATCTGTTTTGTATTTTCAACATTGTAATTATTAATAAATATTTACTAAATAGCAGCATGATGTAGGTGAAATATCAAATTGGTAGAAATAAATGCTTCTTAATCTATTATGTCCTCTAAGACACAAAATCATCATCTATGACATGGAGATGGTGCTGTTTTTCTTCTTAAAGCATCTTTCACAGCATTATTGTATCAAATTTAGTATACAAGAATAGTCTTTGAAAATCAAAAAGCTCAATCAGAAATTATTATTATTTGAAGAATATGGTCTTTTAGGAGAATTGTAGAACCTGCTTATATTTCCTCCATTTTTCTATGAAAGCTTTCATTTTAAAGGTTGGCTAAACAGGTATTTTTGATCCTTTTGTTTCATTTCTATTTATATAAATAAGTGGTTTTGATGGGGTACATTCTTATTAGGAAAAGTTTACAACACATATGCTTAATATTAAAATGTTTGATATAAAGGTCTAATTTAAAATGTGGTTGAAAGAGAAAAAAGTAGAAAAATCTTGTATATGCATGTACACATAGGCCTAAGGAGAGAAGCGTATGGAATTGCAAGAATATTATTAAAATACAATTCAAATAGTTAAGGGTAGGAAAAATGTGATGAAAACAACTGGATTTTTATTCATAGACTCCAGCAGAGTAAAAATCACAAATTTGGTTTTTTTCCAAAATATGTCATTTTGTATTCAATTATTCAAGACAGAATGGGCAGAGAAGTACAAGGAAATGAAAGAAAATATTGATAAAGGAAGATAAAGTAACCAGACTAGATTTTGGTAGGATATAGCAAGACACAAAATTGATATCTCCTAACTACATAAACTAAAATACTTCATTTTTTTGCACAGCAAATTCTATTCTTGTTCTGGCTAACAAAAATTCTGTTGGAGTAAATTAAAACTGTGATCATATCACTTTTTCGTTGGACATAAAAGAACTAAATATTTTCCATAACATTTGTTCCACTCAGGAGTATCTTTCTTGCATCTTCCTTCACCTCCACTCCCATGATAATCGCCACCATTAAAACCGTTATTACTAAGAACACAGGTATTTGTTGTCTTTTTCCAGATTCTTGGGGTCTCTTAATTACAAAGTAATTTCTTAAATTATGCCTCCCTTTATCTTTCCTCTATTTTTGGTATTAGTAATATCTAACAAATCTAGATCAAGTAGGCCGTCCACACCAGGTCATATCCTACTCCCAACCCAATGCTTATAAAACATAAGGCTAAAATAATGAAATAAGATTAAAAAATAGAATAGTTGCTAAGACTGATAACTTTTAGAAATAATTTATCTAAACAAATTGAATAATCTTAAAAAATCTTGTGGTTGCCATTGCTGTTGTTAAGCCACATTTCCCTCTTTGATTTCCTTTTAGAACTGTATTGTTTTGAGAACTGGTATAATTAGTGATTTAGAGCGAAGGCTGTAGACTCAGGTTGGCATTAGAACCTGCTTCGCCACTTACTAACTGTACAAACTCTCATCAAGATATTCACCTGCAGCACTGTATTCTGTTAAAAGGAATGCAATGAGGTAATGTATGCAAAGCCTTTAGCATACTGGTTGCCTCATACCGATAAGTAAATAAATATTAACCATCACCAATTCTCACCTTAGCTCTCCTTTAATTGGATGTACATTCATATCCAAACCCATGTATAATAGAGCAGTGGCCATCAGACTGCATGTGGTGAAGGACAGTACTTTTATTAATTGCCAGTTTTTGTAGAAAGATAATATCATAAAATACAATAAAATTCAATTAATAGGAAACGTAAAAATATACAAAATAAAAGCCCAGAGATTTTATTGTTATATTCAACAAATATAAAAAACATTCTGTTAAATTTCTATAGAAGTTTATAAATGTTTTCACATAATTTCTGTACTTGCTTTATTGCAGAGGGGAAATAAAATCTATAGACAGGCACAAGTTCCTTGATCATACTTCTATGAAGAATGTATATTTTATTATTTCTCTTTTGAATAAGATAACCCTATTTCTAAAATATTCAAATGTTCATTGATATAGTTATGTATATATACACTTATGTATACACACATAACAATACACATACATATATATATTTGGCTTAATGTGATATTTGTGTTACAATGAAAGTATAAATCACTGAGTCTGAAGTGTCCTTAAAATAGAGGATGAGGCGAAACTGACCATCTGGCTTTGAGCTATCACTAATCTCTACTTTGATGCCTGAGTATTTGTCAAACAAAGAAACGTTTTGCATATTACTGTGTATATTTGTTCTCTGTTGACATTATTTACTCAGATAATCCAGAAATGTTTAAAAAACTGATGGAAGCACTTTCTCTTGATTTTGTTACATATGTACAGTTTGATTTCTTTCACGTAAAGCAGTATCCATTTTACATTTTTCTTTTAGACAATGTTCTATACAGTTAGTATATTACCCTACACATGCCCAAGAAATGTACCTTTGAGAAGCTGATGTATGACCAAACATGTTTGATCTTAGAGCTCAATTTTTACTCATGCCACCACCCACTATGACACCCTCATCCCATTCTACCCCTTCCTGGGGAGTTAATAACAACAATGAGCTTTTTTTTTTTTTTTCCTATGGGGATAATTGGCAATCCAGGGAAGCCAACCCAATTTCTATTTTGTTCAATGTTTCTTTAATTGATCAGTGAGGGGGAAAAGGTGGATACAGGTTGCGTGAAGAGGAGGAAAGATTCATTTTGAGTACCTATAAATTTTTTGGTACTTTCTTAAAAACTCTTTTTAAAATATGCTTCTTTTTCTTTACCTTTTTGCTCCTTATATTTGTTGCTTCTAAGAGACGTGTCACCTCTGCTAGGGTGATAGGCTATATAATTCCTTACTGCTTTCATCTATATATTTTTTTATCTGTAGGTATAGAGGTAGATAAAAATCAGCAGCATAAAATACATATTTTCTATGTCTAGTTGAATGAGTGATTCAGTGAAATTGATAATTATATGTATCAGTTATCAACTGTATAATGAACAACCACAAAACCTGGCATAAAACAATAAGCGTATGCATATTGCTTGTGAAACTAAGACCAAGTGGGCCTTGGCTAGGTGGCTCTGTAGATCTCGGCAGGACTTGATCACCTCTAGGAATAGGTTAGTTTTGATTGAATCAACCTGGCTCTGCTCCCCACTCTCTCTCTCCTCCAGCGAGAGTAGCCCAGGCATGAGGGAGGGCAATCCCAGCTGCACAAGCACTTGTTAAGCCTCTACTTTCTTTATCTTTGTTCAAAGTAAGAGAATGCTGCAAATTACATGGCAAAGGTCGTTGGTTGGGAGGAGGAGGATGAAGAATTAGAATCATTTTTGCAATTGATCACATATCTTAAAAAGTAAATTCTTTCAATTGAACAATATGATAAATTAGTAGGAATAGTTAAATAATTATATTTATCTTGATGAAAGTAACGTACTCGGGCAAGTTACTTCAACCTTCTGTGCCTCGGTTTCTTCAGTTCTAAAATGGGGATAATAATAGTGTCATCCCATACGATTATGGTGAGGGTTAAATTAGTGTATTATGTAGTGTGTAGAGCAGTGCTCAACATAGAAATATGCATAAGGTGTTAATTATAGTTATTAACATCATTATTATTGTTAATATTGAGGCAACACAGTTGAAAACTGACAAATGTGTAAAAATGATATATGGTTGTCTTAATACTTTCTTGAGCATATTTATTTTGTGAATTTTTGGCTAATATTTATAGCACTGGTGCCATCTGTTCATCTTACAAGGATTATTATTTTAGGAGTTTATACATGTCTATATTCCAGAGAGAAAGATTTTACATTGTAGAACAAGTTGGGACACATTTTTATTTATAATCTTAAAATATCTTACTTATAGACGTATTGTAAATACCACAGATTTTTGTTTCTATTTTCTTGCTTTTATAAATTTTGTACTAATGTTAAGAAATGGTAGCAAGCTTATGACTAATGTCAATTTAATTGACAGCTCTTAAAATGTGATCATTAATTGATTTGTTCTATGTAGTAATGAGAATATATGCCAATATGTCCCAATTTTAATGTGCATACAGTCACCTGGGACCTCGTTAAAATGCAAATCCTGATTCTGTAGGTCTGAGGTGGGCCTGGGATTCTGCATTTCTAACAAGCTTCCAGGTGATGAAGTTGCTACTGGTCCCTGAATACCACATTTTAAATGTACGTGCACACACACACACATGCACACACACACACAGACATCTCCTTATGTATATTTAAAAATTATGCACACATATAAAATACATATTTTAAAATATATAATACATATTTATATTGAATAAGTGAAAATTCAAATCAAATTATTTGATATTTAGTTATTAAATGTTATAAAACATGTAATAAATATAATGAATCAAAGTAACATATAATATTTAATAAATAAATTATTGTATCTAATGATGTGTTAATCTCTAAATGTTGAGAAATATTTTTACTGCCAAAAAATGCTTTAATTTTCCATTTTGTTTCCCGGGAAACTACTTAAGTAACAGAATTTGGCCCTATAAATATAAGTTGCTGTCGAGACTCCTTTGTTGGTAGAAATATACTTAAATTTCCTGGGTCCTGTAATCAGGATAAAAGTTGTCTCTCTCTCCTCTCTCTCTTTTTTTTTTTTTTTTTTTTTGATGGAGTCTTGTTCTGTCGCCAGGCTGGAGTGCAGTGGCACAATCTCCGCTCACTGCAACCTCTGCCTCCCAGGTTCAAGTGAGTCTCCTGCCTCAGCCTCCCGAGTAGCTGGGACTACAGGCATGTGCCACTACGCCCAGCTAATTTTGGTATTTTTATTAGAGATGGGGTTTCACCATGTTGGCCAGGATGGTCTCCATCTTTTGACCTCATGATCGCCTGCCTTGGCCTCCCAAAGTGCTGGGATTACAGGAGTGACCACCGTGCACTGCCAAAAGTTGTCTCTTAAACTCGTACATAATTATGCTTTTATTTGAGGTACACACACAACCAATTAACTAATTTTTTTTCTCCTGTGGGCATTAGTCACAGCCCAATATTAAAAATTTTTGACTACATACAACTTTATATAAATAAAGTACATTAGTCAACTTAATTTTCTGCTTTTGAGTGTTAACTACAAATATTTTGTTTCAACTTCAGGACTGTAAAATCTTTCTAAAAGTTCACGATATTCTTTTCTTTATAAGTAATCTTAAGAGTACTCTGCCTTTTTGTTTTAAAGAAGTGGTTAGTGTCAGAATAGTAGCATTAAAGGATACAATTGATTTTAAAACTGTAAAAGATGAAAGAGATTGGGATAAATCTCTGCTGACCTCAGATAAACTCTAGTAGATCAAATCTCCAAAATGTAGAAAAGGGAAGAAAAAAAATTGAGAATTCAGATTAAGTGGATCTGAATATGGGAATTCCCATCTAAAGGTATGTGTAATTAAGTTGAAATCTATTAAGAATAATTAAATAACAGCCTTCTTCATGATAACAACATTTGAGTTGCACTTTCAAACTCAATTTCTCGTTGTAAATATAACTACAGATTACAACTTAATTTCTAGTCCATAAATTATTTTTCACCTCTCTTATCTTATTTGATATTTGAAAGAACCCTTTGTTGTTTAATATTATACTCAAAGTAAGAACTTGGACTTGGAGACCTCCTCCTCCTTTAAGTTCAAGCCTCCTCTGAGGAGAGATACTCCTAAGGAGTCCAGGATGAGGGTCATTATTGAGCTGTTACTGGGAGGGGACTGAATTCGTGGATGACTCTGGAAAATAGAGGTTAGTAATATATTAGTAGCTATTATTTATCATGTATTTATTATGTGCTATTTGCTACTTGTGTCTAATATCGTTTCTCTATTTCCTCTTTTTAAGTTATTTTGGAATTGCCTAGTATTCTAAAAAATGTTATGATTGTGTTCAGAATGCCCCTTTTATAGTTTTCCCTTAAATGGTGATGGTGGGCAAACTTGAAGACATTAACAAAAACATAATTTTCATTTAGTCTTAGATAACACCAAGGTGACATAGTAACTAAGTGGAGTTGGTGGGCTAATTCCTAGTGGAAGCCTGGGCTCGTAACAGAACATAAAGGCTTTTCCAAGGATGAAACACTGGTGAAGCTCCTCCTTCAAGTTGTATATGTTTGCATATGTGAAAATATGTGCAATCCAAGTTTAACTTGGGAATGCTTAGCTCCTTAGGAATTTGCTACTGGGTTAATAACTCTTCCCTCAATTACTTAGGTTGGAAAGTCCTCAAATTTTACCTTAGATCAGGATTGGCAAACTTTTGGCAAAGGACCATATAGTAAACATTTTAGGTTTTGTGAGCCATAAAGATCTTTCTCGACCACGCAGCTCTGAAATTTGTAGTGTAAATGCAGACACAGACAATATATAAACAAAGGAAAGTGCCTGTTTTCCAATGAAACCTTATTTACAAAAACAGGTGAAAATTGTGTTTGGCCTGAGAGTCAGTTTGCTGGACCACTGGATTAGATTCTCAAGGTCACTTTCAATTCTGAGGTTATGGTTTTGCCAGATTATCTGAGTTATTCATTCCTGATGAGTTATGGAAGGAGAGCTCCTTCCAACCAGAAGTCTCTCTTTGTACAAGCAAATGGCCCATCACGGTATTTTCCTAAACAAAGGCATTTCCCTCAGAAGAGGAATTCTGCTGCTACTGTTAAGATAATAAGTACACCACAGATGGTGCTTTCATTTCAAAAACAACCACAACATAAAAAAGATATAACATTTCTGTTTAATTATTGCATTTTTCTATCCTATGACTTGATGATTTAGTTTGGCAGTGGTGCAAATTAATATTCAAGCTTCTGCTGGAACTCATCTGTTGTTGATTTTGTTGTGGTGGGGGTGATGGTTCTAAACATAGTCAAGGAGGCAAGGTGAGAAAAAGATACATCAAACTCCTTATCGATCTCGTTTTGGCAGATTCAAAGAGTTTATATTTAAGCCTAAATTTAAATAAGCATTTTCATATTATCACTGCCAGTTTTAGAGAGTGTTTCACTGGCACAATAATTGTATTATCCAACTGTATAGCAACTATCAATTAGACTAGGACTGCCTTGAGAAGCAAAGTAGGGCTCCTCTTTCTTTGGTTCTTGCTGCTGTACATTGGAGGTCTCATACTGAAGGCTCACAGGCTTCCCTGTGGCCCCTTGACCCACTCAAGGTTGAAAAACAAAAACTAAGAAATAGTTGCCAATGTTAAAAGGAGATTATCTGTAGAAACTTACATTTCTTACTTCCTTTGAAAAATCAGATCTTCTAAAGATCTAAGGTTTTTATTTTCACAGGAGAACCATGTGAGGGACGGCTGCTTTTTTAAAAAAATCATTGCTTCTACCACTGTCTTCATCTCCTCACCACAGAGCCTGAGTCAGAGGCCATTTATCCTCATTACGGTGCCATGATCATGCCAGCTTTCCTCACTCCTGTATCTACCTGGTCATTAGAGGCATTTGAGTTTGTGGCCCGTGCTGTGCACATTATCCCTGGAGATCTCATCAATTACAATTATTTCCACCTACTGGACTTTAAGTAGTTCTACCTATTGGACATTTTCAATGCAATCTGTTTTCCTAAAGCATACTGCAGGATTGAAGCACAAAGTATGACTGTGCAATTACTCTCAAGAGCATTTTTGTTTATGTTGGTCAATGTCAGTTTTTTAGGTCCCTTATAAGGAAATACCTTTTAAAAATTCATGCCAAGAAACTTTTCATTTTCAAAAAGGAAAATATTTTCTTTCTTGAATAATTTTTGTAACATTATAGTCTTTCTCTTTTTGTCCTGGCTACCAGAAAGTTCAGAAGTCAGTGTGTCATAATCCTGATATTATTTCTCCCCTTACTTTGTGTGTTCTGGTTCTCTATTTGTAATATTAATACTAACTATTAACGTGAACACACATATACTCATGTGCTACAAACAACTTTCAGGTTCATTTTGTGAGAGATTAGGGTTGAAAACATCAGTACGACATGTTCTTAACTTTTCGAAACCATCCTCCACACTGACAACAGATTTGTATTTATAACATACGAATCAGGCCCTATTATTATTCCCTTGCATATTCAGGAATTCAACATGTCTTCCTCTCACTTATAAGACATCTAATTTGTTTATTAGAGTTTTCAAGACCCTTTATTATGTTTCTCAAACCTATCTTCCCATCTACAACATTCTCCACTTCTGTCCCACAAAGCGTGTATCTCAGTGATGAACTATTTACAGTTCTCCAAATGTACCAGGCCATTTCCCACCTCTTGCCTTTCACAATACCATTTATTCTCCCTATAATCACTCTAGTATTTTATAGGTAAGTCACTCATAACAAATATTATATTGTTCTGTCATTTTTCAGTGAAATGAATGACTATTATTTATCTTGGTATATTTCATGCTGAACCCAATATTTTGTGTAAAATGGTTTTCATTGACTAATTATGTAGCTGACTTTTGGTGAGATTTTCACAGAATTGAAATAACTGATCAGGATATATTTTTTACTACAAATAATGAGAAACTTTTAAAGAATAATTATTGAGTGCTCACTGTATACCAAGTTCTCTTCTAAATGTGTAATACGTATTTATTCACTCAATCATCCCAACTACCTTATTGCCCTATGATTTTTGTCCTCATTTTAGAGATGAGGAAACTGAAGCCCAGAGAGATTGAGTAATTTCCCCAAGAACACACAGCTAGTGGGGTCAGGGTTGAATCCTACTGTCTGCCTCCACAGGTGATGTTTATCTGCTCCATTGCTTCCCATTTACGTGTTGAAAGTATATCACTTATGACATCAAATAGCAACTAACCTCAACTTCCATTGGTTCTATCGGTTCTATAGGAAATGCTGGGATTATTTGAGACTTCAATATTGGAGGAACAGATTAAGTTCTCAAAAAGTTTTGAGAAAATGTATTAGACAATAACATCTTTGAATGTAACATGTGCATTTGTGTGTGCATTAATTATTTAGCCACAAATAAGAAGGCTGAAAATATACCAGTCTCCACTATCACAAGCAACTGAAGGCAATAGTTCTACAGAAAGAATCACCTATCTGTGAAGTCACGGGCACAGCTCACAGAAAGGTGCTGTGGAATTGACTTCTTTGGAGTCCTATGATGTGAACATTTCATCTGAAAAGATATAGTGTCAGAATCCTTAAGGTATCCACCGAGAATAAATTACTTCCTCTACATCAAGCATCTTCTTCTCTTCCATATTCAACACAGTGAATTCATAATGGAGACAATACATCCCTAAGTTGCTGATGGTGTTGCAAGCACCATTCATGTTTTGGACATTATGGCAGTGACGATCAGAAGAGAATCCTGTGGACCTACGTTTCTGGTGTTTGTAGCAACAGGATGAGCATCAGTGAGCCAGGTTCTGGGCAGAGACACCCGAAGCCCAGGAGGCAGAGCCAGATTCCCCTGACTTCCACTAAGTGACCCACTAAGTCAGCTCTCAGCATGTCACTCATAGCTGATTTTGAGATAGGTTTTTAACTGGTAAGCAATATGCTTAGGTGCCCTGCCCTGTCTCAGTAAAAAGACAAGTGAAATGCCAAAGTCTAATCCTTTTGTTTGAGAAAGTATAGTTTCAACCAATATATTTATTAGTCTCTTGGGGAGAAGCCAGATTTATAGCATTCCATTTTGTTTTACTCACAATAAATGCATGAACATGTACTGTTTTATCAATCTTTTTTTTCGGGCGCATGGCCTGGACATTGACTCAGTGGACTCTCATTTATTAGTGAGAAAACTAATTGGAGGATATATGGAGATGCAGAACTCAGTAGAAAGCCAGAACATTTATTTGGATGGGATCTTATTCTAATCTGAGGTAGCATCATCAAGAAGAAATAAAGATCTACATAAGTTGCTCCAGGAGGGGGCTAAACCTGTCATTTGGCTATTGTGATTTCATCAAATTGATCACTGTAACTGTCATCTTTGTCTTGAAAAGCATCTGCCACTAACAAAGGCTGTTCCCCTTGGAAAACTATTAGCTCTCAGTGAATGAAAGTTATTCAGCACACTGAATAAATTGTCTCCTGCATGAGACAGCATTTGATAATTCACACTTTTATGGGGAATATTGAAAGGAAATTTCTACATGACATTAGGTCACATTCCTAATTACAGTTAGCATAAAGTCAAGCCCTTAATGTTTTAGTTTTTAGCCCCTAAGGAATATTTTTCAGAACAGGTATACAACATTTTTAGAAGAAAACCAAAAATTATTATTTTCTGCAATAATAAAATCTATTAAAGAAAAATGAAAACTTTGTGTATATTTTTTAGTCCAGTGGTATTTTCAAAAAGATCAAGGACAGTAAGGATCTATTTTCCATCTATATTTTATATACATATAGAATAGCACAGTGTTGGACCTATTTAAAACTAGCTAGGTGTCTTTCATGGTCTATAACCAGACAGGTTGAACTTCAAATTTATTTTTAATAGAGGGCTATCAAAAATGCATATGTAGATTGTACCCTTATTAATTTTTTATTTATTTGGCATGGGATTATATTCATTATTATTCATCCCAAAGTAAGAAGTATATAAAAATCATCTGTGAATATTTCTGACATTAATAATAATTGTAAAGTAGTAAGCTTTGTGCTGCTCATCAATTAATGCAGACCATGGCATTGAGCATAATAGTATTTAACAAACTGTATGCTTTCCAAAAATGCTGTGTGGTTTTTCAGTTGGAGCAGCTTTTGATGTTTATCTTCAAGAGTTCCAACGGGACTCAAACCTTTGGAGCCCCATTGAATTATTTTCAGCTACTGTCACTATGACCAGCTAACATGACACCTAACCTCATCTGGTTATACAATAGCTCTAGTGGCTGGCAAGTAAGCCAGCTGATTGTCTAAGTTTTAGTTTGAGGTTTCAGTTTGTTCCTTTGTAAGTAAAATGTATCACCCTGTGATTTCAGTGATCCAAGGAGCAACTGGCAACTGTAGAGTATTATATCACTGTTCCTATGGAAACATGTAAAATGGATTATAAAATATCTGAAATGTGTATTTTATTTGGTTCACTTTATTGTGAATATCTGATGCTACTTTAATGCTCCCTTTCTGATTATACTCTGGTTGAATTGTCTTCTGTTTAAGTTAAATCTTTAGTTTGCTCATGTATTGTTTTCTTATGATATACTTTTGCTTCTATATATTTTCAATAATAGTAGGTTCTTCTCAATTTATTGTATATTTTAAAAATGTATAGACAATTACTGTGCGCAGGAAGGGGTATATCCGGTCCTCCATGCCAAAGCACTCTTTCACCATGCTGGGAAACTTTCTAGAGAATGAGTAGAATGTACAGTGAAGATCAAGTTCCTTCCTCTAACTTTTGTTTCATTTTCTCTCCACAGGAACTTTTTACCCCTGAATGCAAGTTTAAAGAATCTGTTTTTGAAAATTATTATGTAATCTACTCATCCATGTTGTACAGACAACAGGAATCTGGTAGAGCCTGGTTTTTGGGATTAAATAAGGAAGGGCAAGCTATGAAAGGGAACAGAGTAAAGAAAACCAAACCAGCAGCTCATTTTCTACCCAAGCCATTGGAAGGTGAGTATTATGCATGCATTATTATTACATAGACTTATTACATATTTTATTTTTCAAATTGATAGGTCTACCATGGCTCTAAGAAACCTTCACAAAGTGCTGGAAATGTCATTTATTTTGATCTAGGTGATGGTTGCACAGGTGCCTACTTAAGTTATTGATTTAGAATTTGTGCCCCTTATACACTTTACTATATTTGTGTATGTATGTGTACCAGGAAAAATTTCTTCTCTGCCACCTCCAAAGGCTCAAATCCTCACTGCTACAACCACTCTAACCCTTAGATAATTTAAATTAATTAAGTTAAAACAATTTTAAATCTGTAATGATACAAATCTGCGATGATAAGTATATTAGAAAAAGATAATAAGTATATTAGAAAAAATAAGTTTTGAGCGTGGAATCAAAAGTATTTTCCATTTTGATATTATCTAGGTGAAAGTAATTACCTACTTGTGGATTATTATAATTACAGAAAAATAAGAGATAATAGCTTGACTCTTAAAGAACTTGCTGATATTACACATCTGCTTTCAAATTGTGTAATTCTTCACTGTATACATTTGTAGCATTACTTCTTTTACTAAAATAATTTATCCACATTCATTTGTGTGCAGGAAGGGGTATATCCAGTCATCCATGCCGGATGAATGGAAATTTCACATTTACTCCAATCAGATACCCAAAGAGCAGGCTACAAAGTTTTTTTAATTAATCAACAACATCTGCACCTCTCTCATTAATGATTCTGCCAAAAGTGTCATTTACTTTTATCTATGTAACATTTGAGAATTACAAAAATATTTGATTTTAGGATATTCACATGTGTTTCTATTCAAGTTCTTTTGTTTACTCTTTTGCAGAAGATCAGATCTACAATAACTCAGTAAATATTTTAAGCTAGCTTGGACAGCTCAATTTTCTTTTTGTGTTTTATTCCTACAGGAAAGGCTTAGCCATCACGAGAAAATGCATATTGTTTTCATAATGCATATTCTCTATATTGAAATAAAATAATTTAAAAATTTGAACAGTCAATTCTTCATCATCTGTGAGTGTATAATTTTCAATTTGCCTAAATTCAGAAAATCGCTCTTGTTGGCTAATACTACTTCTGTAATTTCAATGATGTTGACTTAGTGTCACTCTTAATTATATTTTTCTGTAGAACAATTTATTGAAACCCAAACAGTTAGCTACCAGGGCCTATACAGGAAAAGACAGATTATTCCAGAGTCTGAAATATGAGTGAATTATTCTCAGTATATGGTGGATCATAAGGATGATTAGAGTAGAAAGAAGTTAGAGGATTTCCCTGTTCCTCCCAAAAAAAACACATCCATGATACACTTTCATTGTTTTAAATAAATTTTGATAACATTGGACTCACCTATATTTAAATGCAAATAAAAAATTAAAAAATAAGCCCACAGAAGCTCTAATAAGACCATTGTTTATTTGCCACCGTGCTTTATCTCTTTTCACTCATTTTATGTTTTGTAAATAGTTAAGAATTGACTAGATTTTTAGAACCTTACCCTTTAGCTGCATAAATGTAACAAAACCCAAAAGGGCTGTTATGTCATTTAACCGAGGTAAAATTTGGGAACCAGTTATTTTGCATATCTCATAGAAAATATCTGAGACAACAATGATGTGGTATAGAATGATACTTGGTATTTCACTCATGTATTTGTTATGTGTATATGAGTGTTTTGTGTGTATATATACATATATATATATGAGAAAGAGAGAAATAATACTTTTTATGTTTTCAAAAAATTAGCAGAAGTACTCTAAAAACAGTTAAGGGGGTAGGTACTATAACGACAGAGATTATCACATTGTTTACTTGATAGAGGAAAATTAATTTCAAACTTTCAAAACCCATACCGAATATAAATAATGTTATTGGAAATGTTTGACAAATTAAGTACCTGGTTAATTATTGGTACTCTAGGGCATTCATATCTTTGTTTTATATATATATATATATATATATATATATATATATTTTATTATTATACTTTAAGTTCTAGGGTACATGTGCACAACGTGCAGGTTTGTGACATATGTATACATGTGCCATGTTGGTGTGCTGCACCCAGTAACTTGTCATTTACATTAGGTATATCTCCTAATGCTATCCCTCCCCCATCCCCCCACCCCACAACAGGCCCGTGTGTGTGATGTTCCCCTTCCTGTGTCCAAGTGTTCTCATTGTTCAGTTCCCACCTATGAGTGAGAACATGTGGTGTTTGGTTTTTTGTCCTTGAGATAGTTTGCTGAGAATGATGGTTTCCAGCTTCATCCATGTCCATGAACTCATCATTTTTTATGGCTGCATAGTATTCCATGGTGTATATGTGCCACATTTGCTTAATCCAGTCTATCATTGTTGGACGATACAACTTCACTACATAGAAAATCAAGGTCAATGCTTCATGCTTTTGTCTGCTAATTTAATTAGTAATAGGAGTGAGGGATTGGAATGTGCTTTCAGGATACGCATTAGTTCCTTTTGCTACCTTAGCAAGTAATTTAATAGAAACCTTATGTACATTTGCACTTTCAAGTATGTGTGCTGATGAAAACTCACGTGATGCATTGATACTAAAGGCCACATTCTACCCCCTTGAACATAGGGAATGCATATGGTAGTTCATCTTAACTAAATCTAAGGGCTCTTCGTAAAATACCTTAAACTTTCAAAAACCTAAAAAGCAGTTTGGGCAGCTCTAATGCACTTGTATTTCTGATGGCAGATGACTTTAATCCCTAGTTTTCCCCAACCATCAGTCACTCTTATATGTCCTTTCTCAGGACTTCCAGAAATCATTTTCTAAAAAGCCACGTGAACTACTATGATTATGCCACCAGACACTATTTAGATAAATCCTCAGAGTTTATTCAGGTAGTTTCAGTTGCTGTCTTGCCATTCTGTTTTCTGCCCCTGTATCATGTCAATTATTAGATTTTTAATAACATAGCAGAAAATGAGTTGCCTTCTGCTGCCCAAGGGTCTTTTTCCATGATTGTAGGAAATGAACATTGAAATGATAATCTCCTGAAGGCTCTGGCTTATGGGAAGAGAGTTATTTGTTATTATTTTGTGTAGCTTTGAAGTTGACACTAGTATGACTATGTTGCTTTTGAACCACATGAAAGAAAGTAATTTAATGTTCTAGGATGTAAATACCGCAGCTCACAAAGATTGATTGAAGTGAATGAGAAGTTCATGTGTTGATATTAATGTGCAGTGGAAGGGATGTCTGAGTTTTCTTTTTTTGAGAATTAAGTTAAATGCCTGTCATTCTCCTATAGTGTGTGTGTGTGTGTGTGTTTTACATCATGGACCCACAAAGAGGCCATAGCTCCCATTTAAACCTGCTGTCCTAGACAAAAATCCATGCACACTCATATACATATTTTAGGTATACAGACCAGAGAATGTGAAGGGAGTAATGTCCTCTGTGGGCTGGAAATGATTGCTTTACAACAGGAATTCTGTCTCAATGGAATTGCTTTACTTCAGGGAAAACAGAAATGGGCAAACTGCAGTGGTCTATGCAGGTATGGATGGACCATTCTCACACCTAACCAAGCAATGTTTGCTTTTCCTCCTCCTTTCTTCCCATCACTAGTTGCCATGTACCGAGAACCATCTTTGCATGATGTTGGGGAAACGGTCCCGAAGCCTGGGGTGACGCCAAGTAAAAGCACAAGTGCGTCTGCAATAATGAATGGAGGCAAACCAGTCAACAAGAGTAAGACAACATAGCCAGATCCTCACAGGTGTTGTGACTTATTCGTCCTGAGCACAGTTGAGTGATTTATCCTCACCAGACATTCCTGCTCCGTGGCTGAAGAGCAGCAGGAAGTAAGCTAATGCTTATTCTTTGCTGTCTCCGAACTTCTCTGTTGCAAGTGGATAAATCTCAACCTGTTGCACCCCCCACAACAAGAAGACACCTGGATAACCAGCTAAACTCAGACCATGGAATGCCCTACCAGATATGGAATGCCTTTTTAATATCTTTTCTGTGACTGTGACACTTCATGTGAATGACATACTTCACAAGTACACTCGATACCTTGCCTGCTGACAGCTACCCATAATCCTTTTTGAGTCCTGTTTCAGCGAAATCTATGTGTTTAAGTTCAATTTTGTAGCACACAAATAATATTGAGTAATTTCTAGTTAGACGCTGTAAACCTGTGCTATTACGGATTTCTCTTCTTCCCATTTTTACAGGGCTGCTCGCTCCACTGTCTGTGACCTTTTGCAGGGATTTTGTTCCTCTAAATCTTAAATGTTGCAGTTGGCTTAGGTCGGAGAGCAATCAGGGAATCAGGAAGCCTTCTAAACCTATTATTACAAATTGCATCTATAAAGAAAGATTAAGAAAGATTGTTGTCTCTGGCTCACACTATCGATTAAACACACATATACGCTCTGTCCAGTAGCAGATACTGTGCTCCCAAGGTCGGCATTGCCTGGGTGGGAAATGGCTCAAACACAATCCAGGGAAGCTCTCTATGATATGTGTTTGACATCCCCCTCTAGTTTCTTTGTGTGTGTGTGTTTTATACATATCACAAGCTTACTGGTAATGGTAACATTTGCCTTGCCCAGCGAGCAAGACCCACTGGTTTTTGAGAAAGTGGGTCCAAAGATTTCTGTAGGCCTTGTAGGCCTGATTAAGGTTCATTTTTCATCTATTAATTCTCATTATTTGGAAAAAAAAAAAAAGGAAAATCAGTAATTATAACCTACAAGAATTGCGCTACCTAAATCCATTTCAGATATACTCCGTCCTGTTTTTAATGAACCAAACTTAACGCCATCCCCGTTTCTGGCTGCGTTCCCCTCATACTCAGCAGAGCATGGGCAAGACGGCTGTTGTGTTCTTTCCTGCAGCAGCAATGCAAACGTTAGTTATAAATTAATTAGACTTTAATATTTTTGGTGTTTAATGACAAGTTTTTAAACTGGACATATTAGGAAAAATATTTTTTTTAGCTCAGCATGCTGAGTCCGGTACTGTGTATTTCACCAGTACATGCCTCTAGCTCAGCATCTGGGGCTCATGTTGCCCAGTGGCTGGGTTAGAGGTGCCTTGCCATGATCTCAGAATACAGTCTGTTGAATTATCCTAGATGAAAATAAAGGCAAACCAACACATTCATCCATGAGGATTTTGGTCCATTCCATTTATTTTCTTTTATTTTGCATTCTTAATTTCCTTTTTAGTTTAACACTGTTTGTTTGAGCTTAGGGAAGACAACTACCAAGAAAGGCCAGGAACAGTTGACTACACAATGAAGATTCCATGCAAAATGTTCAATATTGGATCTAAAGGGGTTCAAAATGTTTCATACTAAACTGTTTGGGAATTTATTTGTTAACTCTGTGTACACCTAATAAAATTCAATGTTTTCTTCTCAGAAGAGTTCATTGAGACCAAACTGAACCTCATTTATTGAAAATTATATGTGGGATCAATGTACTGGCCTCTTGTTATTCTTTCTATGTGGGAGGATGACCCAGTCATCATTTTCCCCATCTGCACTGTATTTATTGGGAAATTATTTTGTCACTGCTTTCATAAATCTTCTTCATGACAGCCCTTGCCCAGCATTAAAAAATTCTGGCCTGCTTAGCTGATTAAAGGTTTAGTAGAAATTTAACTGTTTGTTTATGCTTATTTCATTTTCATATTGGATTCTACTTGAATAAATAAAAAGTTAGCAGAACGTTTGAGTAGATTTATTGCCAATGATGCTAAATTACAAATCTAACAAACAAAATGATTCCTTTGGTCATTTTTGATTTGGTGTTATGTCATCTTGAAGCCTATTGTTTTTAACAGGAACAGTTAAAATATATTAGATAACTTCCATTAACCAATTATTTTCAGAAAACATAGATCCCATAATATGTGGCCAACTATATGAGTAATTAACTAACTTGTAATACAGTCAAATGGGCTTATGGACACTACTTACAGCAGCAACACTTCACTTCACACAAACACACACATATACACACACACACACACACACACACACACACACACAGAGCAAACACCCCCATCTATTTGTTACTGATAATTAGCCCTACTTGCTGGTTTCTTTTTCCCCTGCAAGTCTGTTTATTGGTTTAAATTAAGACAAGATTTATTTTTGTAAATGACTGAGATTTATGTAAATGTGTATCTCTGTTGTGTTTTATATATGGGGTGTCTATAAGGGCATTTATCCCTATGAAGGATGTCAAATACTTTCTTCTAATATATGTTTAGACATATTGCAGAGGGGTCCTTGTTATTTGTAATTGAGTTAGGTCATTTACTTTGTGTCTGGTCTCACCTGTAGCATGGGAAGAGGACAGCAATGATGAGCTGCATGTAGTAGGTACCTGTGTATCAAGAACTGTTGGTATGTATTGCTAATTTGCATACAAAGAGTTTGTCTGTCTGCATTGTAGTTTGTGTTTAATATCATTTGTTAAATTCACAAATACAACATATTGAATAAAATATTTATATGAAGGCATATTAAAAAACATCAAACAACTTTATGTAACAAAATGGCATTGCATTACTCACCAATATAGAGAAATGTCATGTAAATAAGTTGGTAAACTCAATTTCCCCCTTTACCATGCCAAAGAAAATTTTAGCTCTTTGATGATACCTCTCTTGCTATTTGTTTGGGATAAGACTTCGCCATTTTTTTCCCCTCAGAAATTAAGTTTGCTGTTATTAAGTAAGAAGTGCAATCTGTCACTACTGATGTTCCGTATAGTAAATCTGATGGAATTCATTTGTATTTAGACTGTGTGTTTTGTACCTCCATGTGCATATGTCCATTGTATCAAGTCTCTATAATACTCCATTCCTTCTGCATGCATATCTGGTGTGGGAGGGTTATTTCTACTGATTTGTTATAGTAGCTGATTGCTTTGCCAGTCCCTCAACAACGCTCAGAAATGTTGTTTTGGTATTTCAAGTGACAACATTTTTGTTTTCTAATATAAGATTGCTTTTTAAAACATTTTGCTACCACTTTACTTGGAAAAATTAGAGAAGACATGACAATTCTCCACCCTATGTAAAGAGCAAAATGGAACTGAACATCATTTCATTACAAATCCTGAAGAATTTGGAGATTCTTGCTCTAAATGTTTGCTTGTCCTGAATGTTTTTGGGTAGCAGTGGCTTAAAGAGATCCACGATGGGTCCAAAGGACTCCCGCTCCAGTTCTTCTAATAGTTTGCCTCTTGGGGAGCAAGCAGAAGTTCTTTATCATACCTAGCCACTTGCTTAATTAATGCTTTAAGCACTAAAAGTTGTTATTTTTATCAGGATGAACAATATCAGATTTGGTTGTCTTTAAAAGCAAAAACCAAAAACTTATTCTTTAAGTAAGTTAGACACGTATCACTTCATTTAAAATTATCTCCCTAATATTATGGATCATTAATATTTGATACATATTCAAAAAGAGACCACATTGACTAACATCCAGTTGAGAACAAGATGAAAATAATTGAAATATTTTTTCCATTTTAATTCAGAACAAGGCTATATCAAGGGAAAGCGACTGGGCTAAATCCTCAATTTTTTTTTCCAAAATGCAGGCATATCAAAATCCAGGATGTACATGGTCTTACTTTGAGTGAAATAGTAGTCATAGCTGAGGTTTCTTAGCCTACAATGTGACATAGGGCCTGTTGACTCTCTTGAATATGGAGTAGGGTTTCAAAGTGTTGACAGTTGAGTCTGCAAACTAAGGCTGAGTTATATTTTAGTTTTTTTTTTTTTTCCTGGTTTTCACTAAGTCTAATTCCAATGTCTACTGGCAGAGATTGTGTTTGCATTTGAGGTAGTGGAGGGCGGTACTTTCCAAGTGCTGTTGGAATCCAGATAAACTCAAGGAGCCCAGAAAGACAACGGGTATAATGGCTCTCCTCTTATGACTTAGCACTTTAGTTGACTTTTTTGAAAAAGTCTCTGGGTGGAATACCTCAGTGATGATGATTTGCCAAACAAGCAGCGTTAGTGCCAACACCTTCTCTAAACTTGCTGCATCCCTTCCAATTGACATTAATCCCACTGCAACTTCCTAAAAACAGGAATGAGCCAATGAGATTTGCTTATTTTCTCTCACCCATTACAAGTAAGTTTGTTCTTGCCCTGCTTGTTTTTTAGAGGGAGTTTCTATCATAGAGTTGAAAATCACATTTAAGAAGGAAAGAGTTTATGTCTTTACATGTAACTATTTTATTTTTTCCAATCTAAATTCAATCACTTCTTAATAGATATATTGGTGTTTGCATTGCTGGCATCAAAACCACACATACACACACAAACACACACATACACACAAACATAGTGGACAGAAATAAGTAAAAATATTTCTGTTTTCAAAGAAAAAGCATTCCTTAGAGTTTAGGTACCATTAACTTCTACTATAATACAGTTCCGGTACTATGGTTTCTAACTAAATGAACACTAGAACAGAGCTGACTATATTTTCATCTTTGTCCAAAATTTTAGATGAATCACATTTTGAACTTTTTATGGTATGATAATTTCTCCAATATCTAAATTCTTTTTCTGAGAAAACAAATGCCGAGGACATTTTTGACACTCTTCTTACATGAGACTATGAAAAAGAGCAGCACTTTTGTTGTAGTTGTTGTTGTTAATAAAAAGGATAATAACATACAGAGGATTATAAGAAAAATAAGACATACCTGAGGTTTTGTGATGAGCTATAGAGAATCAAGGGCAGTTCCAGTGGAGCTGAGGCTGACAAAGTACTGCCCAGCTGCCAGCCAAATCCACCCTTAAGTTGCTTTTGTATGGCCTGGGAGCTCAGAAGGAATTTTTTAAATTTTTTTTACAGCTTTAAAGTATTAAACAGAAACCAACAAAGAAGAATATGAGACAGGGACGTACGTGGTCCGTAAAGTTTAACTTTCTGATCCTTAATAGGAGGATAAGCGCCGTGATAGAGAAATCCAAAGGTCATTTGTATTACGATGGCTAGATAATGTAATGAATTCCAATGTCTGTGCATCAGCGAATACGTCATCAAAATTGCTACAAAACAATAATAATAGGTTGTTCACAGCTTAAAATGTTTAGGTAGTGAAGAGGAAAGAATATAACCTACATTATTTATTGACTACTTATATTTCCCTCATTTTACGGAAGAGATCTATCAATTTACGTACTCAATAATAGAACTACAACATGGTTGCACTCCTTAATCTCAGGATAGAGATAACAATTTTTATAAATCTATTACATTATGAGAACATTGTTAGTACTATAAAAATCAGGATCAGTTAAATGTTCTCTTAAAATAATTTTCAATATTAAATTTTTAAGTAACTCAGTGGATGCATATTTTCCTTATTTTTGGAAATTTGACTTATAAAGTTTAAGCCATGACTAGAATATTTACATCATTAAAATAAAATTTCCAAGTAAAAATTTTCATCTTAAAGTAATACGGAAATGATTTTGCTACATTATTCTAGGATTTTACAAAGTAATTCACCTTTAGAAAAAAAGTGGTTTTTTTTTTAGCTCTAAATAATTAAAGGTTGCCTAAACTAATGTGTATAAGTAGATTTACCTGTAAATATGTAAGGGAAGTCCCAATTATTGTACACTTTCATAATTCAATGTGAATTTCATACAAAGCAAAGTTTCACCATTAAGAAAATAAACATTTTGTTCCTATCACTGAGTGAATATTTGTAATTTCTATTTAAGCCATTTCTAGATTTTTTTTTTTTTTTGGTCTTTTGTGAGCTTCTGAGATTGGTGCCATTTTATCACAGTATTTCTCGTCTTGACTTCTTTGCATGACCCCAGGTTTCCAGTAAGTAAGGTATCCTTAGAAAAAAAAGTATTTTAAGGGAAATGGATGCATACTTCAGGCCCATTTTATATGTAACTCAATATTGTCTTTTTAAAAGGCCACACTACCATGGAATAAATTAAAATAAAAAATCAGATTTCTTGTACGCATAACCCCTGCCCAGTTTTAAAAATGTGATCCCTTATTTCTAGAAACCTAAAATAGATATCCCTGAATAACAATTCATTTTTAATTATCAGTAGATATATATACTGACACAGAGTATAAACAACTTCTGTCACTATTTATTTAAAATGTTAAATTGTACATTTTTCATAATTTCTTTAAGAGAATCTTCTTTGGTGAGTTTAAAGTGAGAGTAGACAAATAACTTAGTGGCTAAATGATTTAATGTCAGATGACTTAATGACCAGTTTTTGCCCTTGATCCAGCCCCACTCTGATATTCTACCTCCTGTGTGCTTGTCTTCATTGTCCCCATATTAAAATGGTGACTGATACGGAATTCTGGAAAAATCTGATCGATTAATTAATGTGAATATGCATGTTTTCCTTAGATTCTAATATGGTCTTTCTTGTGTAAGAATGTGGATTTCTAATAGCCATATAACTCAATGTTTCTCAGTTTGAGCCCTATTGGCATTTGGGGCTGGATAATTCCTTGTTTGGGGGCTGTCCTGTACACTGCGGGATGCTCAGCAGCATCCCTGGCCTCTACCCACCAAATGTCTGCAGCATACCTTCCTACCCGACCCAGTGTGACAATCAAAATTGTCTGTAGATGTTGCCAAATGACTTTTGGGTGGAAAAATTGCTCTCGTTAGGAACCACTTATGTTAATTATGGAAGAATCTTTTTTTTCTAATGTTATTTGCATCTAAATTTGCATAACTCATTTCTAATAGGTACTCGGATTTCATTCGTAATTCAGAAATAGAAAAACATACAATGGTCTTTTTAACCTGTCCTAGTGGTGAATATACATGGTTTCCTTCGCATTTATCTGTTCTAATGGCCCAGAAAAAATAAGAATCCAGACCTCTCTCATGTAATTGTTAAGGATATTCTGAGCCAAGCCAGATTTCACATGCATTTCCATTCCATCCATCCCAGCATTCACAGTTTCCACAGCTACATATTCCATTCCCTGCAATAAAATACATATAGGTATCATGATTATGATCAAAATGTGCCAAATTTAAACATGCTATTATAAATCACAAGTGTCCACAATGAAATCATTTCATTCATCCTTGGTAGATTTTCTTATTGTGCAATGATGTTATTATTACATCTTATTAAGCAGCTGCGAGACATCTAATCTTTCAAACAATTAGTGGCATTTATTTGGTGCCACCCTTTACCGATCAGATAGTCACCATCCTGTATCACTCCAGCTAGGCTTTTAGGTGACAATTTTGTTTTCCCTTAAAGAGCAAGTTATATCTGACTTATGAATAAATACAGAAAAACATAAGGCTCTTTGACATAACATGAGGCAGGCCAAGTAATCCGTGAAGAGAGTCTTACGTAGTAAGGATGGGCAGAAAGCAAAGGTCTAACTTAATGACACACAAAGAGTCATCTTTTACCTTCAGCTAGAGCTGAGGAGAAGTATACATGTCTCTGTTTCCTCGTAACTTGGCTAAACAAATGAATTTATAACCAATTATGAGGACTCAATAAATTAGGATAGCAGTGGCTATGACACGGCTGAGCCCTCTTTATACCTCTCCCCCATACACACATCCAGTTCCCTAAAAGCAACCAACACATCAACTAGTGGTACCCAGATTCTGTTTAAAAGAATATTTCATTCCCTATACCATGTTCAAAGTAAAATGGTTGCCAACAAAATTCTTTTCTGTGTTCAATATACAACTGCATACATGTGAGTTTGAGGGTGGGGAGGTTACTTTGTGGAAGGATCCCAAATAATCACAAAATTTAGCTTCATTCTCTTGTATTCTTCTATGCCTAGGAATAATGTGAGGCTTTTGTGAGGGCTTTTTCCCAAATGCCCACTTCGCCTTTGGTAGATATTTCATATTCACGGTTGGCCCTGTTGGTCCAGCCACCTAAAGCATTGCATGACGAGTGTCTCTTGGCTCTATAACAAACTGTGGCATAGAGCAATTAGAAAAGGTTAATACTGCACCTGTACAAATGAGACCATCATGTTTGTCGCAGTCTCTGTCATCACAGTCACAGAACTCCCCAGAAATATACCACTCTTCAGCAGAACAAATGCACTTCCCACAATGACAAGAACCTGAAATTACAAAGGCTATTACTCACCATCACCTTATAACTAAAGGTTTCCATCTCGAATAGAATATCGTTGACACACTGACAACAGGCTTCTAATAACCCATCATCCAAAGGTAAAAGTGTATTGAATGGCTGGTTTCTCAGAGGGGAGCTTTACTTACTGTAATTCATAAAGGTCACCCAGGAAAGCCTTCATTATGGATCTAGACAGTTGCAATTAGCCTTGAACAAATGTCCCATGGCCCAGTCTGGTTGAAATGTCAATGAGAGCAGGATGGGGTTGATTCTTATAGATGGTCTTCCAAAAAAGTATTCAAAAATAGATTTTTTCCTCCTAAATTGAATCATGTTTTTAAAGTGCCTGCTCTTTAAAGGAAATGAATAGGGAATTGTATTAAATTAGGTTGCATTTCTAATTAAAACAACTACTAAATTATTGTGCTTATAATTTTGGATTTTCGTTTACATGATTTTCTTGGAGTAGGAGCACACCTGCATATTGGGTGGCTAATTAAAGTGCTAAAAATGCATACAGTCACTCAGTATATTTGCCTTGTGAGACTCATCCTCAGGACCCTCTGTCATAAACTGGGATAGCTCAAATTACTCCCAAAGTTCATATTTTATGAGGCTCTGGATTCAACTCTTTTTCCCTCCACTTCACCCATTTCTCCTACCTAACTAAAAAACTTCCTCTTTGGTTATTTAAAATATCTTTACTTACTGAGTAAAAATTTTATTAATGATATATTTAAAATAAAAGAAAATAAATGAGATGATGAATGGTATCCAAGACAGAAGTTCTCTCAGTCTAAACAGCTTTCCATGACAGACTAAAAACCCTTACATGGAAAAACTGCCTCAACGACAGCAGGAAAGACTTTACAATGAAAAAGAAACAAATAAAAAGGACTTTCTTTTCCTTCTGTTTCCTTGGGTTGGTTGTTCTTTCCAAACATGACTTCCATTTACTAAAAGATGGCTGTATTCTTTTTGAGTCAAAATCACGTTGAAAAAATGTGCAGTTGAAAAGAGTATTTTGACATATTTAACAAAACTGCAGAATTGGTAAGTTCAAAATATATTGAAAAGGGGCAAGAATCAATCATTAGTGCTTCTTTTAAAACACAGTGATTAAAAATGAGTTAACAGCCTGGGTGATTAAAGTGATCAGGAAAAAGGAGTTGTGGTCATCACAGATATCATGAAAGGATTCAGGTTCATGTGTCTCAACTATGTGATATTTCATATCAGGGAAACTGGTATATGCATTTCAGCTGCAAAAATCCCCAAAGTCCAAATTAAATGTTTGCCATTTCTTGACACACTTCTCAAAGTAAGAGTGCAGTCAGAATTATTTAGATTGTGACAATTGTGTTTTTTAACTTCTTGCGTAGCTATGGCATAATTGTATTTAGTCTTGACTTGTTTTCCTGAGGGTCCAGGTTGATTTGCATGCTCTTGAGGAAATATACACGTCTTCTCAGTTTTAATAATTGACTGACAGCCCTGTGGTTTCTCAGGACCCAGTGAGCTGCTGCTCCCAGGTCAGTCTGCAAAGGATGCTGGTTCCCTTGTGGTCTCATCAAGGTGAGGAATTTCCTGATTTTAGAGATTTCTTTATCCTAATTTTGAAGACTTTCTTTCACATTTCTAGGCATAAAAAAATGTACAGCACTCTACTGCTTGTTTAACAAATGGATAGTGATATATCTGCCAACAAAGACCACATGGAGTATTTCATTGACTATCAGAGAAGTTTCCTCGAAAGGCACCATACTTAGTGTTTTATTTCCATGAGTGAAGGAAAATTAGTTATTTGAAGTATTTGGCTGTCTTTAGTTGTTTCTAAAGTAGTGCTGATTTTATATGCCCATAATATTCATATATACACCCAGGATATCATTTTATATATGTCACAATTCATGAAATATCTTATATTTCATCTTCAAACTTATCCTCTGGCCCTGGAACTATTCTAATCACTGCTCTTGCTTCTGGAATGCTTAGCTTCATGCCATAGTAGAGCATTTTCAGAAAACTGGTAAGCTCAGCTAAAGCTAATATGGCATATATGGATAGAACATTTGATGAGTAAATTCCAGTTCTGAAAGTCTACTAGTCGCTGAAATACTTAGAATAAAAAATGAGGATTGATTTTGTATGTGTCATGAAACAGTAGCATTTCTAGGTCAGCATTTTCCCAGCTGTGTTATTCTTTCCTGTTTGTCAATGCTCAGTGCATCTTAGAGGTAGGAAATTATTCTACTGCTTGTGAAACTAGAACTAGATAGCACATAGTAATAACACAGTGTGAATAGTTATTAGGACCTATTATAGCACTTTTCCTGTAGAACGCTCTAGCTGTTTTCTTCCATAACATGGGTCAAATTGTGCCTCTCTTAAATGGGAAGCACACAGGGAGAGGGTTCCATCAGACAGATGTAGGCTGCATGACTATCAAGAGGTGAGAAATGGTTCAACTCAGCTGGCCAAGACCCACTCACACCCCTGAGACCCAGCCTAGCCAGAGAACAGCTGGCTGATCTTGGCAGGAGTTTTAGGGCAGATAGTTCATCACCACAGCACCACTAATCCATTCATTTTCTTTCTCAATATAAGGACCCTTGAGAATGTTCCCATCTCCCTTCTGTGCATTTTTGCTGGCTTCCATCCCTGGGGAATCAGCCACATTTTCTCATGTGTCTTCAGGGCATCTTAGGACATAGGAAGGGGAAAGAAATGAAATTTTACCTTCAAAGATGAGAATGGAAGAGAGAATAAAGGAAACTGTCCTGGACCTCACAGGCAATAAACAAACAGTTAACTGAAGACTTCACTCTGATTCAATCCACTCTTCTTTTTAGTGATCTGCCTATCTGTGATGTATCTCCAGGCAAAAACTTTCATATACAGTAGTTTAAAAATGAGCTGTTTCTTCCTGCAGGTCTGACTGCACAGGCATATTGAGCGAGGCAACTTGAACACCAGGCTGAGGCCGATTTTGTGAAGCATCTTTCACTCTTTCTCTTTTCTGGGGATGTGGGACAGGTTGTGGGTGGGTGAGTGTGTGTGTATGCTGGACTTCTTTGGAAGATGTGGGACCCAAGAAGTATCACTGTGAGAGTTTAAGGAGACAGTTAATGACATGTGTTTACAGCCATTGTCACACAACAGCATCTGTAAGAAGATTGGACGTGATTATCTGGATCTAGCTTGAAGTAGTCAAGGCAAAGATATAATTGTGTAGTCTTGAAGCCAAATAAATCCCCAAATGAACAAAACAACCCACAATGAATTATATCATGTACTTTGCAAAGGTAGCTAAGCTTAGGGAAGACCCGGCACTGCACTAACCTCATCTCTCTTGGTTATTCACAAAAACAATTTGAGTCTAAGGGCAAGGCACCTTTGTCAGTTGCCCATTCCATTACTAATGTTGGACTTTCTTTTTCATTCAAGCCTGACAAAATGCTGCAACCTGACATCCCAGCAGGCAGTTTTCACTATTGTACTAACTACTCCATCTGTTATGAAGGTCACAAGAATGTATCTTGTTTTAAATTTTTCTATGGAGTGATTTATTGTCTTGGCTATAAATTTGTAAAGAAATAAAACGCTATTTCTTCATCGTCTCCTGAGGTGACAGCTTTATTCACAGCTCATGGGAAGTGCACGTTTCAGCCTTTTGGTGGGTACAGGCCACCAAGCTGTGTGCCATGGCGATCTCATGCCCACTGCTAAGATCTGTCCCATAATCAAATAAAGAAAGAACTTGAACATCTTTTGTGACCATCAGGGTGAGGGACTTTCATTGACAAATTTGAGAAAAATGATAGAAAATTTGGACAAGTCCATGAAATTGATCTAGAAATACATGGCCCCAGTCAAAAAATCGGAAACAGGTTTTTCTTTTCCATCACCATGTTAAAGTCCCTTAGTCTATTTCATGCATTACTTTTCCTGTGGTTCTCAGGGTGGGTTGTGGGGTAGTGCTCCCCACTGGAACCAGGAGTAACTGTGGCATCCCCATTATCCTCTGCGCCTATCATAGATCACAGTTCCATGATCCTGGTTTTATCCCCTTTCGTCATCGATAATCCAGCATTGATGTCTCCATAAAAGGGGAAAAGAAGGGAGATCACGATCAGCTGCTGCCAACAGTCCGGAGGCCGGTCCACTAACATGAATGTCAAAATGTGCAGCCTTGAGGCAGCTTTCATATTCCCTTTTAAGTTTAAGGACTCCCAAACTCCCTACCCATTGAAGGATAAACAAATAGTTTACACAAATATGCTTTCAACCCTTCATTGATCTCTGAATATATCGCCACCTCCCAAAGCAAACAATTTGCAAAGGCATTAGCTAGAGGGACTCTTTGGCTTTGTTTTGTTTTGTTTTCAGGAAATGCCTTTGAGTCAATATTTAGTCAACCTATTTTTTTCTTTGTATTTTCTACATTTATGATGCTGAAAGATGAGAATCTTTCCTAGGGCTGTAATGACTTTCATAAGCATATTTATTTTCTGAGAAGAAACAACTCTTGTTACATGACCTTCAGTTTAGGAAATGGAAGACTGCTATTTGTTACCCTGGAGGGTATGGCTTTGTGTGTTCTTCCTGTACTCGCAGTTGGACAGGTCTTAGGGAAGACCCGCTTATGGAAAGTGTTAATGATTCAATAGTGAGCGTAGTAAACACACAAACACAAACAATAGTTGACTCTTAAAATAAACAAATATAAATAAGCACACTAGTGTTTTAATATGTATGGGTATCTTTTTCAGTAGAGCTTCTGTGAAAAGCTTCTATTCTTATCCCAGTGACAATGCCATTACAGAAAACCAAGTAAAAAAGTATCTAAACTTAAGTGCTCTATGTCTGAAGCCATGCTCAGAGGAAAAAAAAATCTAATTCAAAAACGATTCATTCTCAGTATCTTTTTATACACAGATCATTCCCCTCTGATAACATCTCTTTTATTCTCTCCTACTTCTCTCTTGCAGTTTAATTCCATCCCTGCCTCCTTTCCTGCTTTTCTTTTTTTTTTTTTTTTTTTTTTTTTTTGAGACGGAGTCTCGCTCTGTCACCCAGGCCGGACTGCGGACTGCAGTGGCGCAATCTCGGCTCACTGCAAGCTCCGCTTCCCGGGTTCACGCCATTCTCCTGCCTCAGCCTCCCGAGTAGCTGGGACTACAGGCGCCCGCCACCGCGCCCGGCTAATTTTTTGTATTTTTAGTAGAGACGGGGTTTCACCTTGTTAGCCAGGATGGTCTCGATCTCCTGACCTCATGATCCACCCGCCTCGGCCTCCCAAAGTGCTGGGATTACAGGCGTGAGCCACCGCGCCCGGCCTCCTGCTTTTCTTCCTTAATCTCCTTCTCCCCAATTCTTTCCCTTGTTTTCTTCCTTTTAACCTTTCCTTCTTTTTGGTTGTCCCAACACAGCTTGAATTCAAGGTAGGTGTTTCTAGGGGCTGAAGCCCCCTGAGAACAGAACTGGTGGAAGATCTGTTTGGGGCTTGAGATTAGATTGAATTAGTGAGAGAACAAACAAGGCACAAAGCGATTGCTTTAAACTCATTTTCCACCTGCCTGCTGTAATGACATTAGGTTGATGGCATGGCCTCCTTGCCTGAGCATTGTAAATACAAGTGTTGAACACAGAACTCCTGGAAACCAAGGACACTGTCATCTATTGAAGTGAATACATCTGCATTCATTTTCATCCCCCTTCTTGGCACCACAGATAGTCACAGCATCCATCCTCTTTGATGTCTGAAGTTCTGCCAAAAAGTCTCTTTCAACTTGATAGCATTGGTCTTGCATACGAGGCAAAACAAAAGCTACTGTTTAGGGGACACACGGCACATCTTGCTTCAGAGACCTCCTTCCTTCGTGTGTGGCAGCCTCACTGGTGTGGTTCTTTGGCAACAGGATTCAGTGTCTCTAGCACACTTTTGCTTTGCTGTCTTCTTCAGAAAATTATTTACCTGGTCATCCTGACCAGCAGAGGTTTTGAGGGTAAATGAAGCTTCAGCCAGAGCTGTGCCTTGTCAGAAAAAAAAAAGTGTGTCTGTGGTGTAAAGAGGATACTGAGCTGAAGAGGAGAGCTGGGAAGCCCCTAACTTCAGTTTCTTTGAAGCGCTGCTCCCCAGACATGAGGTGAGAATCTTTCAGGCTCCCTGTGTCTTCCTAGTCACTAGCAAAGAAGAACACAACAGCTTTCTAGATGATGCCATATGCATTACAATGGCAGGATTTTAAAGTCCCTTCAAGAATAGTATACAGAAACATCAAAATCAAGGTGTTCAAAATTTAATCTATTAGCATTCTTTACTCAGGGGAATCCTCTTCCAATTTGTGTGTATGTGTGTGTGTGTGTGTGTGTGTGTGTGTGTGTGTGTGTGTGTTTGCATGTGTGTAGGATGGGAGATGGAGAAGGCTTGCTTTTTCCTTTAATATGTTTCCATGGCAAATGTTTTATTGGGTTGGTGGCTTCTATTCAACCAACTTGTAGGTTATAACCATTTGGCAGGCTTTTGTTTTCTTTGTTTAATTATTACCTTTTTTTTTTTTTTTTCTGGGAGATGGAGTCTTGCTCTGTTGCCCAGGCTGGAGTGCAGTGGTGTGATCTCAGTTTACTGCGACCTCCACGTCCTGGGTTTAAGCTCCTCCCCTGCCCCAGCCTCTCAAGTAACTGTAATTACAGGTGTGAGCCACAATGCCTGGCTAATTTTTTTGTGTTTTTTTTAATAGAGTAGATTTTTGTATTTTTCACCACGTTGGCCAGGCTGGTCTAGAACTCCTGACCTCAAGTGATCCACCCGCCTTGGCCTCCCAAAGTGCTAGAATTACAGGCATGGGCCACGGTGCCCAACCGAACAATTACCTATTTTCTTATATCAGGCTGCACATGTTTACTTGGAACAATTGGTGATTTTTAGGGCAAAGAAAATTCCATCAGACTTGTGGGATACTACCCCTCCCCCATAGCTTTTCTTTCCTTTTTAAAAAAATTAAACTAAATTAAATATTTTGTCTCCTTTTATGTCTTCTCACACCTTCAATCTTCCCCTGCTCCACATACAGCTAAATAATTTAGCCCCAGAAGTTCCCAAAGTCATATCTTTGGGCAGCTCAGATGCTTGTGATTACTTTTCTGTAGTTCTGAGCTGTGTTGTTTCAGAGGTGAGCCCAATAATCATTCTTTTGCCTTTTTTCCCCATTTTTGGGTCCATTTAGTATCTGGTATATTTTGTTGTCCTAATTTCTTGATAAAAGTATTAATTCTATTTCATTCAGCAATAACTTTGCATACAAGGATATTTTTGCATGAATCCTCTCACACGCATTTCATTTTCTTAGATCCAAAACTTCATTTGGTTAATCTTCAAGCTTCAAGTTGGGGACAGCAGAGGACATAGTGGTTTGCTTTCATGCAAAGTTCAGTCTGGGAAAGACAGTTGCTACATGCTGTTCTACAAATCATGTGTCAGAACAGGAATGGAGTCCAGGCACCAGCAGAGATACTCACCCTTCCCCGAGCACAATATGCCATCTGCTGATTCACACAGATTCTTGCTTTGTTCTTCCGTCATGTTACACTTCCGCGGATGTTGGCAGAGCTTTCCAAACCATCCTCTCTCACAAACACAGCGACCACAGGAACATGTGCCGTGGCCTGTGAAGCAACCACAGGAAAGGAGTGAGAGGATGAGGAAATAACCAGCTGAAGCAGAGAGTTTTAAGAAAGAAATGTGTAAACCATAGGATCTCATTTCCCATCCAACACATTCTTCTTTATGCATAGTCAATTTGGCATGTAATTGTTTGAAAGAACTTACAACAGAGTTCTAGCTTAACATAATAAATTTGAATGTAGCATAGGAGATGACTTGAGAGAAAGAAATCTTGCAATAATTTTAAATGGAATTATACCACCTTTCTTGATAGAAAATACTTCTTCATTTGCATTTTTATCAGTATGGAGTCTTAGCGCTATTCTTCATTGCACACACCATGCCATCCAGACCAATTTGCAAGGCTAGTCACATTACCACTGGTGGCAGTATTTATTGATTGTTCTCCTATTGCTTACTAATAAAACAAAAGGGTAACTTTCATACAAATGGCATTTGGTACTATATTAGTTTATCTGTATACCTCTCTGCTTACAAATAACAACAGATACAAGTGGAAGTAATGGTGTCTCTCTATTATTGCATAAAAATTAACATTAGCTTGGATTCATGTTTGGCACATTTTTTTTGGTTTGGTTCCTGACATTGGTTCCTGGTTTTTCAGATGTTTATCTTTTGGTATATATGTAACATTGTATTTGTGACAGCTATATACCAGGATGTACACCTGTTTATTGCCTGCCACCAACACACCATTAGATTGCATGATATTCCATTTCAATTTCTTCCATTTCAGTTTCCGCTCGACCCTTTATTCCTTTTCCTGATATGTGCATTACCTTACAGCAGGGTCTCTCTGAATCAACTATTTGCCTAGCGAAGAGTTACTGAGTATCTGTTATCAACAGAGCATTTTGCTATGCACTAGGGGATACAAAATCAAGCACCATGGACAAAGTGGTCCCTGCTCTTCTCCCAGGGACAGATACGCTCATCATTCACACTGATTAGCCTCTCTGAAGCTGTTGACACCGTTCTCTCCTGACCATTTGCTCTGGCAGGACCCTCAGGAGTGAACCTTGCTCCATCTGCTCCCCCTCCATTCAGCTCTCCACAGGGAGGATGAGTAACCAATGCTTAATGGTTTGCAATTAATTATTATAATTATTTTTTCTTTTTTTTTTAGGAGTGATAGGAATTTCTTTAATTTCTACAGAAATCCCTCTAACAGTTTAGTGGAGAATGAAATAGATGGCTGTGAGAATTGAGAGCATGAACGTGTGCAGACTGGTGGAGAAGCCCAAGTTTTGGCATGAGAAATACAGTGAAAAATGCAGTAGAGTAAATGGAGTGAAGGACACTTGCGAGAATGCGGATCGGTAGGACGTGGTAAGTAACTGTGGTGAAAAGGTTTTTGATCACTGAGAGGTAAGCAGAAGTCTCCTGGAGAGGGTTTCTTGGAAAACTATTTTTTTTTGTTGTTGTTGTTTTTTTTTTTTTTTTTGCTTTTTAAATTAAATAAGAGAGATTTTCCCTGGGTTATACCACATCCCTACCTCACAGGCCATGCAACAAGTGCCTCCTAACAGCCAGAGAAGGTCTGGGAGAGCGGTTTTTTAATCCAGCATATGTTGCTCCCCTGGAGAAAATTGGGATCCTGAAAGAAAGACAGGATACTAGGAATGTCTGACATTCTTTTAAAAAATATTCTGGGAAAAACATCGGATACGAATGGGGGACTACTAAATCTGCAAGAAAAATGTCGCTGCCATACCTTTAACATGCACTCAATCAGCAAGTGCTCTGGCACTTTCTAAGGCTAATGACTGTTCTTGTCACACAGGTTAGCAAAAAAGGAAAAAAGTAAATAAATAAACAAATAAATGAGGTAATTGTGGTCTTTTTCACCTAGCTTGATTTACATGCAAAGTAAAAACAAACAAAGAAACAAACAAAAAACCCAAAAACTGAAACCATTAAAGTTTAAAAGTAGCATGCATGTAAACATGTGACCGATAATTGGCTCAGCCAGATCGGAACTGACTCTAGTTCCTCTGATTCCAATGTCTACACTCTTCCCAATGTGTTGCTTTGCTTCTATATTTCACTTTAGAAAGTGAGACACAGCAGGATTTCTTAATTCTTGTCTCTTTCAACCACCACATCATTTGAAGGTATATATTTGATATTCACAGGCACTTTCTCTCCTTGCAAGTCTCTTCTCTATTGGCATGCCACAAAATTCTCTTGGCCTCATTCAACACTCCTCCTTTGTCTCTATTTATTCTTCTACTTTTTTTTTTTTTTTTTTTACTGAATGAATAAGTGCAGGTATTCACCCAATGTTTATCTTTAATCATCTTTTTTAATCTCTCCATAATTTCTTTCTTGAAAAATCCATTAAATTTTGGGCTTTCAGATAACTGCCAAGACCACAGGGCTGTATCTCCAGCCCCTGATTTTCTCCTACATTCCCCTTTCATGATTCCACACTTTGTGTTCTATTAGCATCCCCACTTAATACCTCCAGAGCTACATAGGCAGGGTCCGACCCATAGACCCTGGTGGAACAACGGATGAACAAATGCACCCAGACACAGGTATCCAGTGAAAGAGTGGGCTAGGGGACCAGGCTGCTCACAGACACCAGACACCAAGGAGGGTGCTGTAAAGAGTCAGCAGCCGTGGCCCTGACAAGCTGGCACTGCAGGCATTTATTCAGTATAGATTTAATCACAAAGGCTCTGAGTCAACACACTTGTGGGCAATTTACATGGTCTCTCCCGTCCCCTCCCCTCCCCAGAGAGAGTAGTCCTGCACTCAGATGATCAAAGCCCAGGTTCCAAGGCCTATGTTAACTTACTTATTTAGATTAGTTTCACCAGATAAGAGAATCTGGCTGCCTTCAGCCAAATCCTTTTCCAAAGCTTTTGTAAAATCTTCCAGCCTTCCAAGAAGGTTTGCATCTTCTACAATTTTTCCCACCACCCTGACCGATCTCCTACATCCATATATGATTTTCTTTCCAAAAGCTGCTTGTCTTTCTCATTTCTTTTAATGTAACAGCTATCCTTTCAATCAACCAGTTCATGATGTTTTGAGTCTCATTTGAATTTCCCTTACTGCCCTCATCCAGCTTGTTGTCAAGTCTTGTTGAAACCACCTCCAACATTCCCACTTACATCACCATCACAACGTTGGAAAAAACTTCCTGTCATGTCTCTCCAATACTCTGGCTCGTAGATTCCTACAGCACAACTTGCCTTGATATTTAGTCCCGTATAACTTCCTAATACTCATGGCATAGAGTTTACCTACTCTAGCCTTTGTTATGTTTTAGCTTCTTGAAAAACAGAAGCTACATTTCCAATTGTATTCCTTCTCTTCTCCCTTTAACCAAACTGGCCCATTCATTGTTTCCTGCACATTTGTCATGCTTTTCTGACCTCATGTTTTTGCAGAGGTAGAAGTACCTTTCCCTTACTATACACATTCAGGTTCTGAGTAATTTTCAAAGCTCAGCAAAAAGCGACTACCCTTCTGTGAAGATTTACCTAATATCCCTAAGTGAGACTCATTGTCTCTCCTCTGAATTTCTGTAATACCTTATTTTTTTTTTTTTACCTCCTGTGGAACTTTTTTGACTTCCATCTCATGGTATATAGTTATGTGTCAAATGAATCCACTACTCTACTATGAATTTTCTGAGTATTACTTCTGTCAGCACTGTAGTCTTCAGAGTGCCTAACACAATGCCTGAGACACAGTGGATCTTCAAAAACTTGGAGGAGATTGAAATTGTCTTTTTCAAAACATCTTTCTCATTTTTACCCACAAATCAAACTGTAGAGTAGAGCCAAGTTAGAAAACTGGCACCCCTACGCCCCTATCTACTCAATGAATAATTGTTAAATTGAGTACATCTTTACTTCTCCATGAAAACCAAAGTCCACTTAAAGTCCAGATGTCCTTAAAGAGTTAAATAAAAAGTTGTCCATCTTTGAAGGCAGAGAATCTGTTGTACAAGAAACCAAAAATGAAGAGAAAGAGAGCTTCTAGTACCAGCTCAATTGGGCTATGAACTTCTCAAATGCTCATGTTTCTTACTGACCCTAGGTTGGTAAGAATTATCACAATTTGACACAACTGAAATCATTTAATCTGTATTGCATAGAAAAATATTCTGTCTTTTTTTTGTTTTCTGCCTTTTTTTTTCAAATTTAATTAGTACTATATGGAAAATGAAAATACATATTATGAAAATGTGTAGGATACAGCAAGAGTAATACTTGGAAAGAAATTTACAGCATGAATGCAATCAGAAGCAATGAAAAATATAAAATCAGTGATGTAATCTTTCACTTTAAAACACTAAAGAAGAGCAATATAAAACTAAATTGGTCATAAGAAAAGAAATACAATCAATTCCATGACAAATCAATACAACTGGAAATAGAAAACCAACAGAGAAAATCAATAAAACAAAAGTTGGCTATTTGAAAAGATCAATAAAATTGATAAATATTAGGCCAGGCTAAACAAGTAAAAAGAGAGAAGACACAAATGTTCAATATGAAAATTAAGAGAGAGATGATTATATCTTACCTTATGGACATTAAAAGGATAATAATAGAATATTACAAACAATGATTTGTCCAAGAATCTGATAACCTGGATCATTTGGACCAATTCCGTGAAGACACAATCTATTAAAACCCACATAAAAAGAAACAGATAATTAAAGTAGACCTATGGCTACTTTTTTCTACAATATTTTTTATTATGGTAAAATAGATATAACATAAAATTTACCATCTTAACCATTTTAAGTGTATGGTTCAGTAGCATTAAGTATATTCTCATTGTCGTACAACCATCACCACCATTCATCTCTAGAATATTTTCATCTTCCCAAATTGAAACTAAGCACCCATAAAACAGTAAGTCCCATTCCCTTCTCTTCTCAGCTCCTGGAAATCACCATTCCAGCTTCTGTCTATATATCTGACTACTCTAGGTACCTATATAAGTGAAATCATACAGTGTTTTTCTTTTCATGACTGGCTTATTTTATTTAACATATCTTAAAGATCCTTCCATGTTGTAGTATGAGACAATTTTTCCCCTTTTAGAAGTTGATATTCTGCCTTTGATTTACAATATTATTAAGAATAATTTTATGGCATCTCATTGCAAATAATATAAAATGTTATGCAAGAAAATAGATGATTTTTTATTTATTTATTATTATTTTATTTTATTTTTTTGAGATGGAGTCTTGCTCTGTCACCAGGCTGGAGCGCAGTGGCAATTTTGACTCACTGCACCCTCCGACTCCCGGGTTCAAGCCATTCTCCTGCCTCAGCCTCCCGAATAGCTGGGATTACAGGCATGTGCCACCACGCCCAGCTAATTTTTGTATTTTTAGTAGAGACAGGGTTTTACTGTGTTGGCCAGGATGGTCTTGATCTCCTGACCTCATGATCTGCCCGCCTCGGCCTCCCAAAGTGCTGGGATTACAGGTGTGAGCCACTGTGCCTGGCGATGATTTTTTATTATTAGCTAATCTATTATATCCTTCCACGAAGTTAAGTTGGTATCTAGCTCAGCCAATCATCAAAATACATTAATATTCAAATGCTTTGAGTTGTCATTTATATGACTTTACTTAAGAACAAAACAACTTTCAATACCCTCTTTTTAATAAACTCTAATAATTTAGTTATCTCTTCAAGAAATATTTTCTATGTATCAGGAATTGTATTAACAGCTTAGAATATAACAGTAAGTAAAATAGGCATTGGCCCTGTCTTCATGGTAATTACGGTCTTCTAGGGAAGAAAATAACGATAAGCAACATTTGAGTAATAGAAGACAAAAAGAAAATGCTAGTATATTCAATAGCAAGAACACTGTTAACTAGGGTAGTCAGGGAAGGGTTCAGTGACAGCCAAGGGATGAGAAGGAGCCAGACAGCCAATGTTCTAGGAACAGAGCCTAGAAAAACAAATGAAAAGTTCTTGGGACAAGAAATAGCTTGGCATGTTACAGGCAGTAAAAGAAGGCCAACGTGTTTGAAGAATAGTAAGTCAAAAACACTGAATAATGAAGGTGGAGAAATATTCCCTTCTCAGAAATGAGAACATAGCAAATGATTTACTCTTGGTAAAAAAAATCTAAATTTATTTTAAGAGGATTGAGAAATGACAGAAGGATATTAAGGAAGTGAATGATGTGACGATATAGTTTACACTTTGCAAACTCATTTGGCAACTAGGTGGGACAGATTAAGGTATGTTGGGAGGAATGAATATGGGGAAGTTAGAGGGTTCTTGCTGTTTTCCAAGTGAAAAGTGATAGAAGCTTAAAGGACAGTGGTGGCAGTGGAAACACAGAGAAGTACATGGAAATCTATTTTGGTGATGGAGCCTGTATATGTGGGACACAATGTTGGACTGGATGTGGCAAGTGAGGAAAAGACAAGACAAGTTTTCTAGCTAGAAGAAATAGTGTGAATAATGATGCTGTTTATTGGGTAGGGGCACTTCAGGAGAAAGAGGTTGAGGGCAGAAAAACAGCTCTGTTTTGAGCCTGTTGTATTTGAGACACTCTTAAGACAATGAGATAGTGAGGTCAAGTAAGCAGCTAGGCACAAGCTGCTGCTCAGAGAACATGTTAGTGCTGGCTCTAGGCATACACATGTTAGAGCTTACAAATGTGGATGGCACTTAAAGCCCTAGAAGTGAAGCAGCTATCCAGGGAGAAATTAGTCTTGGGGACCCCAATATTTAGAGTTAGGTAACTAGAGAAGCCAGACAAGAACATTCAGTAAGGAAGGAGAAAACTAAGATTGTGTTGTCTCATGAAATGACAAAGGAGCGTGTCCCATACTGGAGGTCTACTAAGTGGAATGTTCCTGGAAATTTGAGTTTAAAAAATAAGACCATAGAAGTAGTTTTATTCATCTTTTGTCTCACCAACACGACTGTGTTGCCACTTAGACCTGTAAGAGGAACACCCAGGAGTGGTGGAACTGTTGGAGAATCATCTACATGGACCATTCATTGATAACAACATCTGTGTTTAAAGAACTGCCCAAGACTCGGTAATTTGGAAGGAAAGAGGTTTAATTGACTCACAGTTCTGCATGACTGGGGAGGCCTCAGGAAACTTACAATTATGGTGGAAGGGGAAGCAAATATGTCCTTCGTCACATGATGGCAGGAAGAAGAAGTATGAGAGTCGAGTGAAGGGGGAAGCCCCTTATAAAACCTTCAGATCTCGTGAGAACTTACTATCATGAGAATAACATGGAGAAAACCACCCCCGTGATTCAATTACCTCCCACTTGGTCCCTCCCACGACACTTGGGGATTATAGAAACTACAATTCAAGATGAAATTTGCGTGGGGACACAGCCAAACCATAACAATGATAAACGTCATACTGGAAGGGCAGAGCAGAAGAGAGAGATGGGGTTCAGGGACACTGTGGTGCTCAGGCAGTCGCCTCACCATCCAACCCTGGAATGACAACCTGAAGACTCAGTATTTGTGTCTATCACCTTCAGCCAAACACAGGACTAACTGATCCTCTTACAAATTCACGAAACAGGTGTGCAATTTTAAGATGTAATTTGGAGACAATCACATTCTGACTGTATTGTTCAGTTAAGAAAGGGTTAGTCTGAGTGTGTGATCTGATCTCTTCCTCATACAAGAAATCCATCAGTGCCTGGGAGTCACTGAATTCATACTCTCAGGCGGCATGATCTCCTTCAAATTGCAGCGATGAACTAGAGAACTCCCTGAAGAAATGTGAACTGATTGTGTAATTAAGAGGTGGCTCTTCATTATCCCTTCTTGTTTTTTAAATTGGACTCATGGGTAGCTATTCCAGGAGTATAGAGGAAAGAAGAAAAGCAATAAGCAGCCTAGTTCTTATTCTCACCCTAGGTATATGGCACACAGGAGGGAAGTCTCTGATTTAACTTATATTAGGCTAAACAATTAAACACACATGTGCCAGTATGTGAATATATTTCACTTGTGTAATCTTAAAATGATATACCAATAAAATAAATAAATCTTACGAACTATCACTGGACAAGTCATGCTTTTTATAAATAGTGACTTATCTGATAATAAATCCATGCATGCATAGGTTGCATAACATCTTCTTTTAATAAAGATGTTTTGAGAACATCCACAGACAGTCTATGATGATTGAACATGACTCACAAGTTAATTAAATGAAGAACGATCTCACTTCATGCTGATTTTCTTTCTGCTAGTCATTTTCATGACTCTTTTCCAGGTTGTAATTTTGGTGTAATCAAAACTGAACTGTAAAAATTATGAAATTAGTTACATTCACCTTCAGGTACAATTGCTAATTTATCCAACCTATCAGAATTGGTTTAATCATCTTTAGTGTTATTGGTAGGAAAGGGGATAAACACTATTGGCTCTTAGTGCTCATGCATCTGCTGATCAGTTAAGTTTATACATGTTTTTTATCTTACTTATTTGCTTGTTTGCTAAAATGCTAAGACAGTCCCTGATTTTGGAGTCAAGTACCATATTTTACTCTCTGGCCACATGTTGGATATATAGGTTTTATATTCTCCATATGAAAGGCCACAGATCTTATGGTTTAGTGTCTGGTGGAGAACTAAAAAAATTACCAAAATGAGTGACTCTCTTATTTTGTTATTCTCTGAAGCCATAACAGAGGGATGATGTCTGTGTGTTTCACATTCTCATATTAGTAAGATTTGTTCTCCACTGGAGAGATGATGGGGGGGACTAATTGCTTTGGAAAAACCAGCTGCAATTTCCTCCCCGAGGTACAGAGCTGCTGATTTGTGTGAGTCCAACTTCCTTGCAAAACGCTCTGCAGCTAGTGCTTCCAGATACCTGAGACAGATGTATTATTTTGTTCTGTAATGCAGATGGCCACTACAATCTTTTATTTTTATTACAGATACAGGGCATTCATCAAATATTCACTGGCACATAGTACCAGGCACATTTCCGTCTTTATGTCTCTTTCTTTCCATAAAGCCAAATGGATTATTATCCTTATTGTATATAGGAGTAAACCAAGGTAGACAGGTCAAACAAATACATAGGTAAACCAAAGCAGAGAAGACAAACAACCTGTCCAAGTTACTACAATAAGCAGGAAATAGACCCAGAATTAAAATCCTGGTCTGTCTGAATACAGGGTTCCCATTCGTCTTGCTATATGGCACTGCCTCACTTAATTCCAAAGAAAATGGTTACTTCTTCTCACTTAAATCTTACATGAAAAAATGCAACAAAGTGCACACCATGTACATTAAAGCAACTGAGGATACCATACAATGTGGACTTTCTCTAGACAAAATATCAAAATACCCAAAGAAGATTTATGAATTTATATTTTGAAAATAATTTTACTCCTCAGAAACAAAACCTAGGAAGAAATACAACATAGTGTCATCAGATATTATTCTAGGATGATCAATTAATGGGTGATTTTTATTTTGTGGTTTCCATTTCTCTCTATATATTTTTTTAATTTTGAAAGCAAAAACACCAATTTAACAATATTTTTAAAGACCTGATATCTAAAGATGAGCCAAGTATAAGAAATGAAGGTGACATAATATATATTATAAATAATACATGAGTAAGTAATATGTGAAAAAAATCCTTTCTAATGATGGGTACAGAAGCAGCTGAGAAAGAGCTCTTGATGTAAAAAAAAAAAATGAAATCGATATTTTCCTTCAATATCTAATAAATAACTTTTCACCTGTGTGCTTTTGCCCAGCTTTCCCAGGCCTAAAATATTCTTCACATCCTATTTCTGCACATCTAAATACTAGTTGTTCAAGGTCCAAATCACATCCTCACCTCAACTTGAAGAATCCTGTATCCAAAACTGGAATAGTTCTTCCTTTCTCATTCTCCTTAATTGTGAATCCTTTACTTGATCATTTATTCAAATAAAAATATTGAGCACTAACCTTTATCCTAGCTTTGAGCATATGATAATGAGAGAGAGAGATTGATTATATCCATGAGAATTGTAGACTTAAAGAAAAGGGACACAGGGACACTCTCAATACAACTTCATCACACTACGATGCAGGTGGTGCGGTATAGAGGAAGTAGGACATCATTTCAGAGAGGCTTCCTATAGGAGGTAATTTGGAAAAATCATGGAAGAATGGAAAGACAATAAGTTATTCACAAGGAGAAGTGACAATAAGGACTAGGAGAGGGAACTAACATACCCAAGGGATATGTTCCAAAGGGAGCAACATATCCAAGTTTCTCCATCTCTGTTGCTCTCTGTGAAGAAACCAATTTTTCAAGAAATGGAGACAACTGGTCAAGACAAGCATAGTCTCCTCCACCATTCAGTTGCTCAAAACAGAAACCTGGTGTCATCCTTGATCCTACCCTGCCCCTCATATTGTGCAATCATGAATTTCCTTAAATATGCTTGTACTCTGGGGAGGGAGCTCTAAGTTTCAACTAAGCTCTCAGGCTGACACTTGCCACCAATCTCCTTTGAAGGCTGTGGGACAGGAGCCACATCTTACCAGCAGGCACTGTCAGGCACCAGGATATACCCATGGGAGTTCTTGCAGGAGTTCATGAGGATGAACTCATATAATTGGGGACTATTTTCTCTTGGGATAACACAGCCCATATGCACAGAGATGAGATCCACACTGCACAGATGTTGAGGCTTTTCTGGCTTAGAAGAAGTCGCACGCCCAACAGGAGCCAAAATCTTTCCCGATGATTCCGTAAACAGCTTTCAAGGAGCCCACAAGGGACAAGACTGTTGGCAGAGTTATGACACTTATGAAATCCAAAAGCATGAGGTTCCCATCAGCTGCTTATAGTTCAATTCATCATCTCTTCCAATGTAGTTGAAACTTATCAATCATAAATCATTATGACCATGAGCAATGTTGCTTGTTAACACTGCAATGCACCATCTTCATCTGTTGCCAGGGAACCAGAGCTAGGAGTTTAACAGAGTGCTGGAGTCTCTTGCAGCAGGGTGAAGGGTTTTGTTAGTCTCTTGACCCCACTGCTTCTAACATGTTCTCCAACACATTCAAGATCCTCCACCTTTACTGTCTTCCATCCAGCTAAGGCACCTTCATCTCTCACCAGGGCTCATCTCCTAACATCCAGATTCACCTACCAACCCACAAACACACATAGTCCTTGGAGCAATCCATACTCCATCTGACAACCAGAAGTACTTTTTAAAACACTGTGATCATGTTTAAGCTCTGTTTAAGCCCTTCCTTTGGTTTCCTGTCACCTTTAGAGTAAAGCCTCAAGTTATTAACATGTTTACAAAACACGTCACACTCTTTTCCCTTTGGTTTTCTAATCTGCAATCACACAGGGTTTTTCTCTGGTCCTCAAATGTTCCTGGCACACGTCACACACTCTCTTTTCTCCCACACAACTGAGCACAAGCTGCTCTCTGACTGTACCCCACTTCCCCTACTTGGCCAAGTTCCATGTATCCTATTACTACCAAGTATTGTTGTGAGGTGTAGTTAATACCTGTAAAGCACATAGTCTGCATTACATAGTTGTTATCCAGATATGAAGGCATTAGAGAAGTCTTTCTTAGCCTTCAGCCTATGTTAAATCCCCGTTATGTATATTCCCATTGAATCAAATCTCTTTTCAGATCACTCAGCTCCTTTTCATTCCTTTCTCAATGTCCTCCCTTCACGCTCAACCATAAGCTCCAGGAGAGCAAATGCTCTATGTTCACCACTGAATGTCTAGTGCTGGCAAATAGTAGACACTCAATGAATATTTGTTTAGTTAATGAAAAAATAATTACTTCAGTTTAAACCATGCGTAATTTGGAGGAATTCCCATATGAAAATCTTTTATTAGAAATTGAAAAGAATCTAAAGCCAAGGATGACTGATTGCTGATCAATCATTTCAAGAGACATTGACCTAAATATGAAAGTGGAAGAGACTGAGATTACTCCAAAGCAACAAATAGACAGAAAAAACATACAAAAGCCATTTCTGGCCAGGCTCAGTGGCTCACACCTGTAATTCCAGCTCTTTGGGAGGCCAAGGCAGGAGAATCCCTTGAGCCCAGGAGTTCAAGATCAATCTGGGCCACTTAGTGAGACCCCCAAATCTCCACAAAAAATAAATAGCCAGCTGTGGTGGTATGTGCCTGTAGTCCCAGATACTCAGTAAGTTAAGGCCAGAGGATTGCTTGAGCCTAGGAGTTTGAGGTTTCAGTGAGCTCTGCTTCTACCACTGCACTCCAGCCTGGGTGACAGAGTGAGACTCTGTCTCAAAAAGAAAAAAAAGAAAAGAAAAGAAAAGAAAAGTAACAATGGTAACAAGAGCAGAGACATGTAGATGGCACTTTCAAGGGGCCAGGCAAGCTTTTTATACATGAATACGTATATATACATACATACATATTGCTATGATAAATAAATGAGTTAATATATGTCATGTCCTTAACAAACAAAAAGAGTAAAACCTACATAGGTATTTCTGGTTAACTAATACCAGTGAACAGAGGATTTAACCTAAGAATAATATTGACATATTGTTAAAACACGTTGGTGTCACTCTAGGGAAAACTGTGACTGACATAAGGAACGATCTGTGAACTAAATATCAGAGCTGAAATTCTGGGTCTGCCACATTTTAGTTATGGGATGTTAACTTCTCCAACCTCACTCTATTTTCCATTTATGAAAGAAAAAATAGTAGAAACAATCTCTTAGGGTGGCTGCCATGACAATGGCATAAGATAAACTGCCCAGCACAGCAGATGTTTTACGAATTTATGCCTGGTGTTCCATTATTGGGACGCTAAGCATGTGGGAGTTTTTTATATCCTACTGCTCCAGGTCATCACCAAGGTCTGACTGCAAAAATTCAAAAAAGTCTAACCTCAGTCATTAACAGGTTAAAAGGGCTTTTCCCCTCAACTCACAGAGAAAGGAAAGAAGAAAGTATTTTTTTGTCAGGTTTCAAATGTCTTATCGTTGGTTAGAGAGAGAACAGGCATATGGATGATTGATATAGATAGATAATAGATACACAGATAATAGATGATAGATAGATAGATAGATAGATAGATAGATAGATAGATAGACAGACAGACAGATAGGATGGATGGATGGTGCCTCAGCCTTCCATTAAGACACACACTCTACTACCCATTAGTTATTTTTCCTGATCCTCTCCCTCAACCCACCCTCCACCCTCCAATAAGACATATGTAACAAGCCTACCTATGCATCCCTGAACTTAAAATAAAAGTTAGAAAAGACACACATTCTGTTTCTTTCCCCCAATAAAGGGATATAATTATTTTCTTGTAATGTAATTCCATGTCCACATCACTTCATTTATACTGGAAACGTGGAAAGATCTGTAATTCACATGCATCAGCCTCAGCGATATGAACTTTTTCAAGAATGCAATGCAAGAATAATGTTGACCCACATTCCCAGCCATGGAGGTGCTCGGATCAGCACTCTACTCCTGGGACTCTCATTTTTGTGGGTTACCTCTGCTCACTACCTTCTATCTGCCTCACTCATTCTCTGGACAGTTTATTAATGCCAGTGAGCTCTTGTTTGGGTATGAGAGGCATCATAGAATCTGAGCGTATACCTCTTGTGATTTCTAAGAGTAATCTTACTCCATTTTTTCAAGTTTGTGGGTGATATTATACTTTCTCCTACCAGTGTTTATAAATAAAGTAATGAAAATCATGTTAAAATGCTGACTTGCCCCAAAACCTTTCACGATCATAAAGTATCTTAGTACTTAGATTCAATGATCTTTTATTGATAGTGTACTGCGTACTTTCACATACCTGCTAAATAAAGAGTTCAGGGAAATAAAAGTCATTACAAACCTAATTGTATATTGCTTTTAGGTTCAATGGTATATTGCTTTCTGTTTATCTTATTTTTAACAGCAATTGAAAAAGCAAGAGTCAGTAGAATAACAAAGGCAGGTAAAGCAAGTTGCATGCAGGTAGCATACAGCTATGAGAAAGGTTACTACCTCCACAGACCACACCATCGAGGTCTTCACAGCGGCGATCATCACACTCACAAGTCTTGCCATACACCCGGCGATCTCCTGGAGGATAGCAGGTGCATTTGCCACATTCACATTTACCTGGAAAGTATAAAGAAAGTGCACACTTATGAGGAGAGTCCCGGAATCACTAAGGCTTTCAAGGAGGTGAGCACACTATTAAACCCAAATCTCCTAGAATAGTTCCAGTCTGTGCCTGATAATAGTTACACAAATACACATTTCCAACCTCCCTAAGGTAAGCTGAAGTTCAAGAAGAAATTCCGTGGTGGTCTGGAGTGGAAGTGGCAGTTGCTGTCTCAGAAGTCATTCACATTTGCTATTCTCTAATTTTTGTTTCATTCATTTTTGAATAAATCCATTATAAAACTCTCTGGCTATTTCATATACAACTTATCCTGATGATTCCTTGAACATAACATAATACATTATATATACTGACATAATTTAGTATGATGTGGCCATTTTAAAATGTTTTAATCTTGGGTCTATCTGCTCCATGAGAAAAAAAAAGTGGTCATAGGTAATATTTCAATGTGCTATTTTAGTGACTATTTGTAGTCAATTTTATAGTTCATAGAACTCATTTTAGCATAGAACCTATGTCAAAGAGCATAACCTAAATATCTTTATTATCCTCGTCTTAAAATTTAAAATTATAAATATTTTTGCAATGAATTTGGTTCATCGTTTGGGAACCCCTTAACTAGTCCCATTATGCTGACTTTCATCATGATTTATTGAGTGGTAACTATGTGTCAAACACTATCATTCCCTGCATGACATCATTTCATTTTCCAACACCACACATTGACTAGAATCATTACAATCATTTTACTAAACAGGAAGCCGAGACATATTGAGGCCAAGTAACTTTCCAATGGTGAACCAGCTAGGAAGAAATAGATTCAAAATTTACATCCATTCTCATTAACCTCAAAGTTTGCACAACTAACCATTAAACCACATTGTATCTTAATGTACATCTAATGCAGCACCGGAAGGCTATATGAGAAAGTAAATTTCTTTTGTTTGAGGAATCACTACTGGTTTGCCAGAAATTTGCTTGGGTGACAGTGCTCCGAGACATCTGTTACTCCCTGTCATTAGCCCAACCATCATAATTACACACCCACTGAAATAATCACAAGATGCTTCAGGGCTGACCTTGCAATGTTGTTAGTCACTCTGTTGCTGAACTTGTATCTTGTTAAAGAAATTCTGAGTTGGTGGATGATGGGGGAAAGAAAAATTAGTATTTAGGATCATATAATTTCAGAGCTGTAATTAAAGATAATCTAATGCAATGATTCATAATATTTTCTAGCTGACATGATGGGGTCACGATCCCTTTGAGAATCTGGTGAAAGACATGGCAATACAGTGTTGTGCTGGCTGACCTTCAACTAATCTCTACTTGGAGGTAGTCCCAGGTTCAGCAGGAGGCAGGGGTCCCTCCTTCAACGATATTCCCTCTTCCTATACCCTGGCAGCTAGAACAGGCACACATCAGACACCCTTGGTCAGGGCTTTTATTCTTGAGGGTGAAAGCAAAGGCACAACGTCTGTGGGCAGTGTGGCAAATGCAACAGCATAGCAATTCTGGGAGCCTTGAAGCTCAGCCTGCAGTGGCTGACATTCAGAAGTGATGGCAGCAGGAACTGGTTCTTGGCAGTGCCTTGCTTCCCCAGGTTGCTGCAGGAGCTAATTGTTCAAAGTTGCATTCTGAGCCTAAAGCCTTCTAATAAAATATTTTTTATCCCTTTTAATGAAGTTGGTTTTGTTGTTTGTAATCAAGAACCATAATTGGCAGAACACAGATCTATCCCTGGAAAAATATACCAATACACATTTTTTTTGGTAAAATGTCAGAAGGATCCATGACTTCCTTCAATTTATTTAATAGATGAGGAAACTCAAGCATGCTGGGGCTAAATGATTTGCCCAAGGCCAGCTCTCTATCTATTAGTAGTGTTGGTTTTAGAACCTAGATTTTCTGAACTCCAGTCACCTTTCAATGTGCATAAATGCTCTAATCTTTTTCATGGGTGGATGTGCAAATGATTCCAATAATGCAGGCTGTGGGGAGAAAGAGGCAAACTGTAGTACCATCAGCAGTGTGGTCTGGATATGGTGAACTGTTCCTTCACACACAGATGTGGGAAGCCATGATCATCAGTTGCATTATTCCTGAGGGGCAATGCATTCCAGTTACATAGAACCAGTTTCTACGTTTCAGGGTATATGTATTCATGGTGACAAATTTATTCACATTTTAAGTAATTTTAAGTAATTCACATTTTAAGTAATTTTCCTGAATGTGCCTCATTGGCTTCTGTGCCTCTTCAGAAAAGATGAACTAAACACTGGCATATGTGTTCAGATTTCAACATTCCGTTGTTTTCATTGTGGATAATTTCTGTCCCATATTTTTGTGTAAAGTTAGACAATAAAGTGTTAATATTCTGGCGTCGGCACATTTTCTTTCCTGATAAATAACAATTCACATATCTTTTTAAAATATCAGAGAATATAGTAACCAATTTCCAATTCTTTTTTCACCATGTATCTATTGGAGTTTTAAAATGACTAATACTAAGGCAACTATGAGATGAATTAACCTTTTGCATGTAACCCTAATACAGTTTATAAGATACAGTGGCTTCTGATAAAAATCAAAAATAACGTATTAGGATGGGCACCAAAAATAGAATAAGACGTACTGTTTGGTAGCACAATAGGATGACTACAGTCAATAATAACTTAATTGTATATTTTAAAATAAGTGAAAAAGTGTAACTGAATTATTTGTAACTCAAAAGGATAAATTCTTGAGAGGATGAATAACCCATTTTCCATGGTGTGCTTATTTCACATTGTGTCCTATATCAAAACATCTCATGTCTCCCACAAACATATACACCTACTATATATCCACAACATTTTTTAAAAAGTTAACAATTAAAATATAATGCATTAGGAAAGGCTAATTTATTGCAGACAGAGAGGTAAAAAAGAGTAAATTCTTCATGCATTCCATATTTTTTTGGGTTTTTTTTTAGAGACAGAGTCTTGCTCTGTCACTCAGGTTGGAGTGCAGTGGCATGATCTCGGCTCACTGCAACCTCCGCCTCCTGGGTTCAAGCAATTCTCCTGCCTCAGCCTCCTGAGCAGTTGGGACTACAGGCACGTGCCTGGCTAATTTTTGTAAGTTTATTATTTTGCTGCCTCAGTTCACAACTTCTATTTAGCCACTACCACAAATCACTACCAATTTTGTTTCAGTCATTATCATATACCTATCAGGTAAATTTCCAATCATTCTTCAAGGTCCAAGGAAAACTTCACCAAATCTGTGACATTGGCATCCTCCTACTCACACAATTTCACAAATACAATAAAATTAACTATGCTTCTTATGTGTCCTCATAATTTTTTTTTTTTTTTTTTTTTTAGGCAGAGTCTTGCTCTGTCCCCAGGCTTGAGTGCTGGCAGTGCAGTGTTGCAATCTTGGGTCACTGCAACCTCTGTCTCCTGGGTTCAAGCAATTCTCTTGCCTCAGCCTCCAGAGTAGCTCGGATTGCAAGCATGCGCCACCACACCCAGATGATTTTTTTTTTTTCTATTTTTAGTAGAGACAGGATTACACCTGTCGGCCAGGCTGGTTTTGAACTCCTGGCCTCAAGCAATCCACCCGCCTTGGCCTCCCAAAGTGCTGGGATCACAGGTGTGAGCCACTATGCCCGGCAATCATAATGTTTTGAATCAATATTTATTGAACACGTGCATTAAACAGTAATCATATATAAATACTATAGAAATATTCACACAATACATGAGCATTAATGGTAGAACTTGAATTTGAAATGGTATATCTCTCCCAGAATAGATATTCATTTCCAATTGCCTGAATACCTTCATTTGTGTTTTCCATGGTCAGATCAATTAAATATGTCCCACGACAAATTCATCATCTGTATTCACAAACCTACTCTTCTTCTTGGGTCTTCTGTGAAAATCCACATAATCTGCTTTTTAAAAACATACATATGATTGTGTAATTCCTTTGCACAAATCCCTCTGATGGCCCCATGTAACCTTCAAAGCAAAGACTAGATTCTTCAACAGAGTTTTCCACACATGGTCCAACTTAAACTTTTCAAGTATATATCCAGCAATTATAGAGCACTCATGTTCAGAGACTTTATGTTCCCTATTTCTTCCCTCCGTGGTGCACACCACCATTTTCTCTGTAAAGTCCTACTCGGTGTTCTATAGCCAGCCCAAATCTAATCTCCTCTGAAACCTTCCTTGCCATCCCAGGTTGGTTACCTGGAAGAATTGTCACCTTTCTGATCCCACAGCCCTTTGTCTATACCTAGTAGAATACTGAATGCAAAGTTTAAACTAGATAAGCAAGTGCCTCAACCCAATTGTTAAATGATAAAATCACTACGGTCCAGACTAACGGTGAGATTTGTATCTTGGTAGCAGCCAACTAAGTTCTCCCTTAATGTAGTAGAAGGATGCTGACATACAGGTTTATTGACTTGATTTCAGATAAGAAATTGAGTCCAATCTTTTTCTTTTGTTTACTAAATAATATTATTATTATTATTTCAGTGATTGTTTTACTGTTATGGAGATACAACTGTGGCTTCTGAAATCAATACCAAATTAATATTCTCATACATGAGAAAGAAGGAAAATGGAAATCTGCCTTTCTAGCACTGTGCTACTTTATACGACATATTTAAAAGAAAATCTAAAAAAAGAGATACCCAAAGAAATAAAAATAAAGCAAGTAATTTGCAAGAAGACAATTCAGAAACAGACAGAAAGGAGCATAGAAATAACTGTGTGAGAAGAAATTAATTCAGCCAACATCATCAATATCATCCAACCAAAACTTATCTGAAATTTACTCTACATTGAGTCTGCCTACTCTTATTAAGTTTTAATAAAGTAGATAATCTTTAGGCACATATAAAATCATTCCAATGATATCATTTCATAAAGAACTGCATTTTTTATGAATTATATTTTAAAGCTCATTATAAGCTATCAAAGAAGAATAATGAACTAAGGCAGATTTTTAGAAGTTCCGATCAAAATAGATTTTACTTAAAAATTCAAACAAGTTCAGACTCTGAACTTGTGTAAAATATAGACAAATTATAAGTCAAGATATAAGCAAAAAGCCCAACTATGTGCAGGTAATCATTTTAATAAAAACTCTTAATTTAAATCTCTTTAAATTTATATTTTCCCACAATCATTAAGATATAAGATTCAGATAAAGTGTCTATTTTCACCTTAGAGTACATTTTTTTCTCATAAGAACTACATGAAAATGTGAAAACCTTGATTCACTTACTCCAAAATATTTTATATAAAATTCAACAAATATTTAAGAATCTGTTTCGTATGAAATACACGATTAGATATGGGAGTACACTGTTAAATAAAAGATATATATGTCTCTAAAGTCTGCTATTCTATAGCATTTACCTCATTTTACTGCATATTGACTACCAAAAAATGTGGAGGAATGATTATATCACCAAAATTAAACCCTAAACATTTTGACCAGCATTACTAACTTCATAATAAAAAAATGCTACTAGTATAAAACTAAAAGGTCACAATATATGTAATAATTGTTTAATAGAATATATAGACAGCTAAAATTTACTAGAACATTATCTCATTCTAACCTTAAGCCCAATTTTCTATATAACTATCTCAAAATATTTAAAGTATTCATTAAAAAGGAAGCTTAAAATTTTAGAATGTTATATGCATTTTTGAATAGCATTTTGTGTATTGAATATTTTATATGTAAAACTAATTCTGGAAATAAAACTCTGCTCTGGGTTTATAAAATAGTTGCCACTTGAATATTCGTCTGAAGCCCTTCCAGACTTCACCTACAGACCACAGCACCCTCGCCCACTAGTAATGAACTGCCTCCAAAAATTATCTCAACATAATCCACATTATCTCATTCTAACCTTAAACCCAATCTTCTATATGACTAGCTCAAAATCTTTAAAGTATTCATTAAAACGGAAGCTTAAAATTTTAGAATGCTATGTGTATTCTTGGATAGCATTTTAATGCTATTAGATTGAATATATTATATGTAAAAATAATTCTGGAAGTAAAACCTCTGCTCTGGGTTTATAAATTAGTCAGCACTTGAATATTTGTCTGAAGTCCTTCCAGACCTCACCTATAGACCACAGCACCTTCTCCCACTAACAGTGAACTGCCTTCAAAAATTATCTCAGCATAATCCATGAAAAATACATCACATTATTTTTTTCTCTTTATATGGTTGCCATATATGAGAGACTAAACCTCAAAGGCAGCTAAAAGGAGAAGCAGGAGAATAAGGAGGAGGAAAAGGAGGCTTAGTTAGAACTGCTTCATTCTAATAGGGGAAAGCAGTGGTGGTGGTGGTTGCCGGGAGGAGTAACATAGGAACCGGGCAAAACATAGATGAGTAAAAGATAGAAAACACCTTGTGTTGCAAAAGCATAGCAGCAAAGTACAATTTAAAGTAAACTTCCCAAAAAGAAGTTTGCTGCTGTTCTCTTAACTCCAGTCTCATCTCAACCCAATCCAATTACCTCAAGATACTGCTATGTGACAAGTACTTCTTCAGCAATGTCTCCAATGACCCCAACCCAGTGGCCAATTCTCTGTACCATCTTATATAACCTCTCAGAAGCTTTTGAGAGTTGACCCTGCCCTTTTGGGAAATACTTTCTTCTATTAGCTATTATTGGATTACGAATTCTTCTTAGGCTATATTACTGGATTCTCATCTTTATACAAATATCTAAATCTTGGATTGCCCCATGGCTCAGCCCTGAACCTTCTTTCCTCTATATTTTCCAAAATTTCCTGCTATCCCATGGATTAAACAACTGTCTTACATGATGAACACTCTCAAATATATCACTGGCCTAGAGTCATCCCCTGAGAAGACACTATTCTAGAAAATTGCTTAAATACTAATGCCAACAGGTATATATAATAATCTTTTCAAAAGAAATCCAACATTATGGTTAACAGGGAGTGATCTAAGTTAGAGATGGGAGATGTTTATAACAACCATTGTTATAGTTTAAGTGCAATTTAATAAAAATTAGACAAACAATATAATAAAGAGCCAAGATCATTATTAGCAGATGGTCTGTCTTTATGCCCAAGATTTTAAAAATTACAAATGCATTTAAAGGAATAAAACATTTTGGCAAGGTATCTTGTGACAAAATTAACATACAGAAATGAAAAAATTTTTATGTGCCAACACTAACCCAACCTAATATAATGGAAAATTGTTTCATGTACAAAAATATCAGCAACGTAAAATAAATGAACTTATACAACTTTGCATATAAAGTCATAGTGAAGGCCATAGGAGAAGACTTATAATTTTTAAAAGGACATACTTTCTTATTAAGAAGTGTCTGATTTTTCCTGAATTAATAAATCAATATTGTACCAATCAAACTCACTGAATGTTTTCAAGTTGATGAAATGATTCTCAAATTTGTCTGAAATAACAAGTATGGTAATATTCAGAAATACTTTAAAAACAGAGTCTGTGTGTATCTATGGAAAATAAGTGGAGAAATGTCATAACAGGTAAGCTGAACAATGTAAAATGACTCTTTTTATAAGTCAAAAATAGTCAGACGTCATCAATTTTATATTATTCAACCAAATAAAATGTCCTCTAACTATAGTAAATAAAGTGTTTTACTAGTGAAAAAGGAAGAAAGAGGAAGAGAGAAAAAATGTTAAAGGATATGCATGCACTTAATAATAATAATTGGTTGGTGCTAATGGTAAACATTTTAAAACCTTCTATTTGGATTAGGAATAAGAGAAAGATAAATTTATCTTTTAGTTCTATCCAACATTGCACTAGATGTCTTTGTCGGTAGAATATGGTAAGGATAAAAAGATGACATAAAGAATTGAAAGAAGGAAACAAAAATTACTTAACCGAAAACTGTGCATGTAGACAATGCAAAAACTACTAACAAATAATATGGATTATTAAGAGAGTATATTAGTTGCCCTATAGCAAACATATATACAAAAATAAATCACATATGTATATGCAGCATAGACAAATGAAAGCTTTGAGATTTAAATGTGAAGAAATACTGTATGCTTATTATTCAATATTGTTAAAATACCAAATATCCCCTAATTGATCTATAGATTCGATGTAACTACAACCAAAATCTTATCAGGATTTTTTAAAGCTTAAAAGCCAATTATGACATTTATACAGAAATGGAAAGCACCAATAACGAAAATACTTATGAACAAGAAGGAGGTAGAAATACCTTTTGAAATAGATATCAGGGCTTATTTTAAAGGCACAGTAATCATAAAAGTTGGATTTTGGTGGAAGTGGAGACCAAGTAGAATAGAATAGAGAATCCAAAAACAATTCCTTGCATATACAAATACTGGATTAGGACAAGGTGACACTGAAAAGCAACAAAGGAAAGATGACTTTTCACATAAATGGTGCTGGAGTAAGTAACTAAAAAAGAAAATATTAACCATTTGAATTATAATTAGGAGCTCTAGTACATTAGAAAATAAGAGAGTGAAAAGGTGAGCCACAGAATGAGAGATGATATCAGTGACACACATATCTGACAACTGTCTCATATCCAAACTATTTAAAGAACTCTAACAACAACAACAACAAATACATACAATCCATTAAAGACATGGGCAGGAGATCTGAATGGGCACTTCAGCAAATGGGATTGTATGGCCAGTAAATATATGAAAAGATACTCCTCCTCTTATTCACATGGGAAATGCAGACTAAAACCACAAAAAGATTCTGCCCCAACCCAATCAGATTAGCAAAGATTTAAAAACTGACCCTAATAAGCATTGGCAATGGTTTGGAAATACAGATAAGTCTTTTGCAGAGGGTGAGAATATAAATTGGTAGAATATTCTGGGGACCGTTTGGCATTATCTAGTGAAGTTGGCATGCATAATCTAAGAATCAGCAATTTAATTCTTGGGTAAGTTCCCTAGAGAAAAAAGCATACACATGTGAACCAGGAAATGTTCCAGAATAATCATAGCAACATTATTCTTAGCAACTTCAAAGGAGAAATGCCCCAAATGTTCATCAATTACGGAATACTTACATATCAGCTATATTCTTAAATGAAACACTATAGCAATTAAAAGAAAGAATCGCAAATACATTCAACGTAATGCCTGAGTCTCAAGAACATAATGTAGAGTGCGAGAACTCAGTCATAAAACAATGCATGCTGTTGGATTAATTCCAAAAAAGTCACGTCTAACTATCACACTGTTTGGGAATATATATCTAGGCGGAAAACTTTAAAGACAGGTATAGAGGTGATTACATGAACATGAGAATAAAGGTTATCTTTTTAGGGAGAGGGTATGCTGATTTCAGAGAAGTGAGAATGGAGCTTTTAGGATTCTGGCATTCTTCTATTTCTGAATCTGGGCATGTGATTACTTTATATGATTCATAATGCTATAAATTTATGTTATATACTTTTCTGGGCATAATGGATTATTCAAAAAATATGTTTGATAAAATTGGTGAGCCATGTTTCAAAAATATTCATTTCCTTTACTTCACTCCTTACAACTAAATACGTTTCCAGGGGTTTCAACATTCAAATGTAAAAGTTTAAGTCATAAAACTAGACAAGAATATAGGTGAGAGTTTTCATAACACTTGGGTGAGAAAACTATTCTAAATATGACACCAAATCAGAAATATAAAGGACAATATTAATAAATTTGACCATAAAATATTCAATATTCAATTTCTATAGAGCAATGAATAACCTAAGACTAAAATATAAACAATAAACAAGGACAAAATATTTGTACAAACAATATAGACACTAAGAAAACATTACTATGTGTATAAGTTAAAATAAAAATAACTAATAATAAATGAGCAAAAGAAAAATGAACTGAGGGCAAAAATGGGTTATTCACAATAGAAGTAATATATATTGATCATTGTGAACATGAAATTACTTTTGTCTTTTAGTAAATATGATGGAAATTAACTGCAAACTTGAAATAATTACACTTTTAGGAAAGTTACCGTGTTCATTGAAATACTTGACATTTCTGAAATCTTTGTTACTAAATTTTACTTGATATAGCCTGGAAGAAACTCTCATTCACAGTTTTTTTGGAATGTTATCCATAAGATACTGCAAGATTTATATAAACAAAATACTATTATTTTAATACTAGAAAGACAAAGTCGAACTTTTCTTTTACTTATAGGGTAAGTCAGTATATCTAAAGTATAAGACAAAATGAAAAAGAGTAGCTTGTGACCTTTATAAAATACAGATTGCCTCATTTGCATTATTACAAATAGATTAAAACTTTAGTAGTTTCATTGGTTCACATCCTGATTAATTGCTGGAGTGTAGTTACAGTAGAAATAATCAGAGGGTAAGAGAAGAAATGGAAAGGTCATCTCTTGTTCCACAATCTTTTATTTAACTATTGTCTGTCTTATTTTTTAATAGTTAAACATTCATGGATGACTCATATCTGGAAGCACTGCCTTATGGAAAGTTGTCAACTTCTGGTAGAGGTTAATTTTCTAAAACTGGTATAAGGTAAAGATTGTGAAATTGTGAAGTTTGACATTTGTTTTTCAAGCTATATTCCTCTTCTTCTTTTCTCTCCTTCTCTGCCTCTTCTTGATCCTCTACTCCCTCCCTTTCCCCTCTGACTATTCTCTCCCAACACACACACACATATACACACATGCGCACATGCGCACACCCACACACACACAGACACACACCACCTTCACTCCTTCCCTCTTTCTTCCAGGTTTTTCTTTTCTTCTTGGATTCCTCTTTTTTCATAATCTCAACCACAACCAATATCTCAAGCCTTAGACTTTGACATCTCCTTCCCTCACTTTCTTTGATTTTCTCGCTTTAAGGTCTCACTTCCACATGACACAGGTTTCAAACCAGCAGGGACTAAGTTTCTAGATCTTGGATGGGGAGACAAGAAGACGAACAAGACAGACACAGTCGCCCACTAACCTCATGGATTGACAATCAAGAGAGTCCTCAGATAACTAATTCAGGAAAGTCATTATTTATTCAGGACCAAGTACATCTCTTCTGCATGACCACCAGTAACATTTTTGCACATTTGTGAAAGGGTGAAAATCTGTAAACTCAGAAGCCACAGGGTAGATGCCTGGACTTGAACTGCTAGTGTTAAAAATTGTAATCACCTTCAGAAACCATGACTGAATATGCAACACGCACACACATATGCACACAGGCACACGCACACACATACACATACGTTTCTTCCCTATATGGTCACATTTAAAGTGTTCCGCTGAAGAATACTAACTTCCTTCTAACTACCCCACATAGAGAACACACATGTTCTTGCTGAAGAATAGGTTTAGCAGGGCTCACAATCTTAAATGTCTGCATTACTTTGATCATTCCCCAGACACATTTTGACTATCAACTGTGGGGTAAGTATCATGCTAGATATTGAGATACAAAAGAAAGAAGGATGTTTTAACACTTTTACTAGCAGGGGAAATTAAGGTAAAATGCACGTGCACACAGGGCCTGCAGGGTTAGAGAAAGGTTCTGGCAAAGATAATGTGGGGTTGAGTCTTAATGTGTTTGTTTAAGTGTCTAAAAGGGAAATACACTTTGTGGCACAGGTACAATTAAAAATGTGGGCTCTAACTTTTAATAGGTCTGGATTTTAATCTTGGTGCATACACAACTAAATGTGATTCCTTGGAAGAATAAGTTAAACCTCATTTATTGTGGCTGCATAATGGGAGTAAAAATAATACCCATAGCACAGGATGATTGTAAGGGCTGAATGTTATAATGTGTACAAACTACACAGTACAGGGCTTGGCACATAGTATGTGTTCAACAAATATTAGATATTATTATCATATTTTAATAAGTAAAACACAGCTGGGAGGCTTGGAGTTCAATTACTCACATACAATTTGTTCACTTCCTTTTTCATTGTACTTTTCTATGAAAAAAAAAAAAAGTGTATTCCCGACCCAGAATGAGATGATTTCAGGAGAGCACTGTATCATCAAATGCACCTGCTGGTGTGGTAACAGTAGGCACACTCTCCATGACCTTATTTTTTTTTTCACTTTTTAAAATGATAAAAACCACACTTGCAGTATGTGCTCAATAGTTGGGGAGTAATTAGAGGCTCACATAAAACAGAAAATAGATTAGCACTTTACTAACATAGTCCTTCTTCGCCTAAAATAATAGGTTTGCCATAGCAACCTGATTGCACTAGAGAAAGCGCCTGCCAAATGCATCCTAAGTTCCCTTGCAATTTCTATGAGAAGGAATTAAACACTTGAGAACTATAATATTCTGTGCCATTTCAGCTAAGTACAAATATTTTTGTGCGAATACAGTAATCTTCCTTCAGACATTTGAAAGTGAAGAGGCACCCTCACCTTCCATTTCAAAACAGCCAGTAAAACTTCATATAATGCAAGCCACGTTGACATTACAGATCAATCGTTAGCCAAGAAAAAGTTGCTCATAACTTTAAAATACAGATAAATGTCGATTCTTCTATTTGTGTTTTCTTAGTACACAAGGATTAAAGTAATCAGTCATGGACTATGTGAGGAACTAAGACATTTAAGCAAATTCTGTACTAATATAATTTTCTCTTCTCTGTCTTAGAGTGTCTAAAATTGAAAATGGGAAGAGAAGCGCCAGGCCACACTCATCTCTAAAGGTTTTCCAAACCATAGAGCAAAACATCACAGAGGAGGTCATTTAGGATTCTAACAGATTATCTCATTATTTGAACCTTGAGATGGCTTCTACAACAACACCAAAAACTATTCAAGATTCACCTTTTTCTAACAAAAACGCTATAAATTAGGTAGTAATATCATACTCATATACAAAAGTAATTCTGAAACTGAGTGACAGGTCCAAGTTTAAAAAGTCAGTGAATGACTGAGGTAGGAAATGTAGAGCTGAAGTTCTTAACCAGTGTAGTCCACCATGAAGCAGCCCATGTAAATTAGAGTAAAAATCTCCTTTTTTCTAGCTGGCAAAACCCATTGATTGGTCATCAGGCAGTGCCCTGCTTTCGAAACACAGTTATGGATTTCTGAATACATAAGTCCTATGAAATACTGGCTGATCTTTGACATTGACTTTAATGATTTCATTCCAGATTGTAAACAAACACACTCAACTGTAATTCACCATAAAATTACTTTATGAGATAAATGCTGAAGGACACACACAGGCAATCAACGTCATGCACCAGTGAAAGAAAGTGTTGTCGTTGATATAATCAGATAAATGTTTCTATAGAAAGTGTTTCTCGGCCAGGCGCGGTGGCTCACGCCTGTAATCCCAGCACTTTGGGAGGCTGAGGAGGGCAGATCACGAGGTCAGGAGATGGAGACCATCCTGGCCAACATGGTGAAACCGCATGTCTACTAAAAATACAAAAAATTACCTGGGCGTGGTGGCACATGTCTGTAATCCTAGCTACTTGGGAGGCTGAGGCAGGAGAATCGCTTGATCCAGGGAGTCGGAGGTTGCAGATCACACCACTGCACTCTAGCCTGGGCAACAGTGAGACTCCAACTCAAAAAAATAAAAAAAAAAATTAAAAAAAGTGTTTCTTGAAGATGAGTTTATTTGGGGAGGAGAAAGGAGTAGGGTAGAATCAGGCTCTAGTCACTTTGAACTTCTTGGTACTAACGCTTTAAAACATTAAAAAGTGGGCCGGGCACAGTGGCTCATGCCTCTAATCCCAGCACTTTGGGAGGCCAAAGCAGTGGATCACCTGAGGTCAGGAGTTCAAGACTAGCCTGGCCAACATGGTGAAACCCAGTCTCTACTAAAAATACAAAAAATTAGCTGGGTGTGGTGGTGAGCACCTGTAGTCCCAGCTACTGAGGAGGCTGAGGCAGGAGAACTGCATGAACCCAGGAGGCAGAGGTTGCAGTGAGCCGAGATCGTGCCACTGCACTCCAGCCTAGGTGACAGAATGAGACTCCATCTCAAAAAAAAAAAAAAAGTCTCAGTGAATCTGTCACTTCCTTAATACACATTTCAGAAGTGCTAATTAAACTGTTTTCTTCCCAAATCTGGGATAATTAGCAAATATATTTTACAAATTGAACAACAAAATCAATAGAAAAATACATAATATACTTTCCTTCACAAATAGGCTTATCTTTTAAAATTAAGAAAAATTCACCATAAAACAACAGTTTCTTCTAGCTTATCTTTTTATTAGTCTTTGTTTTTGACTCTACCAAAATAAACTTCCCCAAGTCGCAGACATTAGAAAGAATATTGCATACATACGAGTTTACACATATGTGAGAATGTATGTACATGCGAATTTGGGATGATGCAAATTCATGTGAGCAACTTATCCTCAAATAGTTTATGCAAAAAAGCTCTTTGTACTATTCTTAAGTCTTCTAAGTTTGAAATTATTTCAAATAAAAATAGTTTATAATTTAAAAATACATAAGTAAAACTATATATAATTTATGTAGTTAAATGGTATTTTCAAAAATAAGGTCGTATCAATAATCATGTATACACCTACTCACACATTTTATATCCAATTTTGGAAAACAGTTTTTAGCATCATATTCGGGATGTAAGCCATTTTTATCTATGAAGCCGTGTCAAACATATGCAGAACCTGGGAACTGTATAGCCCCAAATGCCAGAAACATAATAAGCTTAAAGTTTAAGGATGTAGTAAATTTGCTTTGACTTTGCCATTTTACAGCACATTCATCATAGGCAGGATTAATAAGTAAGAGTTACAGAGAAGTAGAGTTTAACATACTATAATAAATAGGATTCTACCCATGAGCATTGTCCTGAATGGAATGGATTAGCATAAGGGGGAATACATTTCTCCTCCCAGATGGAAGTGAAGCCAGGAAGTTCATATTTCATAAAGGTTGGTCGTTTGTGCTCTGGAGTCTGAGACCTACGAGAGAATTCCCTATCTACCACTTATAAGTGCTATAATTTTAGGAAATAATGATCCTCCCTATTTCCAAAAATTCAAAATTAAGAGTATCTACATAACTGCCTTTAAAGAGGCTGAAATAGAAATCTATTTACACAAGTACTACTATTTGGATTTTCTGGGTACCACTGTGATATGAGGTTGTGGTACAGTGTCTGAACAGCTTTAAAAATTCAAGAACTATATAACCTAAAGAGTAAAAGCCTTTCACAAATAGACCTACACATATTATATTTTTGTATATGACAGTGGTATATAGTTTTTTCACACCTAATATGTTTCTCATTCTAAAATGAATTTCTGCTTTCTTCTTTTTCCCCCTCTGCCGACAATATGTTTCAGATAACTTATGGTTTCTCTATTAAGTAGTGCTAATTATTTATGTATTTATATATTTAGAAAGAGAGTCTCGCTCTGTCGCCCAGGCTGGAGTGCAGTGGTGTGATCTCAGCCCATTGCAACCTCCACCTCCCAGGTTTAAGCAATTCTCGTGCCTCAGCATCCCAAGTAGCTAGGATTACAGGCATGTGCCACCACGCCCAGCTAATTTTTATATTTTTAGCAGAGATGGAGTTTCGCCACCCAACTCCTGGCCTCGACTGATCCACCCACCTCAGCATCCCAAAGTGCTGGGATTACAGGTGTGAGACAGTGTGCCCAGCCAGTAATGCTACTATGCTTATTTAATTTAATGGTAATTTAAATAATATCTTATACGAATATCTTATACTGACATTATTCTTCAACCGACTCCTTTTCCACTTTAAAGTCCTATTGGAATTTTTGTCTCTGTTGTAAGAAATAATTTTTAGATTACCAAAAATCCAATAAACAGTATTAAGTAAACCCAAAGGCAACCAGGATTTAAGTGGCCAAGATACTAGAGAAAAGAGGACCATTGGAAAGTGACTTCTACCTTCTATCCAAATAATCTCTTTGATGTATTTGTCACTTCCGAAACTATTTGGGGCAAGAGGTTGAAATGCCAAGCAGAAAACAATATCTAAAATATGAATAAACTAGGCAGAACTTTTGGCTTTTTGATCTTGCTGCAAATACAGTAATTGGAACACAGCAACCTTCAAGAAGGAGGTATTGATAAACATTCCATAAACACCACAGATTTTCACTTTAGATATTATCTCAATTCCTAATTGGATATATATCTATATCTATATTTATATCTATATCTATATATCTGCCAGAAAAAAAGTAAACTGTCCCTCAAGGAAGATCATATCATTTACAAAATTCTACCGATTTTGATAAACAATGTTTAAACACACCAAAACCAACAACAACAACAAAAATGCAAAACAAAACAAAAACAGGTATGTCAAGAGACAGGACAGATTCACTAAAAATAAAAGAGAAAAAAACAGACAATAGAAAGAGATTAAAAAATGATGCAGGTAACAAACTTAAATCATCAGTCATTGACTAAAATATCTATTACTTTTAAAATGTTCAAAAAATATTACTGTGTGGAGAAACTCACTAGACAATTATCTGTAAAAAACAAATAAAGTGGAAATTCTGAATTTAAAAATACAGTAAAATTAAAAATTGAATAAGGATATTCGATGGTAGACTAGACACAGAAGGAAAGATTAGCAAACTGGAAGATAGGATAGTAGAAAATACCCAGATTAGATAGGGAAGAAAAAGAATTGGGGAAAGGAGCATAAGAGATACATTGGACTTGAAATTGTATCTCATGCATCTAATTGGGTTCTCAGAAGGAGAAAAGATAGAATGAGGCAGAAAGGACATTTGAAGAAATAATGGATAAGACATTTACACGGCTATTATTGGATGAAATATCCCACCCCTAAATTTATATGTTGAAGTCCTAATTACCAGTACCTCAGAGTATGATTATATTTGAAGATAGATTCTTTAAAGTGGTAATTAATGTTAAAGGAGATCATTAAGGTGACCCTAATCTTGGTGACCTTACTAGAAGAGGAGATTTGAACACACACATTAAAGAGAAGAGATCATGTGAAGACACAAAGGGAAGGCTATGTACAAGACAAGGAAAGACGCCCTTGGAAGAAATCAACCTTACTTAAATCTTTGTCTTGGATTTCTAGCTTCCAGGACTGTGAGAATTAAAATTCTGTCGTTTAAGCCATTCAGTCTTTAATAATTTTTTTGACAGTCTTTGCAAACTAACACAAATGCCAAACTAATTCAAACTACAGATCTGAGACATGGAACATAAAGAGAATAAATAAAAAGAAATCCACAGAGACATAACACAGTCATGACAAAGTCAAGACAAAGAAAAAGGGAAAAATTTTTACAGTAGTAAAAGATAAAAAGATGCATTACTTTCAAAGGAAAAAGCAACAAGACTGATAACTGAATTACCAAAACAAATGGCCAAACCAGATGATGATGAAATGGCATTTTAAAAATTCTGAAAAAAATTGTCAAATTAGAATTCTGTGCATAGCAAAAATATCCTTTCATTTGAAGGCAAAAATCAGAACTTTTCCAGACAAACAGATACTAACAGAAGTTGTGACCAGAGGAGCCTATCAGAAGAAATGTTAAAGAAAAAATTTCTTCACATATTAGATAAAAGATCAAAAAGAGAAAGAGAAACACTGAAGTCAAGAAGCAAATAAAGAAAAACAAAAAGCAAATATAGGGTAAATCTAAGTGAAAAAATTCCATAAAAATAAGATGAAGTTAAACTAAATCTAGAATGTAAATATTATGATACTAGAATAGCATGGATACAGAAATAACATAAAGACATTAGGAAAAGGAGGTTACAAATCAATCTCATGAACTTTGAACCCAGAAATATACAAAAAAATTTATATAAGTAGATTTAGTCAAGGAATAGAGGGTTGCTTTATCATTTTAAAATCAAAATAAATAGTACCTTTGACAGAAAAAAAAATTATCTCAACATATATACTCTATATTAGACAATATTTAAAATCATTCATAAGAAAGAAATAGAAAGTAACTTCCTTATTTTGATGAAGGTAATCTAAACTAAATTTATATCAAACATCATATTTAGAAGTATAATATTGAAAGGTTTCATCTTAAATAACAGAACAGAGAGAGGTTCTCCAAAGATAGTAAGTTTACTCAGGAACACGCACAGCAATGCAGAACATGTCATAGTAAACTATGGAAGTACTCAGGGTGGCAAAAGAAGACAAGGGTTTTTAAAGGTAAAGTGAGGAGGGTTACATGAGTTATTTTGAAACAGCTATTCTTAGTTGCAAGGATCAAAAACAAGTCTGACATTAGTCCAAGGTTAGACAAGCAGATATCCTCACAGAAGCGTGTGCATGCACGCGAGTGTGTGTATGTGTGTGTGTATTAGGTTGCAATGGCTTTGTATATGATTGTAGTTTTGTCAAAGTCTTATTATCAGGCAATTGTGCATGAAAACGCTTTCTTCATGGCCTTTCCTGGCTTCATTATGTCAGTGTCTGACACAAGTGACTTCATTTTGATTCAGACAACTTTCACATTTGCCCCTTTTGATCAAAATACGTCTCTAAAACCATTGCTGACTAATCATTCTGTGGTTAGATTTTCATCATCCATCAGTGCCAGGATGAACTTGTTCTGGGTAACTCTGATCCCATGTCAGAGGGAAGTGATTGCTGATTAGGAGTCAGTATGAAACCCTTTAGCCACATTTGAGCATCAGGAGTTCTGTGGGGAGTGTTCGTTGTTAAGTCCAACTTCATCAGTTTCATAGACAAGGGTTATCATCTCAAAACTCTGAGCCAGCATTATTCTCTCAGGAGTTGTACTTCTGCTGAAATTTGACAAGCAATAAGTACAAAGTTTATAAAGAAAAATACAAAGTAAAATTAATAGTAATAGGAAAATTCTAGTTTATGTAATAATATTGAGCCAAGAACCTAGGCTTGAAAGCAACTGACTGAATCAGCCAAATGACCATGGGGAATTAGGTAAGTCCTGTTGTAACTATGTGGCCTATTTTCTTGAGTATTTGCATCACAACTTGCCCAAAGGGGTTTATCCAGGTACAGCATGTATTATTGGCAATAGCACAAATATCTCCTTATTTAACCAATAGAGAATCTAGAGCAATTCTATCATTTCGTATCTTATAGCTGGGTTGAATTAAAACACAGAATGAGCAACAGTTGTACTAGAGATGCTGTTGAAGTTACCCATTGGGCAGGCTAAGGGCTTATCTGTCAGGGCATGTAAATATTTAGGATGGGCATGACAGATGCAACATTTTTTACAGCTTCCTGCAGAAGCTATTGATTGTGAAATTTTAACTATACCATTATCCTGCCAAGTGAAAAAGGTAGGCACAAGCAAGGAAAAATTAAGAGGGGCAAGAGTCTCATTATGATAAGGAATCTTATTTCAATGTCTTGGGAAGAATTTTTCCCAGCATGAAATTGTCAACTTCTCACCCTGGTTTGTGGTTTGAAGGTCTCTGGTTACAGCATTCGACAGTTTGGTGAACTTGCCGTGTGGCTCAAACATCAGGCACAAGTCTTGTCCCTTGAAATTTACATCAAATTGTCTAGCTTCATTCTACGCGGGTTTAGAAAAGGGTGGTTTTGTTCTCACTAATTTCATGAGAGAAAAGTGGATTGGAGGAACCTACAAGTGAAGTGGCATCATTGTCTGGGGTAAATACCTGGGGTTGGTCATTTTGTGCTGAGAAGATTAACAACATGGACACGCACACATGGAATGGGTTAAGGAGCGGAAAGTTTAATAAGCAGAAGAAAGGGGAGAGGAGAGCAGCCGTCTCTGTCTGTCTCTTGCCAGAGAGAGGTATCTGAAAAGGAAAGACCTGCTGGTGGCAGAGTGCACTGGATTCTACAGGCAAGCTTGAGAAGGCACTGTCTGATTTATGTAGGGCCCACAGATTGATTGGATCAGGTGTGACATTTACATTGTGTGTGGGAAGGCTGGTCGCCCCACCCTAATCTTATTATGCAAATGGACTTTCCACTTGGCCAGAACCATCTTGTCTGCTCCTTACTGTACGTGTGGCTGGCAAAGAGAGGATGGAGCTGCCATTTTGAGCCTGCCTATTCCCAGGTAGTTTCTTCCTATTGGCACAACTGCCAGCAATAGGCTGCTCTTCGTAAGAAAAGAAAATGATTTGGGGGCTGCTTTTCATTAAAAGGAAAACCTTACTGAGGACTCCCATATTCTCACTATCTGCCTAAGTAATTTCTTCTTAACTCCTATATCAGAAGAATTCAAGATCCAGTCTAGTCTACAGATAGATAATAAAAACTAAGAAACTATGCACAGGGCCAACATCTAACAAGTATATTAGAGTTTTTCTTTAGAAACATAATTTTTCTCTCTACAGTCATCCCAATCTTTACTAAAGATAATGAGAATAAGATTAATTTGTTTGTAAAATAAGTTTAATTTTGTCAAATGTGACTGAATTATTTACATAAATGTAGCAAGAATAGTGATTAAACATATAGTAATCTCAGATTGGACCCTTAAATATCTCTTGAGACTAAAAAGTCAAACCAAGGCAGGCTTCAGGTTTTGTCTGTAGTACCTATAAATAACTTAAATATCACATCTCAGTCAAAACCTTTGTAATATAGCCAATATTTCCAGTTCTATTCTGTTATAAAGAAAGCAGATTCTTATTGAACTTACACAAACATATATACTGCCATTAAAAAACATAAGAATACTCATGTAGTTTCTGAATTTTGATAGGATCAAATAGGGATAAAAAGTAAATTTTTCCACTTTAGTTTACAAAGGTATACTTTTGGCCGGGCGCGGTGGCTCACGCCTGTAATCCCAGCACTTTGGGAGGCAGAGGTGGGCGGATCATGAGGTCAGGAGATCGAGACCATCCTGGCTAACACGGTGAAACCCCGCCTCTACTAAAAATACAAAAAATTAGCCGGGCGTGGTGGCGGGCGCCTGTAGTCCCAGCTACTCGGGAGGCTGAGGCAGGAGAATGGCGTGAACCCGGGAGGCGGAGCTTGCAGTGAGCCGAGATCACGCCACTGCACTCCAGCCCGGGCGACAGAGCGAGACTCCGTCTCAAAAAAAAACAAAAAAAAACAAAAAAAAAACAAAGGTATACTTTTGTCAAATAGCTGTAAATTATAATTAGCTTAAGAGGGAAAGTTTCCTTAAATCTGCAACTGAAACGTTTTAAGTAAAGAAACAACAATGTTTCAAATAAAAGTCATAAAACATCATCTTTGTTAGTTATTTCACTTCATGTAATTAATTTTTGTTCTGCTTGATTTTTGTTAGCAGTTTCATGAATGTATCAGTTTCTTTATCAGAGTTCTGGAAATTTTCGCTTGGCCTACTGAGTTTAGTGTTATCAGAAACCTGTAAGCAAGAGTAATTACTGGAGTCTTTTCTAGGCATCTGAATGCACATGTGTTTAGAGAAGAAACAAAACTGTAACAGTAGATGACAAAGATTTAGAATAACTATGGTTTAAAAATCTGATGAATTTGAACTCTGCAGGGTTCATTATAATAATGACAAAATTGATGAAGAAATTCGGTTATTTCTATCGCATGTAACATTTTAAGATAACAACCAGAATTATGGTTGACAGCATCCAACCAGAGCCATCAGACTTCTATAAATTTTACATAATCTTTGGAACATTCACATCAATAACATATTCATATAAATATAACTTGAAAAAGATTTGGCATCACTCTATTATTAGACAATGCTTACCAGACAACCCAACATATTAAATAAGCCTAATTCGTTTAATAACTCTTTCATAAGATGAGAGACACATCCTTCAGAATTTCCTGACTAGAAATTCCCAAAGTTAATTTGAAGTCAAAAAGACTTAATTTAGAACTTTGATACTGGGGAAGCCTGCCAAAGATGTCAAAAGGTTTAAAACATTTAATTAAAACAGAATCACATGTCATCATGAAATAATAATTATTCACTTAACTAGAGTGACAGAAAATGTCAAAAATAAATACAGAAAATTACAAGGATGTAAGAAAACTTTAACTCTTTCAAAGCTCAGTTTCCCTCACTAATGAAAAACCTAGTAAGACAACATAAAGCATAGGGAATTATCTTGATAAAACACAAAATTTTTGTTTCTTAGGCCCATCATCAAAAGGTTTAAGAAACACACAAACACGAACCTCCTGCAGTGTGATTGTTGTCTGCTTATGGAAGTCCATTTAAATAACCTGGAAGTTGAACCCAATGAAAAGATACCAGAATTCTCTAAGACACTGGAATTGTCTGCCCGAGGTTATGAGTGCACTTCATATCATAGAAGTAAACAAGAAAACTAGTACCTTGAGCAGGGTAATATGTGGCTCTTAAAAAAAGTAAAAGCATGCAAAATTGCCTCATTACATGGAACAATTCAGACACATCAAGAAAAGCCAAGAGAACAGATCAAGTTATCCTGGAGGAAGACATTGCTCTTCTGGGCCTTCAAGACATTTTCCAGCATCAGACCACAGTGGCAGAGTAACAACTGGAGGGGGAAAAAAAGGCAGTAGGAGCTGACTAAAAAGTCAATGGAGAGAGTCACAACTTTAACAATATGAAAAGATGTACCTCTGCAGGAAGAGAAGGAGGAAGAGCTAGAGGCAATGATGTATGACCTGCAAATTATGTGCAGTGAGATGCAATGAAAAGTTGAACTTCTGAGACATGAATCTGAAAAGCTTCAAGAGGAAACTCCAATTTGTGAAATTAAATTGGTATTTTAAAAGAAGAACATAGCAATTTTAATCTGGAATTGGGAAAAAATAAATGAAAACTGTAAATTGGGCAAAAGATGCAGTTCAGAAAATGATTGAAAATTAAAAGAAACAAGTTTTACAATTAAAAATAAAAACTTTCTGCAAATTTCACTGAGAGCAGATCAATAATCCAAGAAAACTGTGTTGCTTTAAACACAGAGGACTAGATTCTGGTTTTGTATCAGTATAGTAATGTTCAATTTTAGAAAGAATTGTAAACAATTCTCTTCTAACTTAAGCCAACTTGATTGCACACAAATTCCTTTCATAAGATTATACTTTACAAACCTTTGCATTCTCCTCAGACCTTTTACGACTTGATTAAGCTTTCAGTTTTCTCCTATATTTTCTTCTTTTTAAATTCTACCTTAGCACAAACATTTATTTTTCTTATTTCCCTTTATCATTCTGACCACACAATATTATTTTTCATATTATTCACTTTCTGCTTTTAACTTCTTTACCTAAAAACACTTCCTCATAACCTTCTTTGCATCCCTCTCACTCCCCTAATTATTGGCTTCTTTTTGCTTTGTTGTTATTTCTTTTAATACTTTGAAATAACCCTTAGACAAAATTATTCTTCCTTCCTACCAAAATTTAAATATTTCCCATGCTTATACTTTTTTTTTTAACGAAAAAGGTATCTTACTTCCTTGTACAACTTACATATAGAATTACATATATTAATTAAAAGGTTTAACTCTTTGTAGCTTTAATTTCTAGTTAAAGCCTAGGAGGTAAGCATTTTGAACTATTTGTCATATAGCAACAGCTTATGAATATACATCTTACAACTTCTAGGAATGTGTGCTTCCTCATAGAACAAATTTTTAATGTGAAACATGATATAATTTTTAATAGATCCAAATATATTGTGTTTTCCTGTAAAATTTAAGAAGCCAAAATTAAATAAACATGAACCTCTGATCAGAAATTAATGTTTATTATTTTATCTTATTTGGAAATAATCCAGTTTATGAATATTACTTAATTCAAAATAACATAATTTTAACATCTGAAATTACATGAAAAGTTCATTTATACACATTTATACCATTTATATTCACCTATTTATTTTAAACAATTATACCAGATTATTCATGAAAACTGAGATATTAGACAAGCTAGTTCTCATTTCAAGTTGATTCTCTGTTAACTATTTTTGAAGCCTGTGAATATCAGGTGTTCATCACCCAAGTAGGAACCTGAAATATATGGGTATTTTGCCAGTAACTCAGAAAATACAGCTGTTTTTCTTAAACCAACAATATTAGTCATCTTTTTTAAAGAGCTACACAAACAAAATCTATTTTGCTATTAAGCTGAATATATTTTATTTTATTTTACCTATTTTTTGAGATGGAGTTTCACTCTTTCACCCAGGCTAGAGTGAAGTGGCATGATCTCAGCTCACTGCAACCTCTGCCCCCTGGCTTCCAGTGATTCTCCTGACACAGCCTCCCAAGTAGCTGGGATTATAGGAGGCCACCACCATGCTTGGCTAATTTTTGTATTTTTAGTAGAGACAGGTTTTCACCATGTTGGTCAGGCTGGTCTCGAACTCTTGACCTCAGGTGATCCACCCACCTTGGCCTCCCAAAGTGCTAGGATTACAGGCATGAGCAACTGCACCTGGCCTAAGCTGAATTTATAGTTTTATGACTGTAAAACATCTAACAGAGATCAATGTAATCCTGTCTAACCAGCAAACCCAGGCAACAAAATGTAAGCTAACAATTCTGAAACAAATTTTTATTTTACCAACAAATTTAAAACCAATTTATTTATCAAAGATTCATATGAATCCCATGAGCTAAAAGGCATTTGGGGTTTTTTTTTTTTTACACTTTTAAGTGTCATTTGCATATCTTATCTCTAAGCCAACTTGAAAAGAATTCCTTAAAGGATTTCTGGCCAACTATGCCAGATTGTATTATGTATATACAACATACAACATAACACATGCATATGTGTCTAAACACACATAAACACATATACACACAAAGATCTTATAGCTTTCATTTAAAAATTTTAGTCATGAGACAGTAAAATAGTAATATAAACTCAATGGTTTATAAAAGGACAATTGAATCTAAATTCAGTTTCTGACACAATGGGAAATGTTCACATGGCTAAACTTAAGATTTTCATTTGTCCTGATGGGTAATATTATGAAGGCTGTGCATCAAATTTTGGGTAAAGCAGTTTCTCTAGCAACTTTGTTTTAATAAGTCCCTTTTACTTTCTTTTCCTTTTTTTTTTTCTCAGTGTTAAATTAGATTAAGGATTAATTCCTTGCTGTTTATGTTTCATTGAAATGCCATGAGAAAAATAATCTCCAAGCAGACTTTGACCTATTTTAGTTTCAAGAACAATTGCAGCAGAGAGTTTCTCTTCCAATGCAAGCAAAAACGTCAGTATATTCAAATAGGCAGAGATAAAATAGAAAAATAGGAAACTTAAAAGACTATATGTTAGCCCTCTAGTTGCACTTTTCTAATTCATTTCTGAGAAAAACAAGCTTGGAAGGCCAAAACAATCTCCATAATGGCCATACATTATTCTTGGTGTAATTTTCCCATCAGTTTAAAAAAATGTTCATGAGAATGGACCATAAATTTTGAATGTATAGCAGTCTAAGGGTTTGGCATGTCTTAGAATTTTGGAATGTCATTCAGTTTCTTATTAATCTCTGGAGAGCGACAGATAATCCTATAAGCCCTGTCAAGGAATTTTAAGGATTTGGACAAATCGTTTTGCTTTCACAAGTGTACGTGGCACAAGATTCCTTTATTTCATACTTGGCAGATGGCTTGTGCCCTAATTCTTTGACCTGTGACCAAGTTTCCTTCATTGTATAGAATTTTTCTTGGAACCGACTGGGTTCCTGAAGGTGACCTTGCCTGTCCGTAACAGTTGATCTTGACATGGGAGACTTTTTCTCTGAGGCTCTTATTATTAAGGTGCCACAAAGATGGTGGTGACTGCTCTAGTGACTTTCAATTTGCCATCCCACATCCACTGTTTAAAATGCCTATTTTTGCTTTCAAAAGATGTTCATAAACAAGAGGGAGAAAAACATAAAATTGCTAAATCATTAGACACATGTAACCAAACAAAAATAAAACAAAATTCTGTACTCACAAAAATTTTAAGCCAGTGGTACAGATCAAACAAAACATTAAATCAAACATGAAGAAAAAATCAAAAGTGAATTCACGAGAAAAAAAAAACATGCCTCACAAATAATGTAAGTTCTGCAGAAATCCAAGAACTCTCTGGAAAGATACTTGTCCTTCTATTAAAAAGAACTTGCCAGAGAAGACAGGCTCACAGTTCCAAGAGGGATGCAATATCTTCTACTTGAGGCAACCGGATAAACCAGTGCGGTCCCAAGTCAAGTCAAAAGAACTCACTAAAAGGAGGCAGTCCAAGAATTTAAGAGGAGAATCACCAGGGCAGAAAAGGTGACTCCTGGAAGCAGAGAGTACAAAGGGTTCATTCAGTTGGTACTGCACTTGATTCCAGGGGCTGCCCGGCTGTTCCAGGTGAGCTTACTTCTGTCCCATTTCTTGATACCAGATTATGTCAGTCTTAATAATGGGCAGAAAGACAGACATTCTCCAAAGATAATAAGTTTATCTGGCAGTGGGCAGTACAGCATGGAATAACATAGCATAGTAAACTACAGACACCTTCAGGGGAGGAAAACAAAAGACAAGGGTTTTTGAAGGTAAAATGAGGAGGTTATATAAGTTATTTTGAGATAATTATCCCTGGCTACAAGGATCAATAACAAAGCCAGTGTCCGTCCAAGGTTAGGCAGGCAGTTGCTGGGCAGATCCTCACATAAGTATATATATTTTTGTGTGTGTAAGACTGTGGTGGTCTTTGTGCAACGCTGTGGTTTTGGCAGTCTCTTATGATAGTTCTTGTTATTAGGCAATTGTGCATAAGAACCCTCCCTTCATATTCCCCACTTTTTTTTGTAAGGGTTTGACAAAAGTGATTCCATTTTGATTCTGATAGCTTTCACAAAGCATTTTCTCCAAGATTGGGAGCACGACAAGAATGCTCACTATCACTACACCTAACCAACATTACACAGAAGCCATAGCTAATTGCCCCAAAGCAAGAAAAAGAAATACAAACAGTACAGAAAGGAAGAAATGCTACAGTCATTATTCACATATGACATGATTATATAGGTAGAAAATATAAAAGAAGCTACATACAATTAATAAATTAATTTAGCAAGGTCCCTAGATACAAGTGGTTAATAATTTTAAAAATAGTTATATTTTTATATAGTAGAAACAAACATTTAAAATATAAATTTTTAAAATTATGTCATTTATAATAACATATAAAAAACAGAAAATAGGAATATTCATGAAATATGTCAAGACCTCTTTATAGAAAACTACAAATTATTAAGTGAATTAAAAAATATACAAATAAAAAGGAAGGCTATAGATTAGAACATCAATGCTGTCAATTCTGTCAATTGATTTATAGATTTAATGCATCCACATCAAAATCCCAACAGTTTTCATGTTAAGAAAATTCACAAGTTTATTCTAAAATTTATACACAAATGCAAAGGCATACAAATAGCCAAAGCCTTGCTGAGAAAAAAAAAATTGGTGGACAGATGTCAATATCAGATTTTAAAACATACTGTAAAGCTATAGTATTTAAGAATGTATTGGCTGGGTGAGGTGGCTCATGCCTGTAATCTCAGCACTTTGGGAGGCCAAGGCAGGCAGATCACCTGAAGTCAGGAGTTCAAAATCAGCCTGACCAATATGGCGAAACATCATCTCTACTAAAAATACAAAAATCAGCTGAGTGTGGTGGTGGGTGCCTGTAATCCCAGCTACTGGGGAGGCTGAAGCAGGAGAATCACTTTAACCTGGAAAGCAGAGGTTGCAGTGAGCTGAGATGATGCCATTGCACTCCAGCCTGGGCAACAGAGTGAGATTTCATCTCACAAAAACCAACCAAACAAACAAGAATGGATTGCTAGTACAAGATCAGACAAATAGGCAAATGAAACAGAATAGAAACACCACAAACAGGTTCATACACATAAGGTCACTTGATTTATGGTGGGCTAATGTTACAGTGCAGTGAAAAAAGTTTATTTTTCAATAAATTGATCCTGGATCAATTATATATCCCAACTGCATTTAAACAGTATTTTTAACCCTTACCTTACATTATAGACATAAATAAAAAATAAGTATAATTAAACAATATTTAAAAAAGAAACAATATATAAATATTTTTCAGAAAGCTATTGCTGCCTTTTACAATTATTATAATAGAGATCTCTCAGGATACCTGTAAATAATTTGATTCAAGATTTCCCAAAATAATACATTTTGACTATTGTTCATTATGGAAGTCCCATATATATTATGTCAATGTAAATTGACTAATTGGATGATGCTATCTGATCTGACACTCTGTAACTTTATATTAGGTGAACAGAATGTTAAGCTCTAAATTCTCCTTCTCCTAATAATTTTTTCTGGAATCCAGTTACAAATGTAGCACATAAAACTGCGAAGTTAGTCCAGTCCACTTATTTTCAGAGCCTTTGTATTTCACAAATAACACTCTTCAGAACATTAATTTGACAAAGGGCTGCTACCACAGTACCATTTCATTGTTCATGTGGTTAATTTTTCATATAATGATTACACTCAATCTGCATGTACTTTATATCTGCTGACCTCCTCAAAAGCATTTTGAGATTATTATGACAATAAATCTGCTGTTTCTCAAGAGAGAGAGAGAACATTTTAAAACAGCACTTCCTCTCTCTCTTTCCCTTAGGCCACCTTGAACATTAATGTAGTTCAAGTAAGAAAAATATTTTGTGGTGTTCTTTCATGGTTTTTAAATTGTTTTTTCAATCATCATCCAAGTTTTAGTGCAATGTTTATTTTACATTAGTAGTAATACAGACAAATTCCAAAGTGTACACATTTGTTTCCTTCCTGGAGACAATTAATTAGAGAATTTAAATACATAACTAATACCCAGGATGCCTTGGCCTCAACCACTATCTCATCTGCTTTTGATTGGGAAACCTTGTATGACAGTCAAATGGAACATTACCTCAATTTGGATTATAAAATATAAATTTCATGTTTATTGTAAGGATATGCACAAGAAATGGTGGACAGACTGGAATATGCCCAGGCCTGATAGGAAAGTAAGAATCAATGGTTGGTATGGGCCAAGCACTGTGATGGCAGCTGGGAGGCCCATTTTGATGACAGTTTTAATTATGTAGCCTGGATAAGCCACTTTTGCTTCTCAAAGATTCAGTTCCTTGTTTTCTGCACAAAGAGACTAGATCAAGCGATCTCTAAAGTGTCTCAGATGTAATAGAATTAGAGATTCATAAAGCTACACCAGTTGTAACTACCAGTCCTGTTTTCTACTTAAATGTTTCAAATATGTGCAGTCAAGTTATATAATCTATTAGACTCTGATAGCATCTATCATGGTATTATTTGCATTTTTTCCCAAAGACATTTACTATTATTACTATGTAATGTACATATAAAAATCATACTCATTTATTCAACATCTATTTAAATATTAAAATTGTTATCTTCCATCACAGATAGAAACAAAGCTGCTTGTGGTTCCCTTCAAATAATCTTTCTTTCCCTAAAGAAGCTAGGATAGAGAAACACCTTCTGCCATTCACTAGTAGTTAAGTATAGAGGTACAGTTCCAAATAATGGAATTTACTGGGGCAATAAGTGATCCAGAACTATGAAAATTAGATTTGTAAATTATATCCTAATGAATATTTTCTACAAAGACAAAAGCGAATAGTCAAAAAATCATGGAAATAGTTCAGACACTGTGGGAAGACATATGAAAAAAAAATATTGACTATCTTTTTCACTATTCCAAGATAATTAACAATGTAACCATAAGTGAGACCAGAAACTTTCAGGGACAAACTTAGTTACCGAGAAAAACTGAACGGTGATCAAATAAATTAGGGTGCCCTATTTTCCTCACATTCTACCAGATAAGAGGAAATATTCCACTTTAATAAGAATATCAAAGTGGGAGGGATGGAGACAGAGGAAGAGATGGAAATATGCTTCCAATTACAGTAAAGAGAAAGGGAGGGAGGCTGTTGGAAAAGTAAGAACAACCAAATGTATGTGATTATGTCTATATTGGTAATGGAAAAAAGTCAGAAAATAGAGGAATTTGACATGCAGGTCCTTCATGCAAGCCCTCATGTCTCCCTGACTATAGAAAATGTAGAATAAATAGTATTTGCTTGAAATTGAAATTAAACTTACTTTAGCTCCCATCATACAACTTAAACTGTGCTTATGTCTCACTCATTCAAAGCTTCAATAAAATCAAAAGAGCTCATATGGAAGAATAAAAACAAAGTAAAATTTTAAAATCACGTGTAAATGCTAATTGTCAAGAACATTCTTGCCATTTTTGGAAAGCAGTGTCTCATTGAAGTAACAGGAAATTGCCATGAAATGACTTTTGCTTTCACCTGATGGTTATCAAAATAAATAAACTATTCAATCAGTCCAAACAGTGATAGTTAACATCATACTACAAAAGCTATTCAGACAATGAAATGAAGGCAATAAAAGAGAACAAAGAATGCCTAAGCAGTTCGATGCTTTAAACAATGATAAGCTCTATGTCACATAAAAAGCGATGTTGGAGGAACCCTGATTACTTTTGTCTTGAATTATCTTTGGCTTAAATACATCCGATTGCCTGAGAGTACAAAGGATGGATTACTTGCCCATGATGTATTATGTAATGAGTCACTGCATTAATTCCACTGGGAATTTTAATTTGCAGTTCATTTTTATCCGTTTAGAAAATGACAATTGCTTTTTCAGAAGTATAATTAATAAACTTTCTAAACCTAGTCTTTTCTAAGTTTCTCGTTTATCTTCCACTTTACTTTTACTTTTGAAAAAAAATATTAGGTGGTGATATGATCTCAAATGTCAGCTTTTAGTAATTGTCACATTCTGAAATAGCATGATGAAAGATATATTACAATGAAGCACACAGTATATGGGCTTTAGCTTCCAGCAATGCAAAGACCAAATAATCTATTATACCAAATATCAATTGTTTGTTTTATTACTGGACTTATAGGAAGTAATATCCTTCAGGAAACCCGAAAACAAGAGCTATAAGCTGAAGCAAGAGGAATAAACCATAAGCTCACATGAAAGGAGCTCTGTGGGTAAATTCCTACATTGGTACTTCAGGCCATAAAGGTGGAAAAGATAGACCCAAGACTACCTGAGTAAGCCGGGGAGTAGGTGTCATGAAATGAGGACTGAAGAGGTGCAAGATCAGTAATATTCATCTCAAAAATGGACAAAACTTATTGAAAAACGTGTCCTGAACTTAGGTTTCAAGATATTCCGGAGTTTAGGATAAGCTCGAAACTGAAGACCAAAAAATACACACACAAGGAAGCAAACCACCATGAACCAAAGTCAGGAAAAACAATATTCTTTGAGTTATCTGTACTTTAGACTGGATATTGTCCAATTACCCACCTTGCCATTTTTTTTTTTACTATGTTTGTTATAGTTATTTAAATATGTATATCCGTTAATTCCTAATAACTGGTCATTTATGCATCTGCTACTACTGTCTGTTGTTGTTTCCTTAGTCCTGTTTCATATTTCTTTAATTGAATGTCAACAGTTGTATGGAAAAGACTATAGAGCATCTGGATGAAATATTCCCCGCAAAATGATTCACCCCTTGGTAACAAATTTAGAGCAGTGTTTTGTGTTTCTCAATCCCAGACAACCTCCTACCCATCCCAACCACCTGCTCACAAAATGCCAGACATTTGACAATGTTTGGAGGCATTTTTAGATATAACAATAGAGAGGTCTTGAAACTGTCTTTGCAAAATTATGAAAGTAAGAGAAATCTGACATGGTTGAGTCCATCTTGCTTCTAGCCTCAAGGGTGGCTGTCTTCGCACATTTTTGGGCATGGGCAAGGTTAACTTAGGGAGAAATTTAGTTTATAGTTTAAATGATAATAGCCCTTCCCCAAAAGTAAACTGCCCTTGTAAAACTAATAAAAGGCCACCAGGTTAGGAAGATGAGAGGGACCTGAATTCTGCTAAGATGCAAACATAGTTACATAATTAACACCCATTATTCCAGAGGTCGTAAGATTTGCAACTTCTCCAATTTCTCCTGCAGATATCATTGCTATTGTAGAACCTGAGACTAGCCTTTTGAGATGTCTTTTCAGGATTTTGCATTTCTGAAAACTGGATGGCCCCACCAGCATTTGCCAACCAGTCCTGAGTCCTGTGGCTCCCACCCAGGAACTGGCTTAGAGCAAGAGAACAGCTTCAACTCCCTATGATTTCATCTCTGACCCAACCAATCAGCACTCCCCACTCCCTGGGCCCCTATCCACCAAACTATCTTTGAAAAAACCCCTAACCTCTGAGCCTTCAAGAAAATTGATTTGAGTTACAACTGTCTCCCACGTGGTGTGGCCGGCCTCAACTTTATTAAACTATTTCTTTACTGCAATGTTATGGTCTCCATGAATTAACTTTGTTCAGCGGGCAGGAAGAACCTGTCTGGTGGTTACAGTGCTACTGGCATCTATAGGGTGGAGGTCAAGGAGGCTCCTAAACACCCTACAATGCACAGAAGAACAGTCTCCACAGCAAATAATTATTTGGTCCAAAATGTTAGTAGTGCTGTTATTGAGGAACCCAGAAGTGAATGAGGGTCAATTACCTTAATTAATTCTGTGAGTGATTGAGCTCATCTGAGGCTGAGTTGCATCATATCTCTTGCTTACCCTCTCCTTCCCCAGAGGTCCAAACACACTGGCATCTGCACTCCTACACACATATACTTACATATGAACAGATACATAGTTACTTAAAAATTACCTCACCAGGACCTGTGCGGTGGCTCACACCTGTAATCCCAGCACTTTGGGAGGCTGAGGTGGGTGGATCACGAGGTCAGGAGATCAAGACCATCTTGGCTAACACGGTGAAACCCCACCTCTACTCAAAATACAAAAAATTAGCCAGGTGCGGTGGCACATGCCTGTAGTCCCAGCTACAGGAAAGAATGGCCAATTAATCAAGCTTAAAGTAAATTAATCTACATTTGAAATTCTGTCAGCAGGAATAATTCAAATGTATACTTCGGCTGGTACCAAATATACTTGCTCCTTTTAAGAAATAATACTATATTTTGGGATGAAGTTCAACCACAATTTAAGTCTTGAGAAAGGCTACTGGGAGAACGATCTTAATTAAAATAAATCATTTTCAAATTGTTCCTAACTAAAATATTTGTTATAATTATAGATGAAATTATATCTCATTGTTTACTCATATCTGGAAAAATAGGTGTAGTTAAAATACTAGAAGAAAATCAATTGAAATATTAACAGTATTTGTTCTTAAAGCTATGTTTAATAAGGAATTTTCTGCCTTCTATTTATGTGTTTTAAGTAGACTCTGGAGGCTGAGGCAGGGGAATCCCTTGAACATGGGAGGCAGAGGTTGCAGTGAGCTGAGGAGCTGAGATCGCCCCACTGCACTCCAGCTCTCCAGCCTGGGCAACAGAGCGAGATTCCGCCTCAAAAAAAAAAAAAAAAAAAAAATTCAATCACCACTCTAAGGCCTGATTAGGGGTCACTATAATGTTTAAGATAGAAACTTGTTAGTGCTGTAGTCTAACAAATATTGATTTATCTAAAATGTACACCATGGTGTCAAAGTTTGTTTGATATATGTATATTTTTATTATTTTTTATTATTTATTACTATTATTGTTTAAAAGCTGACTTTCAATAGACGGTAGTGAGGGAGGTGCTCCGCTGCTTAGGAAACCCCAGCCCAGAAACAGGTTGACTGTGAATGATTTAGCACCAAGTTCCTCATATTTTTTCCATTAAGCTGCTCATTTGCATCTTTCATTCAATGCTTGTGCAGGTCATTAGCACTTTTATGCCATTACCTGAGATTCCCATCCACTACATATTTTTAAAATGTATTATCCCAGTTTAAAAAACCACTTCCCTAATTGCCAGTTCAAAATTTTAATATAAGTATATAAGACACATATGCATATACATGCATACACATGCATGTATATGCACTAAAATCACCTTTTATTTTAGATTATAATTTAACTGATTTAAAAAGTATTATCAAAGCAACACACATAATATTAAAGCAATACACGATCACTTTAATTTTTTTAAAACACATAAGTAGAAGGCAGAAAATTCCTTATTAAACATAGCTTTAGGAACAAATACTGTTAATGTTTCAACTGATTTTCTTCTAGTATTTTAACTACACCTATTTTTCCAGATATGAGTAAACAATGCAATATAATTTCATCTAAAATTATAACAAATATTTTAGTTAGGAACAATTTGAAAATGATTTATTTTAATTAAGGTCATTCTCCCAGTAGCCTTTTTCATGACTTAAATTGCAGTTGAACTTTATCCCAAAATATGGCATTGTTTCTTAAAAGGAGCATACATATTTGGTACCAGCCAAAGTACACATTTGAATTATACCTGACAGAATTTCAAATGTAGATGAATTTACTTTAAGTTTGATTAATTGGCCATTCTTTCCTAGTGAAGAGAGAATGCAGATGTAATCACTTAAATCAGTAAGTAGACCATTTTTTGGATAAAAGCATCTATCTTCCTACAGAAGTCTTTTAAAATTGCTCATGAACTCTCTCAAATGCACTTCTTTCTCTTGTGTGCTACCCAAAGGATAAGAAGAGCTGTGAGGGCTGGGGACCCTTGCTCTGCCCACTTCTTTCAGGACTGCTGTAACACTAGATTATTAAAGAGAGGTCATTTGTTCTTTGCTTTATTATTTGTAGAGACAATCATTAATATTCATCCACATGTGCAGCATTCTAGGTATTTTACGGAACATGTAGTGTTCAACATGTAAATCAAATAGATTTATGAATACTGATGGCCCCATGGGGGAATATTACCCTGCAATATGAAGTCCAGTTTCAACAAGTAGAAAACCAATCTCAAAATATTTTGTAACTTTAAAAAATCTACAACAACACCATTAGAGTTTAGGCATATTTAGCTAATTTGTAAAGAGACTCAAATGTAATAAAACAAATGAAAATCAAAGAATGGGACCCATATAAAATGCAGAATGGGACTAAGATGTATCAAAGGAGTTTTAAAGAAAATGTTTGATGGGCACTTGAGGAGTCAAGTGGAATTTTATACTCTCTGTATATGTGTTAACATCAGACCGTTTACCTAAAGCTAGCATATCATCATTGATTAAAGAGGGAATATGTTTCAGAAAAGCTTAAAACAATGAGGTTGAATAAAATATTAATAAATCATTTTATCAAGAAGCAAAATAATAAATTTTTGTGCAACTTGAATTAAAAACTGAGGATACACTGGGCTAAGCATAATAAAAGTTCATTAATTTAATACAATACATGTAGCAGTTACATTCATATTCAAACTTAAAACACAATGCACACTGTACAAGCTTCATTATATTTAAGGCCAAGTCAAGCCATTTTCCTCTCTGCATTTGGGCTAGCCTTCTATAGAAGCAATACTGACGAGTTAGTGGGTGCAGCGCACCAGCATGGCACATGTATACATATGTAACTAACCTGCACAATGTGCACATGTACCCTAAAACTTAAAGTATAATTAAAAAAAAAAAGAAAAAAAGAAAAAAAAATAGAAGCAATACTGGGAACACAGTCTAATTAAACAAAACAACACTATTTGAGCTAAAGAGGAGCCTGACTATATATTTAAGATGTATTTTATTGACAAAAAGAAAAATAAGTAAATAAGAAGGATGCAAAAACAGATGATGTAGACTTGGAGCTGCAATCGATGTATTACATACTCTTGAAAGACATGTTTGATAAAGGTGAAGATTAGTTATCTATAAATGAAAGAAAAATATTGTCACCTATTACAAACAAATTACAATATGAGTGGATTTTGAAAGGGTAGAGTGTTAAGTGGGTGATCCTTACTTTTTTATGAAAATGCATCATATTCTCTGGATATTAAGGACTAAGCTCTGATTTTTTTTATCTTGCCCAAGTTCCTAAGTTGTCTAGAAAGTCATGCCCTACAAACCATAAATTCTCATCAGATGGATTTTATTTAACCCTATATATTGTGGCTTACTTTCCACTCTGACTCAGGCATAACATTACAAAACAAGGAAGAAAATCAAAATATTTTAGCCCAAAACATGTTTCCCTGCCATATGTTGAAATGGACCTGCAAAGCTGTCCTTTGTGGGGGGAAAACTGCATCAGTAAAGAATCTCTACTAACAGCTAGATCTTTTTCTTCCAGGTTCTCCCAATCCTGAAGAGATTAACTAAAAGTCTAGCACCTTTTAAAGATCTGAATGGGAAACCTTTGACATCTTTTGTCTCTAAGGGCAGCCACTATAAAACTTCAAAAGAACCTTGGTCTCCACAGTCTCTTATCTTAATCTGAACATTTCCTTTCTATATATCCCAGGTCTTCAGACAAACTCAACCAATTGTCAATCAGAAAACGTTTAAATTTACCTTTAGCGAGGAAGCCCCCCTCCCCCACCTCGTTTTGAGTTGTGCCACCTTTCTGAACCAAATCAATGTATTTCTTAAATGTATTTGATTGATGTCTCACGCCATCCTAAAATAGATAAAACCAAGCTGTACCTTCGACACATGTTCTCAGGGTCTCCTGAGGCTGTGTCATGGGCCATGGCGACTCATATTTGGCTCAGAATAAATCTCTTCAAATATTTCACAGAGTTTGACTCTTTTCGTCAACAATATTAAGGCTTTCATAGCATCTCTTTGGGCATTGCCAATTATCACTTGTGGCAATGGCCAGCGTCATAAGATCTGCCTCCATACGATCAGCTCAGGTACTACAACACAGCACATCAGAGTTGTGACTATCCGATTTAACAATGGAGAAGCAAATGAATGTTGGCAGGAAGAGTGGATGTTTTAAATGTCAAGAGATAAGATCTAGCATTAGCTTCATAGAAAGGGGAAGTGAAAATTGGGTTTACACACAGAAATAATAGAAAGCATAGGAGAGGGAAACTTAAAATTTTCAACACTTCTTTTCTTTCACACCAGGTTGTTCTCAATTCCAATGCTGTGGTTCCCCTGTGTTATCAATGCTTTAATTACATTTGTAGAAATAGGAAAATAACTACAACAGGGATTTGCATTTTCTGAAGATAATTAATGCATAAATTTGACTAAATTTTTCTTGTCTATCACCTTGCGTTTCAGTACATTTAAATGTGCATGTCTGGCAACTGCTTTTTGCAATATGTCCACTCCTCCCACATAAGAAAATAGAGAGATAAGATAAAACAAAACATCCATTCTGTGCCATCAATCTAGTTTCAATCTAGCAGTGTGGTGAGATTTCAAGGGCAGGGTGCTTTGATGAATTAATTCTCCTCTTTGCCAAGATCCCCGCCTTCATGGCACACTTTGCTTTTAAGCAAGTGCATCATTCCTTGCATCACTTTCACCTCAGTCATCTTCAGAAATCTGTCTCCAGATTGCACGCCACCAAAAGGAAATGCGTCACTATTCTGATCTATTCCTCGTGGCCCCTTCTCCTCTGCACTCCCTTCCTAATGTCTGTGAAATTTAATCTGTCATCACCAAGGTCATCTATACCCATACACCTTCTTCTCTGAACATTGCTTTTATCTTTTTGCTCTAACTGAAATCTGCCTGTTCCTCAGCACTGCTTTGACCCTTTCTTCTTGGTTTCCAGGTCTCTCCTCCCAGACCTGGAAATGTTGCTTTGTCCCCAGCCTTTCCCATAAGTAGACTTTCTCCCTGGGTGGTTGCATCCAGGCCCAGAGCTTTACACCGATCTGCATTCTGAAGACATGACATCTACATGTCTAACACAGACTTCTCTTTTTACTTTCAGACGTGTGTATTGAACTTCTCACTTTATATCATAAGCACCTCAAATGTAACATGACCGAAGGAGAACCACTGATTTGCCCATGCCACCATCGAGTCAGCTCCTCAATGCCTTCTGTTTCTCTGTTAATGGCATGACTCTTCAGACAGTAACTCAGACCAAAAATGACCTTGATTCCTCCCTTTCACTCATATTCCAAATCTCAAACCTTTGGTAAAATGGATGTCAAATGGAAATTATGATACCATTTCCACCGCTCCCAGTCTAAGCCACCATCATCTTCTACCTGAACTCCTGTTGTGTTTCTTAGTTGGCCTTTGTCCCCACCTTCGGGTCCCTGGAGGCATCCACCACATAGCAGCCACAGTGATCTCTCAAAGGAAAGAAAAGTATGTCACCTTCCCCTTCTAAAAATCTTCCAAGGGCCTTCATTAATTTGGAATAAAATCCAAACTTGGACTTCAGGGCCCTGCATGGTCTGTTTTCAGAACAAGATCTGAACTCATCTTTCTCTGTTCCTCGGCCTCAGTTATGATCATCTGAACACAGTGATCCTTTTCGTTCCTGAAATCGGCAAACTTGGCATTTTTTATTTGTTGTTACTTCCGCTTGTAAAGAATTCCCCCCAAATTTTGTTCACTGTCTTGTCATTTATTTCTCAACACATAAGTCATCTAAGAAGCCTTCTCAGGCCAGGCACAGTGGCTCATGCCTGTAATCCCAGCACTTTAGGAGGCGGAGGTGGGCAGATCACGAAGTCAAGAGATCGAGACCATCCTGGCCAACATGGTGAAACCCTGTCTCTACTAAAAATACAAAAAAAAAAAAACAAAAAACAAAAAAAGTAGCTGGGCATGGTGGTGCGCACCTGTAGTCCCAGCTACTCGGGAGTCTGAGGCAGGAGAATCACTTAAACCCAGGAGGCAGAGGTTGCAGTGAGCCGAGATTGTGCCACTGCACTCCAGCCTGGCGACAGAGTGAGACTCTGTCTCAAAAAAAAAGAAGCCTTCTCTACCACCCATATTCATCTCTTACTGTGTGGTCATAGTTCATAATAGCACTTGCCAAAAGCATGTATTGTCTTGCTGCCTATTTACATGTTTTTGGAGCCCTCTTCTTACTAATTAAAATGTATGCACTTAAAGTCAAAGATTCTATTTTGAACACCAATGTAATTCACATATGTACCTAACATATATTTGTTGACTGACTTTTGTTGATTGATTTTGGTCATGTTTTTAGTGCTGCATTTCCTTTTCCCATTTATTCTGAACTCTTCATGATCCCAGAATTCCACTTTTCTTCCTTCTTACTCTTAAATATAATGAATCTGATAAAATCAGTGATATCCCAATATTCACCTGAATAAATTCAGAAGTATCTCTTATATGGTCAAGCTTCTTCACCTCAACACTAGTAACAGGCTTTTCCACCATGATACTGGCCTCAGTTAGTCAATGGCACAAATTTCTCCTTCCTTCCTTCCTTTCTCCTTTCCTCCCCTCCTCCTCCTCCTCCTCTTCTTCTCTTCTTTGTTTCTCCTCCTCCTCCTCCCCCTCCCCCTTGTTTCCTTCCTTCCTTCCTTCTTTTTCTTTCTTTGTTTCTTTCTCAGTTTCACTCTTGTTGCCCAGGCTGGAGTGCGGTGGCGTGATCTCGGCTCACTGCAACCTCCACCTCCCGGGTTCGAGCAATTCTCCTGCTTCAGCCTCCCGAGTAGCTGGATTACAGGCATGTACCACCATGCCTGGCTAATTTTGTATTTTTAGTAGAGACAGGGTTTCTCCATGTTGGTCAGGCTGGTCTCAAACTCTCGACCTCCAGTGATCTGCCCGCCTCGGCCTCCCAAAGTGCTGGGATTACAGGCACGAGCCACCACACCCGGCCGCTCAAGTTTCTTATTCTGTGATGATCACTATATTGAGGTAACTTTGGTGCGTCTATTTCCTTCTCGTGCATTTTGGGTGTTTCTGAGGAAACACTTCTTGAACCTTCTTCCAGTCTTCCCCATCTAGAAGTTGATAGGTTTGAACAATTGTAACAAAGCTCTTGTAAGGGAGTAGATATTCACTGACACCTTCATTGTCCTCAGACAAAAAATTTGGATTCTCCACCTATGGGTTCTAGGTCTGGGACTTCTGAAAATGTCCTGAAATCACAGGTATGCAAGAAATAGGCCTGCCCTGAAGCATCTGTGTGACTATGACCAGTCAACTAGTTTCCTGGCATTATACTAAATATTCCTTGTCCACTGTTTGATTCTTCTCCACCATGACCCTATAAAGAGGGTTCTGTTTTTATCAGTTTTTCAGATGAGGCACATAGACTTACAGGGTTTAGGTAACTTACATAAGGTCACATGGCCACCCTGTTGCTGAAAAAATGTAAAAAAAATTAACTAGGTGTGGTGGCATGCACCTGCAGGCCCAGATCCTCTGGAGGCTGAGGCAGGAGGATCTCTTGAGTCCATGAGTTTGAGGCTGCAGTGAGCCATGAATGCACCACTGCACTCTAGCCTGGGCGACATGACTTCTTGGTCTTTTGGCTAAGATAAAGTGTAGCCTGAACTACAGAGTGAGATCCTGTCTCTAAAAATAAATAAATAAATAAATAATTTTTTTTAAAAAGTCACATGGTAACCAAAACAGCATGGTACTGGTACAAAACAGACACATAGACCAATGCAACAGAATAGAGAACTCAGAAATAAGACTGCACATCTATAACCATCTGATCTTCAACAAACCTGACGAAAACAAGCAATGGGGAAAGAACTCCTTACTTAATGAGTGGTGCTGGGAGAATTGGCTAGCCATACGCAGAAAATGGAAACTGGACCCCTTCCTTACATCTTATATAAAAATTAACTCAGGATGGATTAAAGACTTCAATGTAAAACCCAAAACTATAAAAACCCTAGAAGAAAATCTAGGTAATACCATTTAGGACATAGACCCGGGCAAAAATTTCATGATGAAAACGTCAAAAGCAATTGCAACAAAAGCAAAAATTGACTAATAAGATCTAATTACACTAAAGAGCATCTGGACAGCAAAAGAAACTATTATCAGAGTGAACACACAACCTACAGAATGGGAAAAAATTTTTGCCTTCTATCCATCTGACAAAGGTCTAATATCCAGAGTCTACAAGGAACTTAAACAAATTTATAAGAAAAAAACAAACAACCCCATTAAAAAGTGGGCAAAGGACATGAACAGAAACTTCTCAAAATAAGACATTCATGCGACCAACAAATATACGAAAAAAGGTCAACATCACTGATCATTAGAGGTCAACATCACTGATCATTAGAGAAACGTAAATCAAAACTACAATGAGATACCATCTCGTACCAGTCAGAATAGCCTTTATTAAAAAGTCAAGAAACAACAGATGCTGGAGAGGTTGCAGACAAAAAGGAATGCTTTTACGCTGTTGGTGGGAGTGTAAATTAGTTCAACCATTGTGGAAGACAGTGTGGAGATTCCTCAAAGATCTAGAAGCATAAATACCCTTTGACCCAGCAATTTCATTACTGGGTATATACCTAAAGGAATATAATTCCTTCTACTATAAAGATAAATGCATGGATATGTTCACTGTAGCACTATTCACAATAGCAAAGACGTGCAATCAACCCAAATGCCCATCAATGATAGACTAAAGAAAATGTGGTACACATACACCATGAAATACTATGCAGCCATAAAAAGGAAAAAGATCATGTCCTTTGCAGGGACATGGATGGAGCTGGAATCCATAATCCTCAGCAAACTACCACAGGAACAGAAAACCAAACACTGCACGTTCTCACTTATAAGTAGGAGCTTAACAATGAGAACACATGGACATATCAGTGGGCTGTGGGGGAGCAGAACACACACTGGGGTCTGTCAAAAGGGGGACATGGGAGGAGGAATATCATCAGGAAGAAAAGCTAATGGGTGCTTGGCTTAATACCTAGGTGATGGGCGGATCTGTACAGCAAACCACCATGGCACATGTTTACCTATGTAACAAACCTGCATATCCCGCACATGTACCCTAGAAATTAAAAGTTGACTAAAAAAAAAAAAAAAGAAAAAAAAGAAGTCACCTGGCCAGCAGATGGGGAGCCAGAACTTGATCCAATTTTTGTATTTCTCAAAATTTGCATTTTAAATCACTGGTGATACTTACTTTTTATTTTGGACAAATGCTAAAGAAAAGTAATTAATATTTTCAATTACCATGAATGTATTTATGCTTTTCAACATGAAATAAGGGTCATGATATAAAAATTACTGTCAAAGGAAGATACTGGGAAAATATATAATACAAACATTCAAGTATTTACCATAAGGTACAAGAAAAAAAAATGTATATCATCTCCTTATAAACACATTTGCAAAACAATTAGTTCATTTAAACACAAACTAACTTAATATTCTTCCTAAAAGAAAGAAAGTAAAGTACAGCTTCTAATGCTGTTAGTATATATCTGAGAAAATATAAGACCACGGTGCAGGGCAACAATTACATTTACTTTAATCAAAAAGTTTTTGAGCATTTTAGAATCTGATGAGAAAGCTGAGACCCAACAGTACCATGAGCATTAAGAGGACAATGCATTTTCAGAAAAAAACGCTAATTATCTCTCTCAGTCTCTCTCTCTCTTGCTTTTATTCTTACTCTAAATCCTTCTCAGGTGTCTTACACTTTATTGGGCAGAGCAGACAAATAATCCTACATGTTATAACTCAAGGTGGTAAGAATGTGGGAAATGTAACTAGATCACAGATATCTGGTTCCAGCCCTGAGAGCTTCTTGAAAAAGGTCACACTTTCACTGAGGTTTGAAGTGAAACTAAGAGGGTATGGTAGAGGAAAGGAATCTAGACGTGTCCTAAAGTCTTAATAAACTTTAAGCTGAAAAATTAGAAAATAAAATTTTGGCCAGATTACCTTGAAGGTAGTGTGGTGAATACATAAATCAAAGTGTACAAGATGAGTAATAGGCTGGTCAGTAAGAGCAGCCAAAGGCTCTTGAGCAATACAATTGAGAAATCATGATCCTTGCTAAGGTTGTGACAGAAGCATCTAGGCGATCAGACATTACCTCATTGGACTGGAAAAAAAATATCTAAACAAGTATAGATTTCCATGAGAAATATCATCCGCAGGTCCCTTACCTTGACAATATTTTTAAAAATCTCTAATTCAAAATGTAGCTCTGCTATTCACACTTTAATTTCTTTAATCATTTATTTAGGAACCCTTCTTACATTGACCTTATAGTCTAATTGAGAAAGACAGAAATCCACAGTAGAAAAGGAAATATTTAATATATTCCTTATGTAAACAAGCCACCAATGCAAGTTGCTGATTTCAGGACTTTATTGTACTTCCTCCTCACAAATAATAGGAAGACACATCCCTTGTGTTTTGAATAATTTCTCAGTTCACAACTGTCTCATTTCAGAGTTGACCATAAAAATATGAATCAGAGAAACAGATGTGTTTTCACATTTAAATTTCAATAAAAATTGAATATCTGTGAACCACAAAAGTGAACAGATGTTTAAAAGCCAACAAGACTCTAAAACTAAAATTACCAATTTCTTGATTCATATGCATACTCCTCTTTATTAAGAATAAAAGTGTGTTAATCATAATTTTAATTATGGCTCTTATCACTCTTTAAAATCTTATGTAGATGTCTCATATTCCTAGTATGTCAATCTTAGTATCACTTATCATGCATATACAGAGAAATGCACAAATCATGAATTCATGACTCAATGAATTGTCATAAAGTGAACAGATCAATTTAACACTCAAGTGAAAGAAAATAATATTACTAACACCCCCAGATTTCCTCTTCTGTCCCCCACCAACTCCACCACTAACCTAGCTTCTATTACTGTAGATCAATTTTTGAAATTTTTGTAATTGGAATTATGCAGAATATACTCTTTCATGTCTAACATTGTTGCTAGGATAGTTGTACAACTAATTTTTTCTTATATTCTTATTTTCTATGAACTTTATTTAATAATTTTAATGGTTTTCCAGAAATTACTTTATGTCATTGGTGAACAATAACAGTTTATTTCTTCCCTTCCATTTGTTATGTCTTTTTATAATTTTCTTGCCTTTATATATGGACTAAGTTCACCAAAACAATGATGAATACAAGTGGTGCTATCAGGCATCCTTGCCTTGTCCTCGATCACTGGGAGAAAGCTTTAAATATTTCATCATTAAATGTCTATCTCTTATTTGTTTTGACTAATTCTCTCTTCTGTTATGCCCAATCTGTGTTAAACGCACTACTTGAGTTCTCGATCTTAGTTACTGCATTCTTTTACTGATTCTAAATATCTTTTGAATTCTATATCTTGTCCTCTCTTAAACATATATCACACATATTTGATAATTCCAATATCTGTCTCACCTTTCTCTTTCTATCATCTGTATTTCCTAACAGTCCTAGTTTGTTGTTGTCTGCTTATTTGTTTTGTTTGTTTGGATATATTTTTATTGAATGTAGGACACTGTAGAAGCTCTGAACGGTGTAATAATTCTCCTGAAATAATTTATCCTATTGTCTGGCAGTCATCAAAATTAGGGGTAGATCTCACAAGTCCAATCAGCGACTGAGCTGATGCCAGGGAGGTGGCAGTCTTTGCTAGGTTTGATCTCTCTGATTCACCAATACTTCCATACGCTTCTGTAAGAACATGAGGTCCATGCTTCTTCATGGATGTTGAAATTCAGTATTTGTTTTCCAAGCACACCAGCGCTCCCACCAGTTCTAATCAATTTGTTAGTCACTTTCTTCTTGGCTTCTTATTCTCTAATCTTTCACTGTTCTTGAATTGGCAAATGCTTTGGAGAAAAAAACCAGGGTGGAATAGCTGGCTCCCTTTTTCGCACCTCCTTTGTCTCCAAGGTCATGACCCAAAAGGGCTGGTGGCTTTAAAAGTCTCAACCTTCTATATTTTCTTCCAACCCTGTAAGAACCCAGAAAGTTCTGACATCTTCTCTTCTTATATCCAAGTTATCTGCTGAACTTCTCACCCTCTTTCCCTGCACAGGGTAAAATTCAGCAAATGGCCTGAGAGGGAAGAATTGCACACCCAAATCAGCTTCTTTTCCCTATGAGATCTGGGTTTCTCAAGCACTGGCTGCCTTAACGGCATTCCCATTCCTTCAAATATATTTTTTTTTGTTGGTATTTTATACAGCTTTTCTTGTTGACTTTGTCAGTAGCATTGGTCTGCTAAAACTATTTCATCATAAAAAGAAACTGAACCACATATTAATTTTTAAAATGTGTTAACAATAAAATTTTTCAATAAAAATCTTGTATTATAAATGAATTATAGACAAATATTTTCTCATCATAGATGGTTTTGAAAATGAAAAATATTAATTTGGATAACTATTTCTATTACTACTGAATTACTTGCTTGAGGTTAATTAATTTCTATAATTGTGGTAAACAGAAGTCTAAAAATTTATTCTCATGATTATGTGGCATTTTTGTTCTCATCTGTCCTAGAAATTGACTTCATATATTTCAGTGAATAACAAACATCATGCTAACTAAGATATTTAACACATTTTAATGACTGAACAAATATAGATTCACTGTCTAAAATGGGAAAATAAAAAAAGAGATGAAAACAAGAGTAATACATAATTGTACCACTCAGGGTCTATTACTTTTAGATTTTTGGCCCATTTAATTTCTATTATTTCTTGTTAACGGATTATATACAATATATGTTATAAAACTCCAGGATTTAGCTTTTGATATTTGAATTTCTTTCTCCAACTGAACCTCTCTTGCATCTTTGAATCTTACTTATTTTACATATGACATCAGTAACATCTCATGTCTTTCACTGTCCTTTGAAAAGTTTTTTCCTTTTTGTTTTGTTTTGTTTTAGTGTGGTTCAGCATTCTATTTAACCATTTAATTCTCTTATTAGATTTTTAGGTTGCTTTCTTTTTTCCAATATTAGAAATTAAATTTCAAAGATTGTATTAATACATATATATAAACCTTTGCATTTTGTAGCATTTACTGAGGTAGACTCTGTAAAATAAAACTACTTGGGAAAGGGGTATAGATGTTTAAGGCTCTTTATTCACACTGGCCAGTTACTCCACGGTGAATTCTTATCAACCCTGAATGTCACTAAAAACATCCTTCCAATTTATAAGTAAAAAAGTTTCATATTTCCAAATTAATGGAACTTTTATATATACATTTTAATTACTTTTTTTTAACCTTTGGGTAAGTTATTTCTTAAGGTTCTTTGACCATTCGTTTATGTAATTTGCAATCTTCATATATTTTTTAGGCTTTTTCACATTAAGAATGATTTTTTTTTAACTGAAATACAACAAGGTAAAATAATTACACCTGGTGGCTCTCAAAAGGAAACACCCATTACTGTAAAAGAGTTTTATTCTTAGGGAAACTCAGTGGAGTGGTGGAATATGTGAGAGACTACAACAAGAAGCATACTGTCCTCAAAATGGTGCTTGCAGTTCACGCCATTGCAGATGCAAAGAAACAATGAAGGGTAAAAGCCAATGGAAACACATCAATCAAAGGTGGATACTGTCCAGCAGCTCTGTTCCTCCCTCTGAGCACTCACTCTTTGGCATTAATCATTATTAACTGCTTTCATTAGGCAGAGAACAGCATTATATTGCTCCTCCAGCAAAACTGGAGACTGTTTCTGAAGTCAGATGCAAGAGAAGTTCAGTTGGAGAAAACAAAAAATTCAAATATCAAAAGCTAAATACTAGGATTTTTCCCCACTTAATTTCCAAAAAACAAAAAATAAATTATCCCAGAACACAAAATATGAGAAATGAGAATTTATAAAACACACTTACCTAAACTCAGTCTCCTTACCCACGTGTCCCTCCTGCGTGAGGCAGTTGCGGGGCATGAACCTCATGCTATGCCCATCCCTGAGCTTTTCATCTTCACTTCTTAGAGCCCGTATTCAGATTCCCTGTCTCACTCCCTGGCTGCTTACCTGGCTCACCCCAGAGAAGGCTTTTGCATAGAACCTGCAAACTATGCCTCAAGGTATTGATTATACTTAATTTCCCCGAATGAGAGAAAAAGCAATGAGAATGCTAGTTGCCTATACAATATAATGACCCCCTTGTTTCTTAGAGACAAATTTTTTTTTTCAGGTTTATAATGTGCCCAAATACGAAGCTCTATTCCCAGGCTCATTCACAGATAGGCATAGCTATATCCTGTCGAATGCAATCAAAGTCAATGAAATATAATTGTATGAAAAAGAAACAGAAGCCACTGAGTGGGCTCCTGAAAAGGTGGCTTTAAAGGTGTCAAGTTCTTTACTTAAAGAATAAGCAATGTCGTTTTGTTTTCCCTTGGCATTTTACTTTCTTCCTTCCTGAGACGCAGGGATGACTCTAGGGTCCCTGCAGATATCTTAGAGCATGAGTGCAAGTGTGGTTCCATCTTACAGACCACAAGCCAAAGCAAGCCTTGGTCTCTGATGAGAGACTTGGTCATGTTACACAGTGGTCACACCAGCCCTAACCTGCCTACCTTTACACTTCCTCAAAATAAGACCTCCCTCAAAATTTGTTTAAACTGCCATTTGATTGGGAGGGGGTGTGTCTGTTATTGAGTCAAAAATTATTCCTGAGTAATGCAATTCTCCAATTTACTTATCTGGTCTCTATTTTCCATTGCTGCTTATTTTGATGACATTCATCTTCTATCTAAAATCCTTTTATCTGAAACTGACAATATTTTCTCTCCAAGAATCTAGTTCTTAAGGTATTACATGAATTAGAAATCCATGCCTTATACATTCTAATATTTTCATTAGGTACTCCACAATATCTAATTTATTCCTTTATTTGTCAATTGCTTATTCACATAAATGAGTAAATATTACTCATCTAAAAAAGAGTTACTGGATTTTTCTTAGACAAATTCAGAGGCGTAGTTACATTTTGTTCAAAATGGTTACAGCGCATTTTGAACAAAATATAAATGTAAATATAAGGATGACTTTGCTTTTCAAGTATTTGCTGAATCCCTAAAGAGGAATTTAAATCTTTATTTGGCAGCTTTTGTTTACTTTTTTCAATGAAAATTTGATGAACTTCATTTTCCTGCTGTAATCTCACTGTGAGTATAGAGTAGTTATAAATCTGAGGATATCCTACTTAATATCTCCAAGGCGACATCAGTGTCCATAGGCATCGCAATCATTTGATCTCACCATTATCTGAAGTGGACATTAGACACCACTTCTAATATTTGAACTCCTTGTTGTCCTTTCCATGAATATCACTCAGATTCCAAATGCAATGAAAAGGATAAAATTGAGCCTGACCATCTCCCTCTACTTTATACATAAAACTCCACTGTTTTATATTCTGGTGGAGAAAGAACAAACTCACATATCTAGTGACCAAAGTAGTTTTTATTGAAGGTGCAGAGTCAGTGTTTTATTCTCCATTAGACTGTACTCGACAAGTATGAGGGTAACTGGAAGCTTCCACTAAGGTTCAGGTAAGGGAGCAACAGGGAGGGCCAAGCATGCATCCTTCAAAGACAGCAGCTACTATGCCCCGAGGTGACACGGCCAGCCAGGGATCTGGGCCAAAGTTGCCGGATCTTCCACTTTTCAAAGAGTTTCCAGAAATCTGGATGTTGGCTCTAAGTTTGAAATGGAGCTAACGTTGTGTGGGCCACTCTGGAGGACCGCCAGTTTACAACCCCAGAAAGAAGAGAAAGAGCTTGGTATTCATTGAGAAGTTGTAGCACTTCTCATTGCAAAACCAGAACTGCTGAACACAAAACTTATAAATAAGTCACTTATTTATAAGAACTTATTTCTAAGACTTATTTATAAGAACTCAGGTGAGGGGATAGAGAAGTGAAGAGATCAAGCTACTCTCCCAGCCCCTACAGTGGATCCAGCTGGTTCTCAAATTGCTCCCCTGTACCCTGTATTAGAAATTTGAGGGAATGAAAGCAGCTCATTCTCACTGGTGACTAAAGATTACATATGAGAAAATGAAGTCCTAGACTTTATTTTCCACAAACTGTGTTCTGTGATCACAGTGGACTTTATTCCAACATACTAATGCAATGGAGAAAGACACATAAAGCCTTCCTCTTTGTCCCTGTTTGCAGATGACATGACTGTATATCTAGAAAACCCCATTGTCTCAGCCCAAAATCTCCTTAAGCTGATAGGCAACTTCAGCAAAGTCTCAGGATACAAAATCAATGTGCAAAAATCACAAGCATTCTTATACACCAATAACAGACAAACAGAGAGCCAAATCATGAGTGAACTCCCATTCACAATTGCTTCAAAGAGAATAAAATACCTAGGAATCCAACTTACAAGGGACGTGAAGGACCTCTTCAAGGAGAACTACAAACCACTGCTCAAGGAAATAAAAGAGGATACAAACAAATGGAAGAACATTCCATGCTCATGGGTAGGAAGAATCAATATCATGAAAATGGCCATACTGCCCAAGGTAATTTATAGATCCAATGCCATCCCCATCAAGCTACCAATGACTTTCTTCACAGAATTGGAAAAAACTACTTTAAAGTTCATATGGAACCAAAAAAGAGCCCACATCGCCAAGTCAATCCTAAGCCAAAAGAACAAAGCTGGAGGCATCACGCTACCTGACTTCAAACTATACTACAAGGCTACAGTAACCAAAACAGCATGGTACTGGTACCAAAACAGAGATATAGATCAATGGAACAGAACAGAGCCCTCAGAAATAACGCTGCATATCTACAACTATCTGATCTTTGACAAACCTGAGAAAAATAAGCAATGGGGAAAGGATTCCACATTTAATAAATGGTGCTGGGAAAACTGGCCAGCCATATGTAGAAAGCTGAAACTGGATCCCTTCCTTACACCTTATACAAAAATTAATTCAAGATGGATTAAAGACTTAAACGTTAGACCTAAAACCATAAAAACCCTGGAAGAAAACCTAGGCATTACCATTCAGGACATAGGCATGGGCAAGGACTTCATGTCTAAAACACCAAAAGCAATGGCAACAAAAGCCAAAACTGACAAATGGCATCTAATTAAACTACAGAGCTTCTGCACAGCAAAAGACACTAACATCAGAGTGAACAGGCAACCTACAAAATGGGAGAAAATTTTTGCAACCTACTCACCTGACAAAGGGCTAATATCCAGAATCTACAATGAACTCAAACAAATTTACAAGAAAAAAACAAACAACCCCATCAACAAGTGGGCGAAGGACATGAGCAGACACTTCTCAAAAGAAGACATTTATGCAGCCAAAAAGCACATGAAAAAATGCTCACCATCACTGGCCATCAGAGAAATGTAAATCAAAACCACAATGAGATACCATCTCACACCAGTTAGAATGGCAATCATTAAAAAGTCAGGAAACAACAAGTGCTGGAGAGGATGTGGAGAAATAGGAACACTTTTACACTGTTGGTGGGACTGTAAACTAGTTCAACCATTGTGGAAGTCAGTGTGGCGATTCCTCAGGGATCTAGAACTAGAAATACCATTTGACCCAGCCATCCCATTACTGGGTATATACCCAAAGGACTATAAATCATGCTGCTATAAAGACACATGCACACGTATGTTTATTGCGGCACTCTTCACAATAGCAAAGACTTGGAACCAACCCAAATGTCCAACAATGACAGACTGGATTAAGAAAATGTGGCACATATACTCCATGGAATACTATGTAGCCATAAAAAAGGATGAGTTCATGTCCTTTGTAGGGACATGGATGAAATTGGAAATCATCATTCTCAGTAAACTATCGCAAGAACAAAAAACCAACCACCGCATATTCTCACTCATAGGTGGGAATTGAACAATGAGAACACATGGACACAGGAAGGGGAACATCACACTCTGGGGACTGCTGTGGGGTCGGGGGAGGGGGAAGGGATAGCATTAGGAGATATACCGAATGTTAAATGAGGAGTTAATGGGTGCAGCACACCAACATGGCACATGTATACATATGTAACAAACCTGCACATTGTGCACATGTACCCTAAAACTTAAAGCATAATAAAAAAAGAAAAAAAAGAAAAAATAAAAATAAATAAAATAAAATAAAATAAAAAAGAAAGACACATAAACACAAGTTATGAAGGAGTACACCCCAAAATTGAGAATAAAAACCACAATGACATAAATAGACAATCAAAAAATCAGAGAGACTTTAGAAAGCACACATTTTAACTCCTTTTCTATATAGACCAAGAGGAAATAATTTAAAATATGCAAAAAAATAAAAAGAAATATATGTTTATTTCTTCACCTTATTCATAAACTGACTGGCAGATTATTAAAGTAATGCATTTATTTAACAACCATTACTTGACACCTACTGTTGCACTCAGACATTGACTCATCATTCCCTCACTGCACACATTGACACTCTGCTGCTAATCTATGTCAGCCATGATAGAACTCAAAAGATGAAGCTATTGTAAGTTCCTGCCATCAGCATGTTTGCATCCTAATTGAGAAAAATAACTCATATATACACATGAAACAACTAAGGAATAATTACACTCAGAACATAGGCATAAAAAAAGACCCATGAAGTTCTGCAGTGCAGATTTCAAAACCTTTAGTCATAAGTGCCATGGTAGTAAAATGTACACTAATACTAAATAAGTAATGATGGATATTTTTCATTCCTTCAACGTTAGTCATCAGCTATTTATTAGGACACTGGAGTACTTGACATGCTAATGTACTGCTCTCAGGTTTTCATTTATAAGTGGGAGCTAAACATCGGGTACTCATGGGCATAAAAATGGGAACAATAGACAGTGGGGACTACTAGAAAGGGAGAGAGGGAGGGGGACAAAAGCTGAAAAACTACCTATTAGGTACCATGCTCTTTGCCTGGGTGATGGGATAATTCCTACCCCAAACCTTGACATCACACAGTGTACCCATGTAACAAACCTGCACATGTACCCCCTGAATCCAAAATGGAAGTTGAAGGTTTTAAAATAAAATAAATGCAAATTAAAAAAATTTAAAGACCACAAAGCTAAATAAGAAAAGTGTGCGTTCTTCTGTAATTTTATCCTAAAAGGTAAAATAGACTTCTAGAAGTAAAAAAATATACGGTGAGATTTCAGGTAGTAAAAAATGTACCCAGGTAGAATATACAAGGGTATGGGATAAATCAAGAGAGTGCCTGGTGTAATCTAAATTGAGTGGTCTGGGACATTGTATTCTTCTCCTAAAGTAAAAGTTTCATTTTCTGTCAAACAGACTGCCTTATTTTAAAATTTAACTTTAATCCAAGAAAATTTACATTGAGTAAGCCAAAGTGTTATCATGAATAATTGATTTTATTCCACTTGTGATAAACAAGAACTTTAACTTGTGATAAACAAGTAATAAGTTGAACCCTTAAATCCTGAATGCTTTATACTCAGATAATTTTTTTCTCAAAAGCAATAGTGTACACTGATTTTCATGGACTTCTTGTCTTTCTGAAAGTTGATTCAAAAATTAGTGTGTAAAGTTCTTTCTTGTAAGTATAATCATTTTCACTTGTGAATATGGGCAGGGAAGATTATAAGTTGTCAAGAATTTCCAGAGCTTCTGCCCATGACAGAATGATGGGTCCACATGCTGTATTTAAAACCCAGCTGAATGGATAAAAATAGTATTTAACTTTCATGGTCATTATGAGCTGAAGGAATTTATTGAACCCTTCAATCAGTAAAGAAACAAAAGACAGGAAATGGGTGAATGACTCACTTCTTCATGTGTTGTCTATATAGTGCTATTCTGATAATTGGATGATCTGAAGTTTAACCGAAATTGCATTAAAGCATTTTAGAGGAGAAGCAACCACCAAATATTTCAAAAACAAAACTAAAATGCTGAGAGAACCCAATGAAACATGGTTTGTAATTGGAAACACACAAGACGGTGTGTAATGCAGAATAATAAAGCCATGCTAAAATAAATTAAAAGTAAGGAAGACAGGTCCTACTTATACCTAAAGACCCAAATTGAAATCTGAGTCTATTCAATGTAGTAAACTATTTTGTTTTAGAATAAATCTTAAAAGTAAATATTTAACTTCTTCTTATATATATTTGAAGGAATTGTAATTTCAGAAATATCTGTGAGCTGTAATTTAAATAATGGATTTGATTTTATTTCATATGAAATAACTTGGAGATGACTCACCCAATTCCAAATGATGATTAGATATGTGTATCTTCAATTCTTGAGCAACATTATCAGTCTTTCCAAAAATTGATTATTCAAGCAATTATTTTATCCCATGAATTTCAGAACAAAAGAAAACTTTGTCTCAGGGAAATATTGGCCACGAGTAGAAAATATGGTATAGAAAATCTATGAGAAGTCTGAATTTTTTTGTAATTTCTAGATAAGATATTTAAAGCGAATACTCTGAATACTATCTTCCAAATGTAAACAGCTATTTTAGGTCTTGACTTCAGGTAGGAAAGGTTGATGTGTAGATGTGGGCTCCTAGAGATGAGATAGGAGACAGGACTGGGGCGTTTCTGAGAGAAAACCATATGCTTGTAAGCCACAGCATCTACTTGCCTATAACACTGTTCATTTCCTTTCTCTTTTTTCTTAGTTTGTTAGTTGTTACTTTTTACCATTTCAAAAAATTAATAATAAATACAGTTAAGTAAAACATTCAACATTATGACTGTTCACGATTAAAAGCCAAAATTTATTTGTACTCAAAATGCAATATTAAATAATATTTTCAATCTCACTGTTGCATTTGATCATAATTACTCTGAATAATAGTGATATGGTTTGGCTGTGTTCCCACCCAAATCTCATCTTGAATTGTAGCTCCCATAATTCCCATGTGTTGTGGGAGGGACCCAGTGGGAGATAATTGAATCATGGGGGTGGTTTCCCCCATATTGCTCTCATGGTAGTGAATAAATCTTATGAGATCTGATGGTTTTATAAAGGGAAATCCCTTTCGCTTGATTCTCATTCTCTCTTGTCTCCCGCCATGTGAGATGTGCCTTTCACCTTCCACCATGATTGTGAGGCCTCTCCAGCCATGTGGAACTGTGACTCCATTAAACCTCTTTCTTTTGTACATTGCCCAGTTGCAGGTATATCCTTATCAGCAGCATGAAAACGGGCTAATACAAATAGTTTTTTTTTTTTTATTTTTTAAGAAAGAAGGTAAATACTGAAAGCCTAACATGTGCCAAGCTGTGTGCTAGCTCATTTAATACTCAAATCAAACTGAGAGGTGGAAGGGTATGCTCTTTCCTTTGACCTTCAAGTGCTGTCCCTTATGGGCACCAGCAACTTGTCATGCACATGCTATGTAGCAATTACAGATGTAATGTTTTTGCTTTTATATGGCATTAATTACCTTTCATTTCTACAAAATCCTCTGTAAAATAATGTCATTGACTCTCTTTGAGGAGGAAGACTTGAGCTTCCAAAGCATGAGAAGTACCCTTTCATTAGAGCCTCTCAAAAAACTCTGCAGTTGTGTATAATGACATGTAAAACCTTACTTGATATATTTTATAGCAGATCCTTCCTTTGTTCTACCATCAAATTAATATCTGGTAATATATTTTATAGTGTAACAGGAATATTCCTTTCAAGTAGAGTATTACTTTACTTTATAAGAGTTTACTCTTCATAATCATTAAATGGGGCAACAGAAGTAAATGAAGATTTGTTTTTCATTATAGATCTATGCCTTACTGCACAAAATCAACTCAGTCATGAGCTGCTAAATGACCTCTAAGATTGAATGTTAGCATTGCTGGACAATGTGAAAGTGTACTGCAGACTCCTGGAGAATTTCTCTGTAGCCAGATATGGTATGCCCATGTAAACCAAAGGTAAAAGAGAGAGTTGGCTTAGAGTGATGGTAGTATTTCTGTTGGTGTGATGGCAGCCAAGATGTCAACAATTAATGTTCTTAAAATTATTGTTCCATGGTGCATGGTGGCTCACGCCTGTAATCCCAGCACTTTGGGAGGCCAAGGCGGGTGAATCAGGAGATCAGGAGATCGAGACCTTTCTGACTAACACAATGAAACCCCATCTCTACTAAAAATACAAAAATTCAGCCAGGTGTGGTGGCACGTGCCTGTAGTCCCAGCTACTCGGGAGGCTGAGGCAGGAGAATGGCTTGAACCCAGGAGGCGGTGGTTGCAGTGAGCCCAGATCGCACCACTGCACTCTAGCCTGGGTGACAGAGTGAGACTCTGTCTCAAAAAAAAAAAAAAAAAAAATACTGTTCCAATCATTTTGACTTTGTTGTCCCCAGCACCGATTTAACTTCAAACCATACTTGACATTTCAAGTATGGTTACATACATACACAAATTTCTTTGGGTATATAACAAACATTGAATTGAGGTATGCTTTTAAATTATTTTATTTGAAAATATCATCACCTCCAAGTCATTGAAAGTGCCTACACATATGGAACATTAGCAAACTTGTTCTACATAACTTTGATGTATCTTCCCATTTTGTTATTTTTGGTGATACGCACATGAACACTTTATAACTATAAAAATAGTCTAATGAATACCCATAGAATTTTCTAGATGTAGTCAATTTTAAACTTCAGCCCCAGTAAAGAGTTGCTTTCAGAATTAAGTGGATGTGATATTTTGATATAACATGTAAAATTAATTTAATTAAATTCCTTCACAAAAAATTTGATGTGATGAGCTAGAACAAAATTTATCAAAGCAGTAGACTGAGTCTTTGGCATCCAAATAAATAATATGAAATAATATATTCAGAATAAGATACAGCAGGATCAATATTAGAAACTTTAGAGATGATAGAACGTATTTCAATATTGAAAATCACCAGGACCAGTGTATTACACAGTGTGAGGAATAATTATTTTCTTTAGCTTCTCCTTCCCACTTCTGCAAAGCACAAGATGCAGCTATTTTTAAGTAGTTCAATGCTATTAATCCTCTGCTAACCTAGGAGTAGAACTTGGTGTCTCCAACGAAAGTCAATAAGAAGGTTCCAATTAATTTTTCAATAGTTCTGTTCATTAAAAAATACTGAAGAAATATAAGTAACATATTAACAAGCCTATAGTCTATACATGTTTGAATAGGCTTCTAAACAAATATGGAGATTTTATATTGATCCAGAGTGCCAATTCCTCCTGTTAGCCCTTGATTAAACATGTCATAAGTTTCTGATTTGTTCAGATTGAAAATGATTATGATTAAATGATAAATTAAGGTAACTTTCCCACTAAGTGGATATATGTTTGAGTATTAAAGGAATAGGTGACTCTTGGATCCTTGACACTGGCCAATTAGAAAGTAGTTTTTCTTCCTGAAAGTGTCTGCAGTAGGCTGTTGGTACCCAAAATCAAATTTCTAGAGTTAAACACTCTTCTATTCTGAATTGCCATTAGGAATCTGTTGACCAACATATAGGGACAAACTGAAAAGAGGAACATATTCTGAAAACTCAAAAGTGTATTGCATGGAAGAATAAAATACAAGGAAAAGTATTAAATATGGTCTCAGCCTGTTGGGATAAAAAAGTTCTCATCACTGAGTAAATAATTAATTTGTATAATTTTTATGTTCTTTAATTTTTAATAGTTAATTGGAAATTAAGTCATTTAAAACAGACATAACTTGGTTAGGTAAACAGTAATTGTTTCCTCTCAGTTTTCTTTAGATACTGATTGAATTATGCCACAATTAAGTTATGGTAAATATAAATGGTGGATGCAATTTTGATCTGGATTTTATTCAGTTCCATATGAGAGTAGAAAATTAGCCCAGATATTCTTTAAAGTGTTTGAAATGACTTAATCTGCCCTTCTTTATGCATATATAATTACTACCTCCTATATGGTTTGGGTCTACATTAGTTACTGGAGTGAATTCTAATACACAAAGAGCTGCACATTTAATCTATAGTACCTGAGTGCATACAGATTAAGAATGTATCTTCTGTCTTTACCATGGGAATCAGCAAGTATTTGAACAATAGCACTCATTGAAATATGGCCACATTTCATATATTTCTTGACTCTACGAGCAAATAATACAATTGTACTTCCTTTAATAAGCTTTGAGACTGATTTTTTAAACCTCACACAACTACATGGCATGTAATAATATCTATGACTAGCATGAGTTATTTGTTTATGACTAAATTGGAGTTTATTTCAAAGAGATTATATTCTTATTCATTCTATTGAAATAGATGTTATTTTCGGTTCTTTTATTTCGTTTATTATGCAGATATTTAACATGTGTTTTATTTCCTTCGGTATGACATTCTTTTTTGAAGGTAGGCCAGGGGTGGAAATAACTCAGTGACTAAATCTTTTGCTCCATAGGATATTTTGTGCCACAAAAGCTTGAGAGACTCTTATTTGCTGAGGCAACACAGATAATTTAGGGAACCAATTTTTTTTTCTAAAAGTCTGTATGAATGATACGAAACCTTCCCAGATAATTGTACATTCTCATTTTCTTTTGACTATATAATATACAATTTAACATGTTCCCAGCATAGCTGCTACAGTTAAGATATGCACATAAAGCTAAAAAAAAAGGAAATTCGAATTGAAATTGAGCATAATTGCCTATAAAACTAGAAATACACACACACACACACACACACACACACACCTTTTGCTTATATTGAAAGTATATCTATGCTTCTTTAGTTCATTCGGGTCTTAGATAAAACATTGGTTCCTTATCAGCTCCCTTTTCATTCACCCCTTCCTCTTGCAAATACTATCCCTGCCCCTTGCAAATAGCCACACTCTTCTTTTATCATTTTCTTCATTGCACTTCTGATTTTAAAAAGGAATTCCTTTGTTTCTTGTTTATATCCCCCACTGAAATGTAAGACATCTGTGAGAACAGGATAATTTCCTATTCAGTGCATATGACACACACCTGGCACTCTTAGCTGAGTAGGTCCACTGTAAAAACGTAATTAAGGAATAAATGAATGAAATGTTTAAGAAAGCTAGTCCCAAATGACTAGCCCAGTGGATTCTCAAAACTTTCTTTATATAACATCTTTATTGAAATCTTTCCCATCTCACTGGAAAAGTATCTTACTTTGCATATCCCTAAACTTAATCTCGTCATTAAAACCAGCCTCCTAAGCACAAAACTTGGATATCAAGGCCTTTATTATGTCTCCTATGAAGCTTTCATTTTCTGCCTCATTAGCAACCAAAATACCAATGATCTGTTACATTATCATGTTGACTTACTTGACTAAACATTTCTTAACTAGGCTAAGGTCATCTCCCCATTGGAGTCTATCATCTTCCACTTTCAAAGATCAAAATCTCAGTTCATTTACTCCAAGAAAGCTAATTAAATTGTACTCCAAGTTTTGCAGAGTAGAAATTTTTAACTGGAACATTTTGCTTTCAGTTCTTAAAAATATATTCGATTGAATTTGAATGAGAAAGCCAATTCTAGTGAAAAGGAGTTTCTGCTATTGTCTATAATTGCATTAATTCTGCCCATTGATTAGAATATTATAATTAAAAGGTTAAACTAGTACTATTGATAACTTTTCTCATTATATTTGTACAAAATCTTAGTCATATTTCATAATTTTATGCATCATCACACCACAGTACATTTGAAATAAATCTTTTCCCAGAATTAGTGATGTCAACTCTCTGTAAACCTTATTTTCTCCCCTATGATTTGAGAAAAATTATGTAACCATTATTGTGATGACTAATACAAATAAAATACATAATCAGCCTATCCCAATACCTGACACCAGGTATGAGATATAGACTATTTGTGGATTTTTTCTAGATTTTGCCACAATAATAACCCCAAAGTCTCACTGAGATACAACAATTATTTATTTCTTGCTCAGGTTACATGTCAGCTGCAACTCTTCACGTATTTTTCTTACTTTGGCCGAAAGATCAGTCACTATCTGTGACGTGCCATTCTTACTGCAGAAGGGAAAAAGCAAAAAGGCTGAGAAGCCACGGGAGGCTCTCAAAGCTTCTGCTCAGAACTGTCAGACTCACATTCCACTTGGTTTTTTTGGCTGACAACTCACATGAGTTTCACAGCAATAGAAGTCACAGGGCAACATGCATGGATGGAAGAACTGGGCACAGTCATGAAGCCACCACAGCATTCAACCTATTTCAGTAAATCAACGAGATGGCTTAAGAACTCATACACTTTTTGAAATTGTCAACGCCAGGTCAATTAGAAGATACAAAACAATATGCATACCCTTCTTAATCTAGTTCATCATTTCACTATTGCTTCTCCTCAGGTCAACAGGTCAAGTAGAAAGGAAAACGGTCAATTTGGGGCAAAAGTAGATACATTCATTATGGAGGTGCCTAAAATGGCTTAAAATGAACTCAGACGGTGGTCCCAACTGTGATATGCCTGAAAGGGCAGGCTTCACCACGCTCTGATATCCATGTACTCTTTGAAATACAAATTGTGAAAATACATTCTTTTCAGCCCTTCCAATTCCAACAGAAAGTTCATTATCCAGAGCACTCATCTATCCTGGACCAGCAGTGCCAGCATCACCTGGGAACTTGGGAGAAATGAGAAATCTCAGGCTTCATTCCAGTCCAGCTAAATCTGAAACTCCAGCGGATCCCCATGCACATTAAGGTTTGAGAACCTCTGCTTTGCCATTCACAATCATTATCTGATCAAAGCAATATCATCAGGTGAAATTAAACTGAAGGCTAGACTTAGTCTGTGACTCAAAAGTTCTCCTCTACTGAAGTGATGTTTTAGAAGACTAACATTCTTACTTCTAAACTTGTAAACCTGATAGTCTCTTTCAAGAAAAACTCAGGTAAAGAAAGAAAATGTGTATCTTTCACCCAAATTAAGTAGAGATTTTTGATGAATGGAGATAAAATACAAGCTATATAAATAAATCCATATTGTTGTCTTTATCAGTAATTTATTCCTCTTTATTATTGAGTAATATTCCATTTTATGAATGGAATAATTGGTAAGTGGTGGTTCACTTACCAATACATATTGTTTGCAGACATTTCTCTTGGGTTAACACCTATGTGACATTGCTAGGTCACAGAGTAGGTGTGCACTTTCTCCAAAGCAGGTGTTCCATTTTATACTCCCAACAGCAATGTATGAGAGTTCTGGGCTTTACAGCCTAACCAACATATTGGTGCTTTTCAGGCTCTTTAATTTTCTCCATTCTAGTGGTTGTGCAGGGATAACTCATTGGGGTTTTAATTTATATTTCCCTGATGATGATATTGAGCACCTTTCCAAGTGATTACTAGCCAAGCATATACCTTCTTTTGTAACATCTGATAAAGTCCTTTTCCTATGTAGTTGGGTTGTTTACCTTTGTATTATTTAGTAATAAAAGTGGTTTATATATTTTAGGTATAGCTTATTGTCAGATATATATATATATAGAGAGAGAGAGAGAGAGAGAATATTTTATCCATGTGTGACTTTCTTTTTCATTCTCCTAAGAGTGTGTTTTGATAAGCCAAGTTTATTGTTTTAATTATAAGAAATTCAATCAATTTTTATAGTTTTTGCTTTTTTTTGTGTACCGTATATAAATCTTCATCAACCCAAGGTCAAAACAAATTGTTTCCTATTTTCTTCTAGATTCTAGTTTAGACTTTTACATTCGGTTGTATATACTGTGTGGAAGAGGTCCATTCATTCTTTTTCAAACATTTATATTATTGTTCTAGTACCATTTGTTTAAAATGTTTCCTTTACTCATTAACTTGCCTTGGCAACTAGCTGTAGCTGTGGAGACCCTCTTGACTTTCATTTTTCAGATACTTTTGTGTAAATATCTTTTCATATTCTATGTAGCTATAAAATAATGGAGCAAAATTTTCATGATACACAAAAAATGAGTCATTGACACTTTACAATAACCTCTCTCACACACAGTTCTTCAATTAGCAAATGTAGGCAAAAACATGACTTCACATCCTATAGTTAGCTCATTTGACATCTTTTAGTAATCCCTTGCAAAATTTCAACATCATCTATGGTAGTAGGACAGTGTAAATGTGTTTGCACTTCTCTTCTGCAGTTTCTCTGTGTGGGTATCTGAAAATGTGTCTATACAAACTCATTAAATGCCTTTCCTCCTCATTTAAAGAACTATGAGATATAGACTTAACATCTACAAATCATTTTTACATTGCAAAAAAAAAAATCACTGGGAAACTGCATCACAATTTCTTTTCATTTGTAAAGAAACTGCAATTAAATAGAAAATCAAATAAATTATCCTTAAGGTGAAGATGAATATTAGTGTATAATCATAGCAGTGAAAGAATTCCCCAAGATATTTACTAACTATAAGACGACATATTTTTAACCATTTGCGATCAAATATGATTTCATGAAACAGTAGCTCTGTAAGGTGTTTCATGGGGAGAAAAGTTCCAGGATCAATTAATTTCAGGAAATATTGGTTGGACAGAGTTAAAGACTTTTCTTACTGCAGGATATATCAGAGTCTTTAACTAACCAACAAGTGCTGAACATCTCCAAGAAGAGGACAGAGTGATCAACATATGTCTGATCAGTTGGAGCATAAGATAGAGCTACAGAACCAGCAAAGCGACAAGTCGAATTCAGAACACATGCTTCAAAATTATTTTAGCAGAAACACTAAAAGAAGTCTTTATCTTTACTGATTGCAGTAAAAGATATAGCTCCAATTAAACAATAACAAAAATGCCATACAGAGACAGAGAGGCAACTAAGATTACAAGGGAGCAGGTAAGAAAGAGATAACAACAAAGAAAATAAAAGTACACTTGTAAAATTAAATTTGCCATTGAAAACAATGCAGATCAGCACTTACCAGGGGAGATCTAACAATGATTTGGAATACAAACTGAAAAGTATTTCAAAAATGCATAGGAAATGAATAAGGGAAAATCACTGGAAGATGATGATAGATGTAGAACTATCCAATCTAGGAGTTATGGGTCTTCTCTAAGAAAAATCAAGTGCAACAGTACCAGATGTGACGTTGAAGAAACCATTGAAGTATACATTTTGTACCTAAAACCAGGTCTCAATGTGAAGTTAGAAACAACTTACCATGCTCTGTGGGTAGATCAATTAAGAGATTCACATCATGAAAGAATTTAAATATACAAGTGAGAAATACATGTAGACCACCTACAAAGGATCAGATTTCTTACAATTAAAACAGCAAAAATGGAGCATTTAGAGAGAAAGAAAATATTGTCATTCAAAATATTGAATGATTTGTCATTTATTTTATTTTCAAAATAAATATTGAATGACAATACTTATTTTAAATAACAAAGGTAAACTGTGTTCATGGTTAGGGCAATAGAAAAAGTAATCTTAGGTATTCAAGGTTTTAGAAAACAAATTGTCCAAATAAAATTCTTTCAAAATTTACTTTGAAATTTTAACAAAAAAATAAATAAGGCCAGGCGCGGTGGCTCAAGCTTGTAATCCCAGCACTTTGGGAGGCCAATGTGGGTGGATCACAAGGTCAGGAGTTCAAGACCAGCCTGGCCAACATGATGAAACCCCGTCTCTACTAAAAATACAAAAAATGAGCCGGGCGTGGTGGCAGGCACCTGTAATCCCAGCTACTCAGGAGGCTGAGGCAGGAGAATTGCTTGAACCTTGGATGCAGAGGTTGCAGTGAGCCGAGGTTGTGTCACTGCACTCCAGCCTGGGTGACAGAACAAGACTCTATTTCAAAAAATAAATGAATAAATAAATAAATGGGCTCAAAATATGGGAGAATTGGAAAATGGGGCTGTCTATATTACGTTAATCAATTCCTATAGTAGTCGGATTTAAGGACCACTATAAATACGGTTATACAACTCAATGGAAATATCAAAATTAATGATTAAAACAGAAGCACTATAAAATAGTTAAAATTTTATTTACCTAGTTATAAAAAGCAAAGTTTATACTAATAATTTCCAGTGAGTAAAGATGGGAGGAAAATTGAAAAAATGCTATATCTTTCATTTTAAATAGATGAAGAACAAATGACACCATTAAATTTGAGACCTTGATATAAAATGAATACTGACAATGTTTTTAAAATAATATAAGGTAACCATTAGGATAAATAAAAATATATATTTATTTTCAAAGGATTGGGCATTAAACTGTATGCAGTGTATTTTATAAAATAATTGAAAGAAGACACAAAATTAAAAATGGTATGAAGAAAGGATAAAATAAGTTGGCAGGAATAAAATCAAATATGTCAATTATGATAGTAAACTCAAATATTTTAATCCCTACTCTCTTACAGCAAAGATTTGTAGATTAGGTAAAAAATTAACAAAATCATAAATCAAAGTGTATGCTGCCCCAAAGTGACAAATCTGACTCAAAGGAATGAAGAAGAATAAAATGTAAAGGGTTGTCAAAGATTTATCAAGCATATAGAAAAACGGCATGGTAGCCTAAATTTCAGACTCAGCAGAATTTAACACAAAACAACTAAACAAAACAAAAAGGTCATATGATTTTCTTTTTCTATAATTTGAATGTTAAGGAATATGTGAAGTCATGAATTTTTGGTCAATATCACTCATTATCAATATATATGACATAAAAACTGTTAGAAACAGATGAGAAGTTGATTACTATTATGAGAAAGTCTAAGCAGTATTATATAACTCAGAACAAAATAATTAATAAGGATAATTTATTTAATATGTCAACTTTGCCTCTTACTCTAATCAACCTTCTCTAAACTATCCACAGAACATTTATGAAAAATAGAGATATCCATCATATACTAGATCATGTAAAAAGCATTGAAATATCAAGAGAGGGCTGGGTGTGGTGGCTCACGCCTGTAATCCCAGCACTTTGGGAGGCCAAGGTGGGTGGATCACGAGGTCAAGAGATCAAGACCATCCTGGACAACATGGTGAAACACAGTCTCTACTAAAAATACAAAAAAAAAAAAAATTAGCTGGGTATGGTGGTGCACGCCTGTAGTCCCAGCTACTCGGGAGGCTGAGGCAGGAGAATTGCTTGAACCCAGGAGGCAGAGGTTGCAGTGAGCTGAGATCATGCCACTGCACTCCAGCCTGGGTGACAGAGCGAGACTTTGTCTTAAAAAAAAAAAAAGAAAAAGAAAAAGAAAAGAAAAGAAATATCAAGAGAACAAAAAGATAAGTCATAGACAAGGAGAAAATATTTGCAAAAGACATATCTGATAAAGTTCTGTTACTTAAAATATACAAATAACTCCTAAAACTCAACAATAAGAGAAAAACAATTTAAAAATGGCCCAAAGATCTTAACAGATGCCTTATTAAAGAAAACATACAGATGGCAAACAAGTACATAAAAAGATGTTTCATATTATATATTGTCATCAGGCAAATGCAAATTAAAACGATGAAATACCACTATACGCTTGTTAGAATGGCTCAAATCCAGAACACTGAAAACACCCAACACTGGCAAGGATGTGGAGAAAACACAGACTTTCATTCATTGCTGGTGGGAATGCAAAATGCTACAGCCTCTTTGGAAGACAGTTCAGCAGTTTCTTACTGAACTAAACATACTATATGATCCAGCAATCACACTCCTTGTTATTTACCCAAAGGAACTGAAAACTTAATGTCCACATGAAAACCTGCAAACCAACGTTTACAGCAGCTACATTATAATTGCCGAAACTTGGAAGCAACCAAGACGTCCTTCAGTAGGTGAATGGTTAAATAAACAGTGGTACATTCAGACAAGGCAGTATTACTCAGCAATAAAAAGAAGTGAGCTCTCAAGCCATCAAAACACACTTAAAAAACTTAAGTGCATATTCGTAAGTGAAAGAAACCAATCTGAAAAGCCTACACACTGTATGACACTCTGGAAAATGCAAAACTATGGTGACAGTAAAAAGATCCGTGCTTGCCAGGGGTTGTAGGGAGAGAGGGGTGAACAGGTGGAGCACAGGGGATTTGTAGGGCAGTGAAACTACTCTATATGTTACTGTCATGGTGGGTACGTGTCATTATAAAATTTACCAAACACATAGAAAATACAATACCAAGAGTTAATCCTAAGGTAAATTATAATAATTACTTTGGGGGATAGTGCTGTGTAAATGTAGGTTCCTGACTTGTAACCAATAGACCTACTGTGGTGGGGTGGGGGATGATGACAGGGGAGGCCATGCATGGGTGAGGGCAGGGAGTATATGGGATCTCCCTGTACTTTCTGTTCAGTATTACTGTGAACTTAAAAGTGCACTAAAAAATAAAGTGTATTACAAAAAGCATTGAAATATCACATGTTTTCTACAAGCTATGGTCTGTGGTCATAATTCCAAAAAAACTTGTAAGAAATATAAAAAAAAATTACATGAAAGAGGAATCTTATAACTCAGACTACACTTTGAGAAGCAGTGAAAATGAAAGTAAAACATGAAACCTGTTACAGAAATGAGTGAAACAGAAAACCGCAAGTTTCAATCCTTATTTAATTCTCGTGTTTTATCTTTATTTGCAGACAAGATGAAGGAGTCTCCAAAAGGTTAAATGACCTACGCAAAGTCATACAGCCTATAAGTGTCTGAATCAGGATTTCACTCAGATCTTCTGCCTCCTAGTCCAGGGCTCTTTTTAAGATATACCAGTGTCTCCCTATTGAAGAAACACTAAGATTAAATTTGGAAAACATTTAATTAGCTAAACCCTTAACTCTAAAATGTTGTTTTCATATTTTAAGGTTTCTGAAATTAGGATCAATTTTAAAATGATTTCTTTATAAAAAAAGATGTACTCCTATTGTCTGAGAATTGGCACATTAACATCAATAAAAATATCTACTGATTAGATTTTCTCCACAACGAAATTATCTTTAATAATAATGTGTGCAGCTGGATTTTAATTTAAATTCAAATCCTTCATTTGTATTAAAAATAGCTTTAGAAAGCACTGAAAAAGGCCATCATATATGCAAAGGACTGTCACAAGCAAAGCAATGCAGATAAAGGTAGTAGAAACTGCCAGGTTTCCTGGAGTAGATGGTACTTTTTAGAGATAGATGAAAGATCTGTCTGATTCAGCAAAAGGGCTATCTCTCGGGGACTCACATCAATCAGTCCCAAGCTAACTTCTAAGGTAAGCTGCTTATTTCGGAGAAAATTGTTATTCACTTACAATGACATTTTTCTAAAATTAAAATGTCCACAAAACTCATTCTTTTCTGTGCCATTAAATTGTAGTGTAATTTTCAAAGTGCTTAATAGATCAAAGATGATGAGAAAGGCTATAAAAATCCATGGGTGGTAGTGATCTTCATTTTAAAATAGCAAAAGCATTCCAGAAAAGTTTGTAGACACTGTCTATGAAGACTACAAATCACCTGGGATCTCTTTAGAATGCAAATTCTGATTAACTGGGTCTGAAGTTGTATCTGAAATACAATTTGATGCTGATACCGTTAGTCTACAAACCACACTTTGAATAGCAAAGGTACAATGGTTAAGAGGCCCATCAACTCAATGAGTCGAAGTTCTACCATTTATTAGCCATGTGATCAGATCCAAGCCATTCCCTTAAGTTCTCCTTTCTCCCTGGGTAAAAGAGAAATCTACCGCATTTTAAAAATACATTATAGGGTTGATGAAAAATACATGTGCAGTCTTTAGAACAGTGTCTAACGCATCATTAAATGCTCAATAAAATTAGCCATTACTGGCCGGGTGCGGTGGCTCACGCCTGTAATCCCAGAACTTTGGGAGGCCGAGGTGGGTGGATCACCTGAGGTCAGGAGTTAAAGACAAGCCTGGCCAACGTGATGAAACCCCGTCTCTACTAAAAATACAAAAAATTAGCTGGGCATGATGGCAGGCTCCTGTATTCCCAGCTACTCAGGAGGCTAAAGCAGGAGAATCGCTTGAACCCAGGAGACAGAGGTTGCGGTGAGCCTAGATCGTGCAATTGTACTCCAGCCTGGGCAACAAGAGTGAAACTTCATCTCAAAAAAAAAAATTAGCCATTACTATTATTAGAAATAAAATACTGAGTGGGACCTGATGAGCCCTTGCAGTGCAGTGTAGTTACACAACTATCGAGCTACCACTGCAACCCTTAACCTACAGAAGAAGCAATATCATCCCTTGAATTCAAATTAAGTCTGTATATGATTTGTTCCTGGCCGGCTGAGTTTTCATTGGCAAAGCAAAGACATACGAAGGCTTAACTGGCAGGAATATAATGAATTTAGAATTTGAGCAGCTATATGGAGAATCCACCCATTTATAACTAAGAAGTTCCTCAACGGCTAAAGTCTGTGCCAAGAGTGTTTACTAAGTCAATCTGTACACAGCAGGGCTGCTGTCACTGGGCTTATTTCTGTCACTTTGTGACACCAGTGCTCCATCAGGCATGATGATTAAATCTACAACCTTTCATCTGGTAAAACAGGAAAGGTAATTTCAAGAGTTGCAATTGCATCACTGAATGTCTCTTGCTTTAAAAAATAAATATGCTGTCTTTGCCTCTGCATTTATCTACCGGCAGGGAACCATTATATACTGACAATGTTCTGTTTCAGAAGCATTATCTCTGAATAATTACCTGTTCCTTGTCTCCATGGAAAGCTGTACCGCAAAACCTCTTTTAATTTGGTATATGGCAGAATTCACAGATTGTATTTTATTACTATAAAAAAATACCTTTCTCCACCCCCTACGAAAATGAAGGTAAATGTTAGCCACGTCATGAATGATGCTGCAGTTTGGAACATTGCAGCCCCCTGATGGGGAGGTTCTCCTTCACCTTCCGGAAGCACTCATCAACAAAGGGAATCTGTGGGTGGCTCCAGCTGGTTGCAGGGACCAGAATTTGAAGGGAGAGGAAATCCCTGATGCTGGGCCTTCCTGCCTGATTCTCCAAATGGTGACAGGGATAAAATGCAGAGGGGTAGTGAGCGCTGTGTCAGGACTCGGCAAAGAGAAAGCACAGATGTTCACTGAGCTCTTCTCCCTTTCATTTTATTCTACCTCTGTTTTTCTTTTGGTCTCAATTCATGAGCAACCCCAGGTCAATCTGTATCCTGAGTCCTCACCTCCCTTCCATGGACAATTACTTCATTTCCTTTGGAATTACAGACTATTTTAAAATGCTTTCAGGTGAACACTTCAAGGCTCAGAGCAGGGAAAATAAAAGGAAGTGTAGTTATTGGGGCATAAAACATAAATGTTTATCTGGAGAGGAGTGGTTTGGAGGGAGCTGTGATTCAGGAAGTAACGGTGTTTGCTTTCGCTAAAGCAATAGTTTTCACATTTGCACAAGAACAGAAAGAAACCGGCAGAAACATTTCATTCCAAATGAAAGTATTAACAGATCCATGCTAAATAAAACATATGTAAGTGAATTTGCCCAGAGAAAGCAGTAGGTAGGGTAGGTAAAGCTCAACAAGCCCAGATTTCTTCTCACTCTCCAAAGCAACCTAGTAAACATCTAAGCATATCTCCAGGAATCCTGGTGGCTTTAGGTCATCCTGTACAAATCACTAAGCCACATGAATATAAGAGATTGTATACATTGTAAACTGGGTGGGGGGAGATGTTTAGCCAGTCTAATGGAATGCTTACAAAATTTGTTCTTTTAGCTGTTTTAAGCAATAGGGTTTTTAAAAATGGGATTTAAAACAGGGCCAGAAGGCCAAAAACAGGCCCAGAAGGCCAGAAGGTATACCCAAAAAAACTTTCATTCCTTTAAAATATTCTACAGTCAGACTACTTACCACACTGCCCTGATGATCTCACCTAATGTGAAGGAGAAAGGTCATTTGTTAATTGTCCACTTTTAAATCATGAGTCTCCCTTTAAATTTGTGCTCTGCGAAGGTTAAGTGTGATTACAACAGATTTCTTTACATCTTTGAACTACAGTGACTCACGGTGAACCCACTGCCTGTCCTCAGATGAAAGTCAACAGGAGATTTGAGTTATATAATTTTATAGAATCATCTTACCAGGAATCTGTATGGGAGCCATACATGAAGGAACAACTGTATTTATCAGCCTTTTATAAAAATAATGACATAATGCTTCTCCATGTGTAATGAGAAGTGTATGTATCTCATAACAAAATGACAATTGTATGTTAGATAATTGGGTAGGAATAAGAAACTAATTTCAGTACACAAAGATATGAAACTTGATTTTATTTCACAAACATTTTTATGACTTTTAGAGAAAAGTGTAGATAGTTTTATTACTGTGGGCCTTAAGAGGTAATCTCTGAACATTTTTTACAAGTTGTTGATTATATAGTTAACATTAGCTTACTCTGTCATGGGATCAAGCTAAATTATAAACCTCGGATTGCATTATCATATTAATATTTAATATTTTAAAATTTGTAGTAAATTATTTTTAAAGGGAAAGATCAAAACACACAATTTAAATAGAGAATAATATTTATCCTAGTTAACATTAACAAGCGTCAGTGATTTTCAAAAATCACGTTATTAACGAATTCAAATTGTTTATCTGCAAAATATAATCTAATCTCAATTAGAGAAAACAAGCATAAATAATGAAAAGTTCTCATATTATCTGCAATTGTCTTTGATATTAAGTCACAACTACAGGAAAACACACACACACACACACACACACACACATACATACCCCACACACACATCCCAGCCTCATTTCAGATTCAATTTTCTTTTCCCTTCCAGATCAGTGCTGGGGAACCTAGAACTAACTGAATACTAGGCTAGAGGCCTCGTATTAAATTAAATAAAGATTTTCTATTCATGGATCTCTAACTACATAAGAATCCATGTTTAGAACCAGTTCTGTAATTACTGGTACATGATCATTTATTTAAAAGAAAAAAACACTGGATCCATCTGTGCGCTCATGTAGTCATTTGTTTCACAGTCAATCATTATTCTTTATTCAGTCAAATGTTTGCTAGATTCTAGGTTTTAGAAATACAAAGAAAATCAACACTACTCATGGAGTCAGAGAGACCAACACCAACAAATAATTATAGTAAACGGCAAATACAAAACTAAAAGTGCGCACCGGTTTAGCTGGAATATGGAGGAAAATGTGATCACAGCTACATGTGAGGTTGCATTTTTTTCAGGCTTACAAGGTGTCAGTGGTTATTCTAGACAGAGAGAAGGGCAAAAGCAAGAACCTAGACTGAATTGGTATTGATGGAAATAGGAATGATTAAATTTATATAGACAGAGACGCTGGTGTTATTACTAGCTGTGTAGGGATAATCATGATACTACCATCATCATGAGGTTGATGAGATTATTAAATGACATAAGTCAAACATTTAGAACAGTGCCTAGAACTCTATAAGTACTCACTTAATGTTAACTACTATTATTCATTAAATCTTCCATCTAATATTAGAAGCCTTGTTTAAGAACAAAAGTTTAATCACATAGATGGATTTCTGGATACGGAGAAAGGTGAAGTCAATCAACACTCTGTGCAGGCAAAGGAAACACAATAAATAGAAATAGAAACCCCTGCCTGCTTATTTATATTCCACTATCTTAAATGTATTAAAACATTTCCTCCCATTTCTTTCTTTCTATTATTTTTCTTTGCTCCCAACCAGCCTCAGCTCTTGACCTGAGGGTGCACATCTTCACTCAAATCTATGCTGCCTCTGGCTTATTTCCTTGTCTGATCCAGGCTTTGGGGATAATCAGCCATACTTTTCCATTTCCTTATTTCAATTATCCCCTCAAACTTTAATTTGTCATTGCCAACAGTCTCATTCCCTTTTGACTAAGATAAAGGTCTGCCTTTTCCCAAGAGAAGACTTTTTGAGACTAAAAATTTTGAAAAAGCTTTCTTTTTGTATTATCTTCATTTCAATGCATTAAGACTGAAAAATCTCCTGTCTCCAAAGTCTTCAGAAGAGATGGACAAGAGCATTTTAAAAGGTGGAATAAAAATTCTAGAGTGTGGGAACCTTTTTCAATGGCTATGCAAAGCTCATGTTAGGCTTAGCAGCAATCTGGGTGGGTTAGTTTCTTTATCCCTTTTTAAGTGGGAGAAAAAAAAGAAGGGCTCTAACCCTGAATTTCTATAATAAAAGTTGAGCTTTTCATGGACTGTGAAACTAAGGCTCAAGGTCATGTTTTCATTTTGCTGGAATGTCTGCAAGGGGTTCAGGTGAGAAGCAACACTCTGTATGACAAATAAACAGAAATAGAAACACTGAGGCCCCAGGCTATACACTTCCAGATTTTAAAAAATGTGTTTGAAAGCTGATGAAGTGGTACATGTTTCTAATTCCATACACACCCAGGGAGTGGAAGGATGCCTGGGATGGAGACATACACTTGTACAAAGCTATTTATTCAAACAGATATTTTCCTGTTAATATTTCAGAAGAACGTGTATGATATTAGCATCAAGCAGCAGAAAGCTGCGTAGGTACAAAGGTGTCAACAGTCCTTTGGGAGACCATGATAAACCCAGGAAGGCTTCACCTTGTCTGGTGATATAAAGAAAGGCTGAATCACAGCACCTGCTCCATCTTCACAATTGATTTGCTTCTTATTCTTTTGGAGAGGAAAGGTGGAAGGTCAATGACAGTCACGACACAGAAACTCACTGTTCTCCACTTTGGGTACAGCCCCAGGTGCAGTTGTTCAGTATCAATCATCAAAGAGACAGGCACATTTACCATGGAACTAACAGCAACTATTCTTTAGATTTCCTCACTGGTGGGAGTCTCTGGCACTGAGAAGGACCATGACAATAGATGACATACGTGTTTTAAATTTTTCCAAAATAAGAAATTTTGAGTGAAGTAAGATGACTGACTCTCCTTCTATTCTAACTTTGACTCATCCACATTTCCTCTCATGTCCAGTGGCTCTGGAAAGACTCCAGGTACTTCTGAGATTCAGCCAAAGAGAAGGTGGGTTGAGGACACATTCATTTTGCTATTAGTGGGGTACCATCACTTCTGTGGCTTTTCAGGGTATAGAAATGCCTTCTAGAAATACTGCTGTAGCCCTCTTGGGTCATGACAATTTAAGACGAGAGATCAAATAATAAAATTGTATGCATCCTATAATGCTCAGCCCACATTTAAGAAGTTGAGAATGAACAAGTTTTGAAATATACAGAGCCACTTACAACAGATGTGTAAAATTATAATTACATCATATTCTAGATTTGTGAGGTTTATGGTATCTGTCTGATATAAAAATGTAATTTGTGCTGATTGCCTTTTCATCCTAAGTTAGTATTCACCTTAACTAACTTTGTACTTTTGATTTTGAATTCATTTTATTAAAAAGGACTCCCAAAATGTAAACCCTGCAAAATGTGAATCTACTTATCTACGTTAGACAAAGACATGCATCCCAAATTGCAATGTAGAATTACAATGTAAAAATAGTAAAACAATTTAGGCCATAATATTAAAATATTGTAATTATGTTCATGGGCCATTTAAATAGAAAAATTGATTAAACGACGGAATATAATGCATATTATGCTTGGTTAAAATATGTTAATGTGTAATCATTAAAAACAATATACCAAGATTATATTACAACATGGAATAAATTGTAAGACTTCAAATAGGTGCAACGAGTAAGCTATAAAGTTGTGCTTTGGAAAAAGTTATAAGAGGACTGGTTTCATTTTAAGACAAAGCAAGAAAAAAGCCAAGAAGAAAATCATATCTCAACTAATCTATGTTTATGCCTATAGTTGAGATACTCTCAGTAAAGGAAATAATCTTTTATACATAATTCTTTTTCAGATTTTTTGTAAAAAAGCTTTTCAAAATACATGGGAATACATAATTCAGAAACAGCTTCTGATGTATATTCTGTTGACTATGCCAAAGAATATGTCCAAAGATCACTGTATTCATTTCCTGGTCCTACAATAACAAATTACCACAAACTTTATGCCTAAAAACAATACACATTTATTGTCTTACAGTTCTGGAGATCAGAAGTCTAAAATGGTTTGGCTGGGCTCAAATCAAGGTGTCGTCAAGACTACATTCCTTCTGGAGGCTTTAGGATCTCTTTCCTGGCCTTTTCAAGCTTTTAGAGACAGGCTGCATTCTTTGGCTCTTGGTCCCCTTTCTCCATCTTCAAAGGCAGTAGTGGTAGGTTGAGTCCTTCTCATGTTGAATCACTTGATTCTGACTCTTTCTTTCCCATGTCCACTTGTAAGGGCCCTTGTGATTGTATTGGGCACACCCAGATGATCTAGTATAATCTTTTGATTAGCAATCATAAGTCCCTTTTGCCATGTAATCTAACATATTCACAGATTCAAGGGATTACAGGGGTGTCTTTGATGGGGGCAGTATTCTACCTACCACAATCATCAATGAATTATTTTGTCCTGTTGTGCTGTCATTTGGTTATAAGTCTGAAAATAAGCTATGTATCATCTTTGTTACATTAAGAAGGCTGTACACGTAATCAATGATACTCAAGATCAATATCAACCTGAATGCAGTTGTATCTAGTGAAAACTGTGGTCTGCTCAGAAGGACTCCTTAAAGTCTTACAGTCTCACATCTCGTTGCCCCAATTCCCACCTGCCCCCAGTGGTGACCCAAATTTAGAACGCTACCATCCCTCTATCATCAGTGATTGGTTCAAACCTGACCATTTCATCCAAGCAAAGTCAATCTGAGTTTTCCCCCTGAATATTTTTTTTCTCCCTTAAACTGCTAAGGAAAAGCCTTTAATCTTTCTTGGTCAGAGCATAGTAAAACTATAACCTTAGACGATGCTAAAATCCATGTTCCTCCTGTATGGAGAAAAATCCATCTGCAGTAGACAAGATTCAGATTAAAGGGCTGATAAAAGCAGAAACGTGTGTGTTGGAGGCTGTTGCGTCAACCCATGTGCATGCGTATGTACACGGGTGTAGGTGTGATACAGAAAGTGAAAGAGTGAGAGAGTCTGTGGGAGGTTGTCTAAGTCCCTTTACCATTCTTCCCAAAGGTCATCTGTACCCCTGTCCTTTTTGGTTTGTGAGCACATAAATCATTTATTTGTTTCTGGTTGTTTGAATTGGGATTCTGCCACTTTCATCTAAGGTCTTTTAATTAAAATAGATGCTGTATAGTTTTCTTATATGCTCAGCACTATAACTAATGACAAAGGATTTTAAAACGTAATAAAGGAAGCTAGAATTCTTTCAGGACATAGAAAACGAAGAACAACTCTTTATATGTCCCAAACTGGAGATTGCTGCAAAGTGTGATCTGGTACCAGCAACACCATAGCTTTTTGTTGCTAAGTCTTTGATCTATAGTAGGCATCAACCATGTCTTCTTTAACACTTTCCTAATCTATTGCCTATGTTGAACAAATAATAGCAAATATTCTCACTAAACATAATTTCCCCCCATGTAGCTAGTTAATAGCATAGAAACAAAGTCCGTGGATTCAACCAGAATCTATAAGCAGCATATGTAAGAGGTAAATAGCAGCAACCCAAATTATTTCACTAAAGTGAATACTAGGAAGATTCTCTAGTTACCTTATATTGCCAATGTAACTAATCACATTGAGTGAATGATTAAGTACATGAATATATAGTGAAAAAAATTGTTCTAAGCCCAGGAGGTAGGCCCTGGATCATTCAATATCAACAAACCACTGTTACTACTGCTTCATGATCCATTAATACTTCTTCACTACTGTCTCCTCAGGTTCTGGGTGCTCTGCCACACTGAAATTGTCTTTGACAATTTAGCCATATCCCACACATTCACAAGATTCATATGGATATTCACTAGCCAAAGTTAAAACAGTAATAATACGGCTGAAGGTTGATTTAGCCAGTCTATAAACTGGCTAAATATTAGGTTAGAGTCATGTAGGAAATGCAAAACATCAATTATATTTTTTATTAAATTTCTATAGTTTTAATAAAAGACTGTATTTTTATATAATGAGATGAGTCTGCTTAAAAGACTTTCAAATGAAACTTGATTAGCATAGAAATTAAAATTATTTCTCTTCTTGTTTCTGTATTCCTATTATTTCTAGGATGCCAGGTTGTACTCATATGAGCATCCAGTGCTTCCACATTAATCAGAATAGAGATCCTTCTCATGGATACACACTAAAACCTAAGGAATTATAGAACAAAGATCACTGTCTTCTGAGAGTAAAACAGGAGAGGAATTCTTTTCTCTGCTTGAACTTCTGCTTGTTACCAATTATCCTTAAAAGAAACTTCAGTGACAAATTCTTATGACTTATAGTAAAATAATTTGGGGCTTGGTCTACCTTTTTATTCCAATTTTTTAAAAGCAGAATCAAAAACTATAAATAAAACTGGATATCACAAGGTACTTCTATGTTTGACTACCTTTTGAATAATTTACTAATTTACTTAGTAAACAATACAGTACCTAGTTAAAGCATATGTAGCTCAAAATAATATATTGTGACAGCTAAAAGTCTTTGTTTGATTTTATGCAGAGATGTCTAAATCACTGCCACCTTTGTTGATATTATGGAGCCCTTTTATAATCTAGCCAAAGAAGCTATGGACTCCTTCTGCACAAAAATATTAAAAGGTAAACACAATATATTTGTGCCATTTTAAGGTGTTCTCATTGTCTGATACCTAACCATCCTCTGGGGTTGCATGAATTCCAGGCTAAGAGTCCCTGGATATGGGATTCCCCAACTCCCTCATTACAATGCAGATTATTCTGGCCAAGGAAGCACATCAGAGAGTACCTCTCAGAAAACTAGCTATCGGCTGCCTGCAGCGGCTCACACCTGTAATCCCAGCACTTTGGGAGGTCGAGGTGGGTAGATCGCTTGAAGTCAGGAGTTTGAGAACAGCCTGGCCAATGTGGTGAAACCCCATCTCTACTAAAAATACAAAAATTAGCCGGGCATGGTGGTGCATGCCTGTAATCCTAGCTACTTAGGAGACTGAGGCAGGAGAATCGCTTCAACCTGGGAGGCGGAGGCTGGAGTGAGCTGAGATAGCGCCACTGCACTCCAGCCTGGGCAACAGTGAGACTCCATTTAAAAAAAATAAACAATTATAAAAAGAAAAAGAAAGAAAACTAGCTATGAAGGCAGAAAGCCGATCTCAGAGTTCTGAGCAACTTATACCACAGAAGGAAAGTTTTATGAAACAGATTTATACCCCCAGAATTTAAGCCAAAATACTTCATATTCACACTGGAGATCTACTTACAAATAAAGACTCCCATCCTACCTTGGATATACATAAGCTGGATGAAACAATTACCTGAACTTATCATATCCTTTCATCTTTCTGTGCTTCGTGATGGGATTTCCTGTCTTGGACATATTCTTCCCCCTTTCTCCAGGAGCAAACTTCTGACCATTCAAGACCTCCCTCACCCTCTTAATTTTGCTGGTAGAGAGCACCTCAAATATCTCCGTCAGAGCATTTACTACATTCTACTGCAATGATTTATGTTTTTCTCTTTCTTTTTTACGCTGTATCTAATTGAACTTTGATACTTGTCTTAGTCCATTTGAGCTGCTATAAAATATACCATAGATGAGTAGCTCATAAACAACAGATATCTATGCTTTGCAGCTCTGGAGTCTGGGAAGTCCAAGATCAAGCCACCGGAAGATGCAGTGTCTAGCGAGAGCCTGCTTCCTACACATAGATGGCACCTTCTCACTGTGTCCTCACATGGTGGAATTGTCAAGCTAGCTTTCTGGGGTCTCTTTTGTTATTTATTTATTATTTTATTATTATTATAATTACTTTTAGAGACATGGTCTCTGTCTTCCCGGCTGAATTGCAGTGGTGCCATCATGGCTCACTGCAGCTTCAAACTCTTGGGCTCAAGAAATCCTCCCACCTTAGCCTCCTGAGTAGCTGGGACTACAGGCATGTACTACCACACTCTGGGGTCTCTTTTGTAAGAGCACCATTCCCTTTCATGAGGACTCCACCCTCATGACCTAATCACCTCCCAAAGACCCCACCTTCTAATATCATCAACTTTGGGGCTAGGTTTCAACATGTAATTTTTAAGAAGGGCACAAACATTCAGGCCAAAGTAATGTGCACAAATCAGCAAATAAAGTAGTATATGGTGGATAAGACATTTATTTTCTGAATAAATATCTCTGGTAGAAGCGGGCTTGATTTCCCCTAAGAGGGTATAATCAGTTGAATAGTGTTCCTCAAAATTCATGTCCACCTAGGACCCCAGGGTGTCACCTCATTTGGAAATAGGGTCTTTGCAGATATAATTAAAGACTAGAGCTGAATCATCCTGGATTTAGGGTGGGCCCTAAGTCCGAAGACTATTGTGCTTATGGGAGAAAGGAGAAGGGAGCTTGGACACACAGAGAGGCAGGTAAGATAGCCATGTGAAGAGAGAGGCAGAGCAGGGAGTGATGCAGTCACAAGCCAAGGAACGCCAAAAGCCACAAGTTAGAAACAGCAAGGAAGGATTCTCTCCTAGATCCTTGGGAGGGATCCTGACATTTTTCAATTTCAAATTTCTGATCTCCAGAGCTGTGGGAATAAATTTCTGTTGTTTTCAGCCATCAAATATGTGGTCATTTGTTTTTGCAGCCCTAGGAATCTAACCTGAGGGCAGGGTTGGGGTATACCTCCAATGTGGATCACAAGGGGTCACCTGCAGCTAAGACAGAAGTGGTGTTTCAAAATCGGGCTCTTCAAAAGAAGCACTATGCAAATGAAGGGTTTCTGGGGAGCATCTGAGGACAGCCTAACTCTCTCTGGGCTATCTCCCAGCATTGGTCCTGAGGAGCCTCTCTCTGGACAACATGCAATGGTTTTACTGCTAAACTCGCCTTGGCTCATTGCTCCCCTGAGCATGCGCCTCACTTCTCAGAAGTGTCGCCTCTCACCGTAGCTGCGAAAGCCCAAACAAAAACCTGGGGACAAAGCAGACAAGGAGCCAGCTTAGCAGCGGACCAAGCAGGAAGGCTGGGCTGGGAACAGATTGTAGGGAGCTGATATGGATTCGCTGGTCAGTTCTTTGATTTAATAATGGAAAATGTGCTCAAACTGCACCTACACAGACTCATCCACAAAATTCTTAGTTTCATTAACAAGGAAAATATAATCCTGAGGAATGCCTCTCCTCAACACATAAGAAAATATGCATGGGAAAAAAGACAACATGGAAAACAATTAGTACTGTTGTGGTAACAGAACTAAATAATATTTTATTATTAAATATCACCATGGCTATTCTAGGAAAAAGAGTGGCTAAATACATTCCTCCATATTATTTTTCAAAGCAGAAATTATCTATGGCGAAAACCCAAAATGCATTTCTGACAAAGCCCCTTTTCTGGACTCTTTGACAATTCTATCTATTCAGCCAATTATCTTTCATATAGAACAAATAATCATTGTCCTGTATGCTGCCGGTATTCAAACGTGCCTAAGGTGGTTCATTGTTCAAGATCTCCTCTCTGTATTTCTCTCTACACCCCTACCCGACCCACCCACCCCTCTTGTCCCTGACTCATTCCTTTCCCTCCTATCCCTATTCAACAAAGCTTTGGGAAAGGACACCACAGAGCAATAAGTTTTGTGCAACTTTTAAGCACTCCCTAAAGCCCTGTTTGCTCAGTGGGAAGTAGGGCAAAAACTAAAGTGTCCATCCTCCTGCTGCAGGACCGTGCCTGTTATACAACCCTGCAGAGTGGTGAGTCTTCATGTGGCTGCTCAGCAGAGTCACCCAGGGAGCTTTTAAAATCCCGGACGCCCAGGCCATATTGCAGACAAATCAAGTCGGGTGGGAACTCAGCACTGGTATTTTAAAAATACTTCTGCAAGCTCTCCAAGTGCCCTCATCTCCTCCATGATTTTTTTAAAGGATGAAGCCCACCTGACTTACATCTCCTTCCAGAAAACTTTATCCCTTGAGTCTGAAATTGTTTTCCTGTTTCCTCTGCCATCTTCCCTGAGTTGTCATGTGGCCCACTTTCAATACTCCAATCTGGCCAAATATGACTTCCTGGGAGAGGGTCCCTGCCCTCCGTACTTACAGCAGCCCCCAGACTTCATCTTGGCCACTCTCTTATATTCTCTTGATTTCCCTTCTCATAGGAGTATCTGAAATTATTTGTTTTCTGGTTTAACTTATTTTCCCAAACTCTATGACATCCGTTGCCTTGTCTATTTTTTCTCAGCACTGAGAGTGGTTCTGGGAACACAGGAGGACCCTGGTAAATATATGTTGACTGGGTGAATGAATGAATGAATGAATGAACGTTGACCTTGTTTTCTCTATTAAATCGTATGCCCTGGAGGTCATTTTTATGCCATCTACTTAAAACCTTGTAAGCCCGTAAAATTGTATATTAAAGTTAACAAAGAAGTTTCATATATACTGTTTCAAGGGTCTCTCACAACAACATTTCAGAGTAAACAGCAATTGTTCTAATGCCATTTTTATAGATAACAAAGTTAAGGGTCCAAAAAGTTTTTTTAAAAATACAAAACTCTACAAAGTCACATTAATAATAAGTGGTGTGAGACATCAGCTCTATGAGGGTGTCATGCAGCCACGTGGCCATCTCTTCCATCCCTGCCCCCTCAGAGCACACGCCCTCACAGTTGGAGCCTGGCTGTTTTGATAAGCTACGGACGCTGAGGGAAGGCACGGTGTTGGCAGCATGTGTGTCTTTCTACCCGAACAAGAAACTGATGCCTGTTAATAGTGTTTCCAGGGACCTTGCCAGTGAAGAGGAGAGTATCACTGATGAATAGATGAGCAGGGGTGAATAGTGTCGCCCTGTGCTCACCCTGTCATACCCTTGTGTGGTCACAAGACTCCAGGCCTCCTAACACATCCAAAATCTTATTTACTAAGAAGCCTAACCTAAAAACTGCAATCCCTCTGGGTTTTCCTCTCTATGTAGAGTTATCCAGAATATATCTAGACTCAAGCATAAATTATGTCACTTGGATTTTGCTACCACCTTTTTTTTTATAATTACATTAAGCTACACTCAAGAGGGTGAGTTTTACAATTCTCTCTCACCATTGCAACTGTAATTCAACAGTATCATTAACCATACCCAGACTTCCAGCAAATTAAAGGAAGCAGTAGGAGAGACTTTACCAGGCACTACATACTCCATATTTTCTTATGTTTTTCACATTCCTTTTAACTTCCTTTGGTTAACTATTATACAATACAGGGCTCTGCAAAGAAATCTTGGCAAAAGAGTTCACATCTTTATAAAGGACTTTATACATGACCTCAAAATATTTGCTGTTTCACCCTAGAGACCATCCAAATCTTAAGCAGCTTACAACTGTACCATGCCAGGCCATTTGGTATTATTTACCAACATCCACATGGCATGAATATTTTGAGCATCAAAGAGGCCAAAATTATTTATAAACTTAAATAGGAAGCCAAAGAATCTTGCCTTTTTGCCTTTATCCAAATAGTAGGCAACACATGAAAAATAAATATTTATGGAGAACCAAAATCTCATCCATCTTAAATTGTTATATTCCAAAGGAAAGAATGCCATAACTGAAGAATATATTAGTTTGAATCCCAAGCAGACTCTTGGTAGAAAGCAGAGTCTGAAAGAACGATGGGTTAGTCACATGATTCTCATGAGACGTAGTTAGTCAGATCTTAGTCTGTCTAGTTAGCTTTGCAAAACCAGACACAAAGTCTGCTATGAAGGTATGTCAGAAATGACAGGCATGGTGTCCATTTGAGTAGATATAAAATCTAGGGGTCCGGATGAGTCAGAACACAGTGTCAAATTCACTTATTGCAAAGAGAGGTTAAAGGGAGGCAATGCAAGCTTATGGAGCTAAGTTCAAGGTCACCGAGAAGGGTTCTGCTGCCAGTTCAGTGTATGACTTGCTGGGTCACACAGCTGGCTAGTGACTGAACCCAGACTAACTCAGGGTCTGCCCACCTCTATCCCAGTAGCTTACTGTTCAACTAACTGTGCAACGTGACCCTTTCCCATTTTAAACATGTAGGCATCTATATACATACCCAATATCTAGATAATAGTAATCTCATTCTCAAAATACAAATCTGACTGCTGACAGTTGTCATTTTAATACTTTGCTGATATAAATGCCTTCGAATAAAACAATTTTGGATTTGTGCTTGTTTTCTCATCTTCTGTCAGTAGTTAAGTAAACATGATACGAGGTGCAGAAGGGCACATGAAAGGATGTTAAAGTATTTGTCTTGTTCATGGAAAAACTTGAATCTCGCTAAATTCAGTTAAATAAAACTTGGCATTTTAGCAATGACCCAATGGATGGGCATGAAGCAACGTTAACTTGGCATTTCTATGACATCATTTTACTAACAATTAACCTCATAAGACAATTATGACATAGAGAGCTCTGCAAAGAAGTGGATTTTTCTGTCTGAAACCTGTCAATCACACAAGAAGAAGTTAGGTGGGAGGGAGAGACATATTTCCCCCCAGGCTGTCTCCCACCATTTTCTTATTTTTTCTAAATCATCACAAGTGAGTATGCTTCCTGTTCTTTACACATTATTCCCATCATAACTCAGAGTTTCTGTCCCTGCTCTTCCTCCTACCTGGGATGTCCTTTTATTTTTGTTCTAAATTATTATCTGCCTAATGCTACTACTCATCTCTGCAGATACCCACTAGGTTCACTCATTTCATGAAGCCATATTTGCACACAAATTGAGCAAATGTCATCTTCCTCTGATTCTCAAGACACTCAATCCCTTCTCCCGACATATTTGTCACAATTATCACAAATGCTTAGCTCAGGGGTAGCAGGTTTTTTCTGTAAGGGGCTGCATGAGAAATATTTCAGGCTTTGTGGGCCCTGTGCTCTCTGTGGCCACTACTCAACTTTGCCATTACAGCAAGAAAGTAGCTATACGTAAACAAATGAGCATGGCAATGATCTAATAAAACTTTATTTACAAAAAGAGAATGTAGGCCTAACCCTAGTTTTCTGACCACTAGCTTAGCCCAGAGATACATGGTGGTAAGATCAATAAATATTAGATTGATTATGATAAGCAACATCGTTTATGAAAATATGATGTACATGTTGTCTGTATGCTGTGAGTGTAGAGTATCTGCATTCGTTTTGCAACTATAGCACAATGACCAGCCCTATTAAGTTTTGTGTATCCTAAGAGGGGCATCGCAGGTTCTGATCAGCTATGTGACTCTACAGGCTACACAAAGGGATAACACTGTGCCTCATTGGTTTTCTATTAGAAAGAACATCTGTTGAGGCTGATTCTATGAAGATTATGGCTGATAACCAGAGCAAATTGTTTCCCATAAAAGTATCTGGTTTGCCTGTTTATATTGAATGAAATCAGGTAAATAACTGCTAAAGCTCTCCACTACAATCTGCACTATAATTTTAGTATTTTAATAGAAATAAATATATAATCATAGTAACAAAATTTTCATAACTGTCACATTTATTTTAAGCTTGCCTGGAGAAATTGGAATTAAATTCAAGTCCAATTTTCTATTTTCATTTCAAATACATTTTGACAATACTGGTTGCAGTCTTTACTAGGAAGTTATCTTAGCCAAAGAATTTCACTGGTTTTCAACTTACAACATAAAAATAATGCAAAATGTAATGAAACTTGTCTATTTATTTGGATCAATTCCTATCTTTGATACAAACTGTTCTGTTGCCATAGATAAAGATTGTTTATTTAGAACAGGAAAAAAATACTCTCTCTTACTTGGTAGTAATACAGTTTTCTGGACTATTAGTTAGAAAAACCTCAGTTAATTAAAATATATTATGTTTATTATTTTCCACTGAATTATTTTCTACCATCTCTTAAAAATAAACAAAAGTATTAAATTCAGCTTCTGGATTCTTCTTTTCTCTCTGTTCTGTTGAATATAACAATAGCAAGATGAAAGGCAAGATCAAACACAAGAGGAGAAATAAGGAACATAAATACCTACTGCAAAGGGGAATCTCTGAAAAATCAACCTGAATGAGATCGTCTCTTCTATTTAACAAGGCTCTTTTCCATTCCCTTTAATAATTTCTTTTCACATATGCAGATTATGTCATTAGCTTAGTAAATGCTGCTTCATCATATGACTGAGAGATTTAATACTGGATTTAACTAGGACCTTCAAGTAGATGACTATTCTGAGCACCTGCACCTTTGGCTATCTCTATGAGAATACACAATGTCCCAACACAGAAATCCAAGTGCATCATAAAGATAGATAAAGGATACCAGAAGCACCCTATTTAATTCTCCCTCCATCTCAGTCTTCTCATATCAGTACTATCCTTAATAACCTCATAATAAATAACAATTACATTCCCGACATGTTCTGAAATGTATGATGCATATACAGTTTAAGATATCATAATGAGTATAAAGAAAGCAAATGATAAACAGGCTCTTCTATTTCTACATATAATATTACTATTATGGGCTATTGCATGGTAATAGAGCATATACAACCCATAATAGTGGGCATTGTCAGTTCAAAGCATGATCAAAGGTGCATGGAAGACTCCCTGGTGGTATGCAGGCTTATTCTTGTCATTTAATGTCCATAACATGACAAAGTCCAGGCCTTTCCTTCTGAAAAAACTCACCAATTCATTTATATTTCTCCCTATTTGATGCACACTAAAAGCAGGACCATTCCTCTTGGATAAGAAATAGTAAATAAGTTAATTTTGCAGGGTCATTTATTTATCATCTTTGGCTATAGTTTATAAAAACTAGGTTTCAAATGGCATAACTCAGTTCATGACTATTCCAGGGTCCTCTAGCACTGGCAGAAATAATGAATCAATCTAGCAGAAAGCACAGAATAGGGTAAATCTGAATCCCACTTGCTTTCTCAAAGTACTACTGGAAGAACACATTGGGGGTTCCCTTGTTACCTAAACACTCAGCACATTTCCTGCAGCAGCAAACTTATGATAAGATGGTTAGTTAAGCCACAAAGGATTTTAAAATATAATCATAATCACTGTATATGGTATGCTGCTTAACTGAAAATGTTTGGAGAACTTCCAAATTTTTAAACTTTCTCTTTGTTCCAAATAAATAAACTCTCTGTAAACATGAATAAGAAAGGTAATGATTCAGCTGTCCAAAATTACATAGAGTAAAAAACACACAGGTCAAAAAGAAAAAAAAAAAGGAAAGAAAGCATGTATCATGAAAACTTCTCTGAAAAATAAAACAGGAAATTAAAGATGGGCTTTCCCAATAAAAAGGAAAGATAAATTGTGACTTCATTGAAAAATATCCAGATGGTGAGAATTTGGCATGCTACTATTCTTTGAAAGTATGTTCCTAGGTAAGGGAATTGAAACAATTCTTAATTCATTAATTAAAGCATGCTAATTGATAAAAATGAGGACATGGTTTCTATTTTCTAGAAGTTACAATATTAAATAATTAGCCTCCATCTATCATTCTTCCCCCATTTCACACCTTCCCTTATGGGGGTGTATGGTTATGTGTTTAAGGAACTAAAACATATGCAATACCGCATAGAACAAGTCTGATAAAAGAAAACCAAAGGGCAAACAGGACAGATAAGAAAAGCACATGGGATTGCAGTATCAAATGAAAGGATGACTTAGACACAAGGACAAACGATGATCAAAGAAGGCAAATACTGAAAACACAAGCCTCTGAATAATAATGCCTGCAGATAAATCATTCGTTTTGATGATTATAGAAGTCAATGAAAGAAGTTTGATAAATGGCAAAAGTTTGTAACACCAACAGCAATATACATTGAGAAGAGCTAACTGATAATTTAAATTGTCACTAGTGGTGGGGGAAGAAGACTTTTCTTAAGCCCCCGGCAGGAGAGCACACCTGTATAATTTATTTTAGAGATTATAAATTGGACTTTTTTCTTCAAAATATTTAACTTATTTTTTTTCATTTAAACCTATGTATTCCATATCCAAGAATTAATACTAAGAGATTTGTACATGAATCCTGCTGCAAGAATATAAATTATGGCATTTAGAACTTGAATAAAAGAACATATAGATATCTAATAAAAAGAGGATTGATTGAATTATTTTGCTACAACTATATAATGGAATATTATGCAGCCATTTCAATTATTCTGCAGAATTATATTTGTAACAGGAAATATGTTTAATATATATTGTCCAATAAATTGGCATGTAACAAGAACCTGTAAGTTATCCAAAACAACAACCTTGGAGTCAGAGAACATGTATTAATTTTTTTTAAACTTGCACCATTGCAATTATGTAAAATGGCAAACTGTTCAGATATCTAATTTCTTCTTCTGTAAAAAGAATAATAATTATACGTCTTCCTACCTCATTGTGTTTTTAGGAAATTTTTAAAAATGTATTCAATGTTCTTATCATTTTACCTGTTGACAAAGTGCACATAAATGCTGTTGACAGAAGAGCATAAACACATCATTTATAAAATATATGCATGGTTTTTTTAGACCTATGTATTCCATATCCAAGAATCAATACTAAGAGATTTGTACATGAATCCTGCTACAAGAATATAAATTATGGCATTTATAAATTATGTATATAATACAAAATATAAATTATGTAAACATGATTTTTGCTGTGTTTGTTTATCTTGGCTTAACCACATTCCCTACATTTTATATGGGGAACCGATTATCAGTCAGGGATTCTCCTGCAAGAACACCTCCCTCCAAAATCTCACTTGTTTAAAACAACAGGTGTTTCTTTCTCATTCACATCATAGAACCTTGGTGGATTAATAGAGGTTTCTCCTGCCCATCCTCATTCAGAGAGCCAAGCTAATGGGTCAGAGACGATCTCCAGCACTGCAAATCCTCCTGCCTGAGACAATGGCAGATTTTTCACTGCTTCTTATAGCTTCTGCTCAGATGTGATGCAAATTAACTTTACTCACATTTTTTTAAACCAAAGTCAAACTGATGCTCAGGAGAACATCGATAATAATAATGATGTATTCTTTAATCAGGAAGAATGTAAAACTAACGTTTAGCCTACCATAAGCCATTATAGTTTTTGAGCACAACACTAGGAGACTAGAGAAAGTGTTTTCCCACCTTTACTCCCAGGAACCGAAATTAGGACGAATGTCTTTATACCTATAATGGCTATATGAGCTACATCTAGTTACATGAAAATATATCTACAGCCAATATGGTATAGAAATCAAGGAATCACAGGATACAGAATGTAAGACATCATCTAAGTTATTCTACCTTCAAGACATAATGATCACACTTAGTCACCACCAGCAGAAATAAGAAATTAGAAATTTAACTTAATTTCTGATACATATATCATATATATATGATATAAGGCTATATATATATATATATAAAAATCCTAATAGAATATACTGAAGTATATCAGGGACCACGTGAAGGCTATATATATATATAGAGAGAGAGAGAGCATATATATATATATAGCATATATATATATCACATATATATACAAGGATAGCCTTATATCATATATATGCTATATAACATATATACATATATATGTGTATATATACACATATATATACACATATATGCATATATATGTGTATATGTGTATATATACACATACACGCATACATATGTCTATATATGTGTACATATACACATGCACGCATACATGTCTATATATGTGTATATATACACATATACACACATACATATGTATATGCATATATATACACATATGCACATACATGTCTACACACGAGTACATATACGCACATACATATGCCTACACACGTGTACACACATATACGCACATACATATGTCTACATACGTGTACACGCATATACGCACATACATAAGTCTACATACGTGTATACGCATAAACACATACATGTCTACATACGTGCATACGCATACACACATACATGTCTACATACGTGTATATATATACGCATATACACACGTACGTGTCTAAATACGTGTATATATACGCATATACATATGTCTAAATACGTGTATATATACGCATATACATATGTCTATATGTGTATACGCATATACATGTCTATATATGTGTATATATACGCATATACATATGTCTATATATGTGTATATATACGCATATACATGTCTATATATGTGTATATATACGCATATACACACATACATGCCCATATATGTGTATATATACGCATATGCACACATACATGTCTAGATATGTGTATATATATATACGCATATGCATATATACATGCCTATATATGTGTATATATACGCATATACACACATGCCTATGTCTATATGTGTATATATACGCATATACACACATGCCTATGTCTATATGTGTATATATACGCATATACACACATGCCTATGTCTATATGTGCATATATACGCATATACACACACATATGTATATATACACATATACACATGTATATTTACACATATACATATATACACATATACACATATACGCATATATGTATATACACATATACACATATACACATATATGCGTATATGTATATATACATATACACATATACGCATATATGTATATATACATATACACATGTACGCATATATGTATATATACATATACACATGTACACATATATACATGCGTATATATACACACATATATGCACATATATATGTGTGTGTGTGTGTATATATATATATATATATATATATATATATATATATATATATTGCCTTCACCTGGTCCCTGACAAACTTCAGTATATTCTTCTAGGATTTTTTTTTCCAGCTGGTGAGGTGATGGCGGCTGTCAGGATTGAGAAACTGATGGGTCTTATAATTGCTTTCCTAACTCATGTAACCACAGCTGCAGTTTTCATTCATAAATTGCAAAACGAACTCTTTACAAGTTTTCATACTGGTCATTTGCTTCAAAACATCCAGTACCAATGTGTTTGCAGATGTAGCACTATGAGAAAGAAAGGGTCCGTGACCTTGACCAAAGGCACTCAACTGGCTGTCATAAATTCTTGGTTTTCGTTTTCAAAAATCTTACATACTGTCATGATTCCCTGCAAAATTACTTTGCTCATGTAAGGAAACTGATGAAGCTTATTTAGTTTTAAAGTACTTCAAGAGGCTGAAATGAATTATAAACAATTTTAAAAATCATAATTCTATACATTTACTCAACACCTTTTTAATAAAATAAAGTTTAAACATACTCTATTGCTTAAAAAATGGTAGCTAAATAAGTTAGTGAATCTCCAGAAAGACAGGAAACATGCATGTTTGAGGAAAAACCTAGTGGAGTTTATAAAAGATCAATATATTAAGTCCCCAATAATTTCATTTTACTTGTTCTACATATTAAAAAATTTAGAGACAAATGAAAAACCATTGCTATAAGTATATACTTACAGTGATTTTCTCTGTTTGAGAGCTATTTTGTATGCTTTTCTTATCTTTCTATTATATGGTTTGACATTTTTAACTTCAAAATATAAAAGCATTTGTTAAAAGTATACATTTTGTTCATTTCTTTGTTTTAAAATATAAGTGCATATCCCTATTGGTTTCTGTTCTGTTTACTTCTACTAGCAACATAACCATTTGGAGTTTAAATAATTTTACCAAATGTAAACCCTTTAAATAATGTTTTAAGATATCAGATCACCCTTTGCTTTGTTTACCACTTTAAGATAACAGTAAAAATCACTGTACCTAAAGTTCTCTAACTTAAATGTAACTGAAAAAGTATCCTCAAGATCAAAAATCTATTTTTGAGATGAAGTCATTTTCTTTACTTCCCAAGGTTTTTAATTTGAAATGGAATTGTCCCTAGGATTATAATACATTTTTGAAAATACACACACATTTTTTTTAAAAAAGAGACAGTGGTTAGCCTTCCTATGGTCATTTTTTTTACATGTCTGGGCCCAACAGATAAAGCTTTGTGTAAATGTAAAATAATAATGTAAAATTATTTTTTGCTGTAGATTACAAGTGTTGGTAACTAAGCAGTCTGAGGGATATGAATTTTAATCTTTGTTACTTTAAAAGCATGATGGCTTATGCAGCACTATAATGACAATATTCCAATGCAGATAGAACAATGGTTCCTGTCTGGGGTTACTGGTGAAATACAGGGCTAGTCAAAAATACTTTTGACATTAAAAAGATTATTATACCCATATCCTACTCCTCCACTCTTCTACTTACAACCCTTAGGGGAAAATAATGGATATGAGAAAATATCTGTGCTGCAAACAACCTGAGACACTTTCTGGAGTTTTCTTTATAAAGAATACTCTAAAGAATCAAAAAGACAGACAATACCAAGAAATGGCAAGGATGTGGACAAACTGGAAACTCCACACGCTGCTGGTGGAATGTAAAATGGTACTGTCATTTTGAAGACGGTCCTGTGCTACCTCAAAAGGTAAAACAGAGTCACTCTATGACCCAGCAATTCCACTCACAGATACAGACCCCAAAGAAATTAAAAGACATGTCCACCCAAAAAGTCGCACAGGAATGTTTGTAGCAGCATTATTCATAACGACCAAAAAGTAGAAATCCTATGTCCAAATGCCCATTAACTGATGAAGGGTTAAATAACGGTGGTGTATCCATACAACAGGATATTATTCAGCCATAAAAAGCAATGAAGGACTGACATATGCTACAACTTTGATAAACCTTGCAAACACTTATGCTAAGTGAAAAAAGCCAGATGCGAGAAGATCACATATTTTATGATTCCATTTGTATGGAATACTCAGAATAGACAAGTCCATAGAGACAAAGTAGATTGGTGGTTTCCAGGGGTTCTGGGACAAGAGAATGGGGAGTGGCTGCTATAGGGTAACAGGGTATTTTATGATGATAAACTTTTTTTTTGGAATTGGACAGTGGTGATGGCTGCATAATTATGTTAATATATCAAAATACTGAGTGGTATGTGAATTTTGTGGTATGTGAATTATATCTCTATTAACATATATTTTTTAAAAAAGAAAAACGCAACATAAAATTAAATTTCTGATCTAATGTTCAAGTGAAGAAAGTCTTTGTTTCCTTTCTTGAACAAAATTGGTAATAATGTCAATTACGACTTCTTCAAAAGCATATTTCATATTAACTTTGTTATTCTCATGTGGGAAGTGAAATTGCATTTCTTATTTTGATAAATCAAGAGGAATGGAACACGTGTTCTTCTAGATGAATTTGTCCTTCTCCAATTTGTACTGATCTGATACCAAGAACACACCTGAGGCTACATGCCTTCCTTCTCAAATGACAAAAGCTTATTCATAGCTATTTGTTTATACAATGAATTTTCAAAAGCCAACACTGTCCTCAAAATAATGTTACTGGGTTTCATAAATGTCAGTGGACAATTAGATGGTCTCATTCAGAAAACTTTAAGCAAACGTCTAAACTGTGTTTTTTAATGTAACATTGAACTGAACTGAACTGAAATTGAACATACCTTAAGGCTAAAGTAGGCTGACAGTGAGTGAGAGTGTCTGTGTGCAAAAGATATATATAAAGAGAGAAAGAGAATCATATTTCTCCATGTACTTTCATTCATGGAAATTGGATTTATTATTAGTTCTAAAAAGACTAATAGCCCCTCATTCAGGGATCTCAGCTGTTTTTTAAATTAAGATGTGTGTGCATTCCAGACCACACCTATTCCAAAATTGACCACATACTTGGAAGTAAAGCACTCCTCAGCAAATGTAAAAGAACAGAAATTATATCAAACTGTCTCTCAGACCACAGTGCAATCAAACTAGAACTCAGGATTAAGAAACTCACTCAAAACCACTCAACTACATGGAAACAGAACAACCTGCTCCTGAATGAATACTGGGTACATAACGAAATGAAGGAAGAAATAAAGATGTTCTTTGAAACCAATGAGAACAAAGACACAACATACCAGAATCTCTGGGACACATTCAAAGCAGTGTGTAGAGGGAAATTTATAGCACTAAATGCCCACAAGAGAAAGCAGGAAAGATCTAAAATTGACAACCTAACATCACAATTAAAAGAACTAGAGAAGCAAGAGCAAACACACTCAAAAGCTAGCAGAAAGCAGGAAATAACTAAGATCAGAGCAGAACTGAAGGAAATAGAGACACAAAAAACCCTTCAAAAAATCAATGAATCCAGGAGCTGGTTTTTTGAAAAGTTCAACAAAATTGATAGACCGGTAGCAAGACTAATAAAGAAGAAAAGAGAGAAGAATCAAATAGACTCAATAAAAAATGACAAAGGGGATATCACCACCAATCCCACAGAAATACAAACTACCATCAGAGAATACTATAAACACCTCTACGCAAATAAACTAGAAAATCTAGAAGAAATGGATAAATTTCCTCAACACATACACTCTCCCAAGACTAAACCAGGAAGAAGTTGAATCTCTGAATAGACCAATAACAGGCTCTGAAATTGAGGCAATAATAGCTTACCAACCAAACACAGTCCACGACTAGATGGATTCACAGCCGAATTCTACCAGAGGTACAAGGAGGAGCTGGTACCATTCCTTCTGAAACTATTCCAATCAATAGAAAAAGAGGGAATCCTCCCTAACTCATTTTATGAGGTCAGCATCATCCTGATACCAAAGCCTGGCAGAGACACAACAAAAAAAGAGAATTTTAGACCAATATCCCTGATGAACATCAATGCAAAAATCCTCAATCAAATACTGGCAAACCGAAACCAGCAACACATCAAAAAGCTTATCCACTATGATCAAGTGGGCTTCATCCCTGGGATGCAAGGCTGGTACAACATATGCAAATCAATAACTGTAATCCAGCATATAAACAGAACCAAAGACAAAAATCACATGATTATCTCAATACATGCAGAAAAGGCCTTTGACAAAATTCAACAACCCTTCATGCTAAAAACTCTCAATAAATTAGGTATTGATGGGATGTATCTCAAAATAATAAGAGCTATCTATGACAAACCCACAGCCAATATCATACTGAATGGACAAAAACTGGAAGCATTCCCTTTGAAAACTGGCACAAGACAGGGATGCCCTCTCTCACCACTCCTATTCAACATAGTGTTGGAAGTTCTGGCCAGGGCAATCAGGCAGGAGAAGGGAATAAACGGCATTCAATTAGGAAAAGAGGAAGTCAAATTGTCCCTGTTTGCAGATGACATGATTGTATATCTAGAAAACCCCATTGTCTCAGCCCAAAATCTCCTTAAGCTGATAGGCAACTTCAGCAAAGTCTCAGGATACAAAATCAATGTGCAAAAATCACAAGCATTCTTATACACCAACAACAGACAAACAGAGAGCCAAATCATGAGTGAACTCCCATTCACAATTGCTTCAAAGAGAATAAAATACCTAGCAATCCAACTTACAAGGGATGTGAAGGACCTCTTCAAGGAGAACTACAAACCACTGCTCAATGAAATAAAAGAGCATACAAACAAATGAAAGAACATTCCATGCTCATGGATAGGAAGAATCAATATCGTGAAAATGGCCATACTGCCCAAGGTACTTTACAGATTCAATGCCATCGCCATCAATCTACCAATGACTTTCTTCACAGAATTGGAAAAAACTACTTTAAAGTTCATATGGAACCAAAAAAGAGCCCACATTGCCAAGTCAATCCTAAGCCAAAAGAACAAAGCTGGAGGCATCACGCAACCTGACTTCAAACTATACTACAAGGCTACAGTAACCAAAACAGCATGGTACTGGTACCAAAACAGAGATATAGATCAATGGAACAGAACAGAGCCCTCAGAAATAATGCCGCATATCTACAACTATTTGATCTTTGACAAACCTGACAAAAAGAAGAAATGGGGAAAGGATTCCCTATTTAATAAATGGTGCTGGGAAAACTGGCTAGCCATATGTAGAAAGCTGAAACTGGATCCCTTCCTTACACCTTATACAAAAATTAATTCAAGATGGATTAAAGACTTACATGTCAGACCTAAAACCATAAAAACCCTAGAAGAAAACCTAGGCAATACCATTCAGGACATAGGCATGGGCAAGGACTTCATGTCTAAAACACCAAAAGCAATGGCAACAAAAGTCAAAATTGACAAATGGGATCTAATTAAACTAAAGAGCTTCTGCACAGCAAAAGAAACCACCATCAGAGTGAACAGGCAACCTACAGAATGGGAGAAAATTTTTGCAACCTACTCATCTGAGAAAGGGCTAATATCCAGAATCTACAATGAACTCAAACAAATTTACAAGAAAAAAACAAACAACCCCATCAAAAAGTGGGCAAAGGATATGAACAGACACTTCTCAAAAGAAGACATTTATGCAGCCAAAAGACACATGAAAAAATGCTCATCATCACTGGCCATCAGAGAAATGCAAATCAAAACCACAATGAGATACCATCTCACACCAGTTAGAATGGCAATCATTAAAAAGTCAGGAAACAACAGGTGCTGGAGATGATATGGAGAAATAGGAACACTTTTACACTGTTGGTGGGACTGTAAACTAGTTCAACCTTTGTGGAAGTCGGTGTGACAATTCCTCAGGGATCTAGAACTAGAAATACCATTTGACTCAGCCATCCCATTACTGGGCATATACCCAGGGGATTATAAATCATGCTGCTATAAAGACACATGCACACGTATGTTTATTGCGGCACTATTCACAATAGCAAAGACTTGGAACCAACTCAAATGTCCAACAATGATAGACTGGATTAAGGAAATATGGCACATATACAGCATGGAATACTGTGCAGCCATAAAAAAGGATGAGTTCATGTCCTTTGTAGGGACATGGATGAAACTGGAAACCATCATTCTCAGCAAACTATTGCAAGGACAAAAAACCAAACACGGCATATTCTCACTCATAGGTGGGAATTGAACAATGAGAACACATGGTCACAGGAAGGGGAACATCACACACTGGGGACTGTTGTGTGGTGGGGGCAGCGGGGAGGGATAGCATTAGGAGATATACCTAATGCTAAATGACCAGTTAATGCATGCAGCACATCATCATGGCACATGTATACATATGTAACAAACCTGCACATTGCGCACATGTACACTAAAACTTAAAATATAATAATAAAAAATAAAATAAAAAAATAAAAAACAAAAAAACCAAAAAGCAGAAAACAAAAAACAAACAAACAAACAAAAAGATGTGTGTGCATTGAATTCATTTGAATTGTGATGGAGAGGCCGTGGGAAGCCCTGAGAGACCTCACTTACCCCTCCCAGAGCAAGGCAGATCCGAGCTTCCCTGGCACTTCCTGATGCTCTCCTCAGCTGACAGCGTGCAGGACTGTGGGTGCTCACACTTCTTCCCATACCAGCCTGCTTTGCAGTCACATCTTCCGCAATTACACTGTCCATGACCTTCACAGTGAGAGTGGCAAAAAATAAAAATGTACATAAAGATAATGAAGTTGGAATTAGTTTTCATTCTAACAGCAAATGTCACAAATGAGTCAGGATCTTGATGAACATAATATAACATATTAAGGCAAACGCACATTTTTCTCAAATTCTTAAATAACTGACTTATATGAATTGATCTTGAGGGGTAGAGAAAAGCAACAGATAAGATAAACAGTTTAGTAAGGCTATAAACTTCAAGCTGTCAAATTCCAGGTGCATGTGATTGTATTGGTTTGCTGGGGCCTTAAAGGAGTATTTGGGCCGGGCGCTGTGGCTCATGTCTATAATCCCAGCACTTTGGGAGGGCGAGGAGGGAAGATCACGAGGTCAGGAGTTTGAGACCAGCCTGACGAACATGGTGAAACCCCGGTCTCTACTAAAAATATGAAAATTAGCCAGGCATGGTGGCGTGCACCTGTAATCCCAGCTACTTAGGGGGCTGAGGCAGGAGAGTCACTTGAACCCAGGGGGGCAGACATTGCAGCAAGCCAAGTTCATGCCACTGCACTCCAGCCTGAGCGACAGAGGGAGACTCCGTCTCAAAAAAAACAAAAAAACAAAAAAAACAACAAAAAAAGAAAAAACGGAAAGGAGTATTTGGTGGATTTGGCAATTAATTTGCATGGAGGGCAGTCACAGGGAAGGACTAACTGTATTTTTGAAGCAGGATTTTTTTTTTTTTTTTTTTTTTGCTTTTTAGACTACTTTTTAATATATAAACGCTCCTTTCTCAGTAATTAATGCAATTAGTGAAATTAAAATCAGTATGGATATAGAAAAGTTGACATTAACAGCCCAGTAGACATAATTAACATTTATAGAGCACGCTAACAAACAATATCAGAGAGAGTACATATTCTTTTAAGACTGTTTTCTTTTTAGAGCAGTTTTAGGTGCACAGCAAAACTGAGAGAGATGCGGAGATATTCCATATACCTCCTTCTCCCTCACGTGCATAGCCTTCTCCATTATCAACAATTCCCACCAGAGAAGTACACTTGCTGTAACTGATGAGCGTACATTGACACATCACTATTACCCAAAGTGAATAGTTGACATTAGGGTCCACTCTTAGTGTACATTGTATGAGTGTGAGTAAACATATAGTGACATGAATTCACTACTCATACACAGTAATTTCACTGCCCTGAAAACCCTCTGTGATCTGCCTAGTCATCCGTCCCTCTCCCACACCTTTCCCCAATCCCTGACAACCTGATCTTTTCACTGTCCTCCATAATTTTGCCTTTTCCTTAATGTTATATAGTTGGAGTCATACAGTATATGTAGTCCTTTCAGTTTTTTTTTCAGTTGGTAATATGCATCTAAGATTCCTCTATGGATAAATAAACTGTGGTATATCCAAAGAATGGAATATTATTCAGAGCAGGATTTTTTTAAATTAACCATTTAATGGATCGCTATTTATTAAGGTCTCACAACCACGGTCAAACTGGGGGCCATGAACTGACAAAAAGCATGAAATCTAGAATTCAGAAGAGGTCGCTCTTTTCTTCCCCAAGATTTATTGAGGTATAAGTGACCAAAAAATTGTAGATTCTTAAAGTATGTAACATGATGTTTAGATATGCATATGCATTGTGAAATGATTACCACAACCAAGATAATAAACATATCCATCACCTCACACAGTTAACTTTGTGTGTGTGTCTATGTGCAGTGGGAATATCTAAGATGTACTCTCCTCATACAATGCAAGTAGACAGTATTACAAACTATAGTAACCATGCTGTACATTAGATCTCCAGAACGTATTCATCTTATAACTTTGAAAGTTTGTATGCAAAGTCTCCCCATTTCTCCTACCCCTTGGCCCTGGGTAACCACCCTTCTACTCTATTTCTAAGAGTTCAACGTTTTTAGATTCCACATATGAGTGAGATCGTGCAGTGTTTTTTTGTCTATGTCTGGCTTATTTTACTTAGCAGAATGTCCTCCAGGTTCATCCATGTTGTGGCAAATGAAAGGATTTCCTTCTTAAAGGACGAATACTATTCCACTGGGTATTTGTGTATATATAGATATATATATATACACACACACACATATGTAAATATATGCATATTATGCATATGCATATCAAAACATCATGTTACATATATAGATATATATCTCACATTTTCTTTACCCATTCATCTTACAACAGACACTTGTGTTGTTTTCATATCTTGGTTATTAGGAGTAATGCTGCAGTGACCATGGGAGTGCAGACAGCTCTTCAAGATAGTGATTTAATTTCCTTTATACATAAATCCAGAAATTCCTAGATCATATAATTCTCTTTTTGATTTTTTAAGGAAACTCCATAGTATCGTCCATAATGGCTGTATCAATTTACATCCTCACCAACAACATGGAAGTTTTCCTTTTCTCCACAACCCTGCCAACATCTATCTTTTGACTTTTTGATAACAGCCATCCTAACAGTTGTGAGGTCATATTTCATTGTGGTTTTGATTTGCATTTCCCTATTAGTGATGTTAAGCACTTTTTTCATATACCCACTGGCCATTTGCATATCTTCTTTGGAAAAATGTCTATTCAGGTCATTTGCCCATTTTTTTAATCTGGTTGTTTGATTTTTTTTGCTATTGAGTTGTATGAGTTAGATATAGTTTCAACGTTTGTCCTCTCCAAATCTCACGTGGAAATGCAATCCCCAAAACTAGAGATGGGGCCTGGTGGGAGGTGTTTTGACTATGGGGGCAGATCCCTAATGAATGGCTTAATGCTGTCCTTTTGCTGATGAGGGAGTTCCTGCTCTGGTAGTTCACGTAAGATCTGATTGTTTAAAAGAGTGTGGCGCCTCCTCCCAACCTCTTTTGTTCCCTCTGTCTTCCTCTCTCTCGCCATGTGATGCACTAGCTCTGCCTCCACTTTCAGCCATGATCAGAAGCTTCCTGAGACCTCACCAGGAACAGAAGCTGGTGGCATGCTTCCTGTACAGACTGCAGAAATGTGAGTCAAAATAGACCTGTTTTTGGTTTTTTGGTTTTAGTTATTTATTTACTTTTTTGAGACACAGTCTCACTCTATTGCCCAGGCTGGAGTGCAGTGGCACAATCTCGGTTCACTGCAATCTCCAACTCCCAGGTTCAAGTGATTCTCATGTCTTACCCTCCCCAGTAGTTGGGACTACAGGTGTGCGTCAACACGCCCGGCTAATTTTTGTATTTTTAGTAGAGACGGGGTTTTACCATGTTGGTCAAACTTGTCTACAACTCCTTTCCTCAACTGATTTGCCCACCTCGGCCTCCCAAAGTGCTGGGATTACAGGCATGAGCCACCATGTGCCTGGCCCAAAATAAATTTATTTTCTTTATAAATTACCCAGCCTCAGGTATTTCTTTGTAGCAATGCAAAAATGGACTAGAACTCATATATTTTGAATATTAACCCCTTATTGGATATATGGTTTGCAAATATTTTCTCTCATTCCAGAAGTTGCCTTTTCATTTCTGTTGTTTCCTTTGCTGCTGTAGAAACGTTTTAGTTCAATGCAGTCCCACTCATTTATTTTTGTTTTTGTTGTCTGTGTTCTGGTGTTATATCCAAAAAAAAATCATTGCTAAGACCAATGGCATGGAGCTTTTCTCCTACGTTTCTTCGAGTAGTTTTAAAATTTCAGGTTTTACATATAAGTCTTTAATTCATTTTGAGTTGATTTTTATATACAGTATGAGATAAGACTCTAATTTCTTTCTTCTGCATGTGGACATCCAGTTGTCCCAACACCATTTATCGAATAAACTGTCTTTTCCCTATTGTGTGTTCTTGTCATCTTTGTTTAAAGTCAATTGGCTATAAATGTATGGGTTTATTTCTATGCTGTCTATTCTGTTCCACTGGTCTATGTGTCTGTTTTTGTGTTAGTACCATACTGTTTTAATTACTATAGTTTTGTAATATAATTTGAAATCAAGAGCTATGGTGCCTTCAGCTTTGTTCTTGCTGAAGATTGCTTTAGTTATTTGGGGTATATTGTGGTTCCATGTGAATTTTAAGATTTTTTTGTTATTACTATTAAAAATGCTAGGAGAGGTTAAAAATTATTATATGTACATATTTATGGGGTAGAATCAGATGTTTTGATACATATATAGGTTGCATTATGATCAAATTAGGGTATTTCACATGATGATCACCTTATGCATTTATCATTTGTGGTAAGGGCATTCAAAAGCTTATCTAATTATTTTCTAATTATAATATGCCATATCTTACTGTTAACTGTCCTCAACCTACTGTATAATAGAAGTTGAACTTATTCCTGCTATCTGATTGTAACTTGGACCACAGACCAACCTTTCCCTATCCTCCCATCTTCCTCCTCCCGTCTCTGGTAACCACATTTTAAACTCTCTGCTTCTATGATTTCAATTTTATTTTTAGATTCCAATTTTTTAGGTTTTGAAATAAGGTCTTTCTGTGCCTTATTTAACCTAACATGATGACCTCCAGTTCCATTCATATTGTTGCAAATGACAGGATTTCTTTCTTTTTATGGCAGAATTATCCATTGTGTATATATACCACAATTTTTTATCCATTCATCTGTTAATGGCCACTTGGGTTGATTCCATATCTTGACTACTGTAAATAGTGCTGCAATAAAGGGGTACAGATATATCTTTGACATATTGATTTCACTTCTTTTGGATATATATCTAGTAGTGAAATTACTGAATTATATGCATATCACAGCTCTATTTTTAATTTTTGGAGGAACCTCCATACAGTTTTCCATAGTGACTATACTAATTTACATTTTCACCCACAGTGTGTCAGTGTTCTCTTCTCTACCTCCCTTGCCAACATTTGTTTTCTTTTGTCTTTTTTTATTATAATTCTATAATAAAACCGATTCTAACTGGAGTGAAGAGGTATCTCACTGTGGAGTTGATTTGCATTTCCCTGACAATTAGTGATCTTGATCATATCTTCATATACCTGTTGGACATCTGAATGTCTTCTTTTGAGCAATATTTATTAATGTATTTTGCCTATTTTTACTTGGGTTGTTTTCTTGCTGTTAAGTTCCCTATGTATTCTTAATATTAATCCTTTGTCAGATATATAGTTTGCAACTATTTTCTCCCATTATGTAGGTCTATTTGTCATTCTTTTAGTTGCTTCCTTTGTTGATCAAAAGCTTGTCAGTTTGATGTCCTTCCATTTATCTATTTGTTTTTGTTGCTTTGCTTTTGAGGTCTTATTTTAAAAATTCTTGCCCACAGTAAAGTACTATCCTATGTTTTCTTCTAGTAATTTTGTAGCTTTGGGTTTTACATTTAAGACTTTAATGCATTTTCAGTTGATTTTTGTATATCATGAGAAGTAGTGATTTAATCTCATTCTTCTGCATATGGATATCCAATTTCTCCAGCACCATTTATTGAAAATATTATCTTTTTTCCAATGTGTGTTCTTAGCACTTTTGTTGAAAATCAGTTGGGTGTCAGTCATGGGACTTTTGATAGGAATTGCAACGAATCTGTAGATCACCTTAGGTAGTGTGAATATTTTGACAATATTCATTTTTCTGATCCATGATCATGAGATATCTTTCCATTTATTTGTGTCTTCAATTTCTCTCATCAATGTTTTACAGTTTTTGGTGCAATAATCTTTCACATCCTTGGTTAATTTTATTCCTAAGTATATTATTTTTGACACGACCGCAGATAAAATTGTTTTCTTAATTTCTGTTTTGGTTACTTCACCGAAGCAGAATGTTATCTTATGGAGTCTCCACACTTTATTTTCATGCACTTTTTAAGCAAATACTACATGTTTAGCCTGGAGACCCTTAGAGTAAAACCAGTAACCTACATGGAGTTTACAATCCTTGAAGATTAGCCTAGTGTATTCCAAAGAAGTCAGAAAAGATATTAAATTTTTCAACACATGAATATACAGTTTGCAAAGAATTGTGAGAAACGGTGTGGTTTAGCAAAAATCGACCTACATTATCAATAAAATAATGGGTTCAAATCCTGATTCTGCTTCCTACAGAGTGGGGCTGGTCAAATGACCACATCTGAGTTTCAGTTTCTTCATTTTAAAAAGGAAGAAAATATATTATCAATCCACATTTCTTCGGAAGTACATTAAATAGTTTAAAAGCTACATAAAAAGGAGCTACTGGTTTTTGTATTCATCAGTTCCCACATTATAAGCAAGTAGAGGAAAGCACAGTTTCAACTGAGCTTTCCATAATTCCTAATAAACATGAAGCTACTCATCACCGCAGATATAGAACAAAGTAGATTTCTATAATTGCTGCAAAAATGCATGAAGAATTTTAAAAGTGGAATTACACTTTTTAAAAGTACATAGAAATGCTAATGGATGAAAATGCATGCTGTCTTTAGCATCTGATATTAATGTATATCATCCAATATGAAAATTGGCCTCCAGTAAAGACTAGACCATTTTACTAATATTCCTTGAGGTTTGCGGTTCCATCTTCTGAATTTGAAGAAACTGGACAATACACATATGTAGAAGCTTTTCACCATTTAACTAATTTTTAGTAAAAAAAAAATCACAAAATCATAAATCAAAGTGGAATGAGACATTAGGGATCACTGAATTTAAATCTCTCATTTAATCCCAAATTCAATTCAATTCAGATGCTCATTTGTTGATCATCTGCTATGTAACAGAGTCTATTTGACAAATTGTTGCCATAATTATCTGTTCTAGACCTCAGTTGAAAGGAAAAGAAAATTGTTATTATTAATAAACATACATGACATATGAATATGATTAGACTTTACAGTATGGGAATTTTTGTAACGGTTTATGCTTATTAACAATTATATTTCATAGGTTGTTGGGTTCTATGGCTTTTGCCATTCATTCATCTCAGTTTAAGAAGTTCCCATCGGACGTGGTGACTCACGCCCATAATCCCAGCACTTTGGAAGGCCAAGGCAGGTAGATAACCTGAGTTCAGGAGTTCAAGACCAGCCTGGCCAACATGGTGAAACCCCATCTCTACTAAAAATACAAAAATTAGCTGGGCATGGTGGCAAATGCCTGTAGTTTCAGCTACTTGGGAGGCTAGGCAGGAGAATTGCTTGAACCCAGGAGGCGGAGGTTGCAGTGAGCCGAGACTGTGCCACTGCACGCCAGCCTGTGTGACACAGGGAAATTCCAACTCAAAAAAAACAAAACAAAGAAGTTCCTATCTTTCTTTATTTCCAGCCCTCATGTAAGGTTAAGGACAAACATTGCAAACAGATCTACATTGGAAATGCCTATATAAATAATGATTTTAACACATAAATATTTCACATTTAAAGTACAGTCAATTCTGTTGTTTCACAGGAGCCAATGGCTTTGAAATTCTTGGAGACAAGTGGTTTTATTTCAGCGACAGATCTGTTGTGAGGAAACTGGGCAAAGTACAGAACATGCTGACATTTGCGAGAGACTTGTTGACACTGGAACAATAACATTGCTTGTTGACACTTTAACAATAACATTGAAAACCAGATTGAAGAGGGAGAAAAAGTTTCTCCACTCTTGAAAGTTTAATGGCTGTGAAGGTTAGAACAATACATCTAGCCGATGCGGGACCCAGGAAGTCCCTAACTGCCCAAGAGAATGTCATCTGCCACTAAGGCCCACCTGAATTCACAAGCAGTGACGTGCCCCACAGGAGGATTCCCTCCCTGGGGAGGGAAAATAAAATAGAAACCTTGGGGATAAAGGCAGGTACAAAGGGAGACACACGACTGAAGGGAGAACGTTCTTAAGTTGCATAGTCGGAATCCATGTTTAAAAGCAACCATTTTTTCCTATCTGAAATCCATTCACATGTTGACATCTTTAAAAACATGTGGCAGAATAAAACAAATCCTAAAGGCAGAAGTTATTCAAAAGAGATTTTTAAAGTTGGAATCCTATCCAATTAGTAACAAAAGCCAGATTAGCTGTGGAAGCCTTAATAATTTTTCGTTTTTTAAGTTCAGATGCTCTAGACCTGCAGGAAGAAATCTTTGGCGGTCTTTCACCTTTATTCTCCCATAGGCACGTTCTGTTTTCTTATCATTTTATTTTTCTCAGTTTTTAATTCTCTCAACCTTTTTCCCCTAACATAATTCTATTATTGCAGCTTTATTTTTATATCCCATTGCTATTTCTGATGCTCTTCTACAAACATGAGGGGGAAAATACAGCCTATAAGCTCCCACACCTCTTTTCCTGTGTACTTAATGCAACATCATGAACATTCTCCAGGATCATGCTTCTAAATGCGTGCTTCACCTCCAGGCATTGCCAACTATAAGCAAAGCTGGGAAGAATATATATGTGTCCTTACTTTGGCATGTGTGTGATGACTCCTCAATAATCTTCTCAATAACACACCTGCAGCCAATTGCTTGCACATTGGGATGAATTTAAGAGATTGTATCATTGCTGTGATTGGCTGAAGGATAAAAGACCTTAGCCCTAAACAGGAAAGTATCAAAGTGGGAGAACATTGTTTAGTTCAAGATGGCCAATGTTCCTCCTCAAATCATCCACTGATATGTCTTCTATGCTTTACCACCAGGATTTGATATTAATTGAACAAGTTCAAGCTAAGGAAAGAAGAGGTATTTAAATATGAGTGACATACATAAGCCATCCATAAAGAATGAAGTTCCTGAAAGTCAGCGAATGTATGGTCACCAGTTTAAGTGACAAAATAGTGGCACAGAAAGTGTTTGATGGTTTTATTGTCTGGGGAGAGTAGAACTGGTTTTATTGTTTGGGGAAAGTAGAATTTTCTAAACAAGATATCTTACTGTATATCATAGAAGAAGCAAGCATAAAAGTGCATGGATAAACTTTCTATAATTCTAGCCTACCATAATAAAAATAGTATCGACAATGGTATTGCCTAATTTAAATGTTTATTACAGATTAATTGACAGAGTTGAAACAGAAACATAACTTTTGCTTTTTCAGTAATAAAAATTATATACTACATATTTCAAGAAGTTAGTCATGTGCTGTCAAAATATATTTTAGAATATTAGAGATACCACTTTAAGTGAAACTGTACATGTCCTACAAAATCCTTTGTGATATTTAACTGGTAGAGTTTAAAAATCACTTAGAAATATCAGGTGTTGGTACCAGATTCTCAGGCAGGTATTGGGCTTTTCAGATAAGACAGAAAATTATAAAACAAAATTGCAACTTTTCTTGTGAATTTACCAGTTTCTCAATTCCAATTTTAAAAGTTATGCCAAAGAAGGAATCATTTGGTAGAGATAAAGTCAAGAAGATGAAAATGTTGGGTTTTGCTATATAGAAGAGTTTAGAGATAATGGTATCTATTTAGCATGAAAACCCTTTAGACTGCCATAACATTACATCAGGTTTTTTTTTTTTTTTAATAGACAAATAGTGAAAAGGTCATAAAAGAAGAAATCAGGAGACTTGTGTCCTTCATCTGATGTGCCACTATCTTTTCTGGGCCTTATCTCAAATTGCTTTATCTTTCAAATGACAGAACTAAAAAAAGATCAATTTGCCACATGGATCTGAAATGCAATGCTTCCATGCTGGTTTGTCAAATTTATGTGTATGTTAAGCCTGCAGGTTTTAGTTTCATTACTTCTAACCAGTATTCCTTTAAACTGTGTAGGCAGAAGATCAATGAAATAGAGATGAAAGATTCGGCATGGTGCTGTTTGTCTTGATATCGAACATCAGAAGAATTCAAATAAGAGAAATGCTCTCTAAAGATCTCTCTGTATGTACACACACATGCACACACACACACACACAATGGAAGAATACAGTGCTTGGTGTTGGTATAATCTACCTACCATAAAAATGACTGCAGCCCAAAATACCCATACGAAAAGGAAGATTTGCAGCAAGAGCAGCCATTGAGTGGTCCAAAGGCCATGCTGGGAAGGCAGGAATTATTAAGGTTCTCAGGCCATTATAGGAAAGGGTGTTAACTAAACTTTTTCTTGTTTATTTGTAACTATTGTGTTCTTTGGAGTTATGCTATCCAAACTCCAGAAACAGGTGCAGGTGTTTCAGCACAAGTGCAGTTGCATCTATTCCAGACAAACACTTCTCTGCTTTAGAGGATACTTCTTTCTTTTTAAAGGATCAAAAAATGCCTGTGAATTTGAATCGTCTGTTAACATGTTTACAAAGTAACATGAAGACCATCAATAGAGAAAAGCTTTGGGGAATAACTTAGATCTAGGTAGTACTTGCTATTTTTTTTAAATTCAATATATTAATTTTTCCTTTCAAGAAAATGTGGTCTGGATATACTTAATCATTTCCTTTAGTTTCTTTCTTAATGCTTTGACAATCCACAGGGACAAATTTCACCACATAATATGGTTCTATCAAAATATTCCATTTTCCAAACTAATGTAACTCTAAGCCAAAACTTTCCCTATATTTTCATAATTTTCTTAGGCAGGGAAAGCTGAACGATAAAGTTTAAGGTCACATTGCAGCGTATTTTTCCAATTATGGGATTTGGGTAAATAGACCTGAGTGGTAAGCGGCCATTAGGAATAAAGCAGTTATATTAGAATCAGAAAGTAAATTGGGTGTAACAAACAGGACAGTCGGGACACGTCAGGATGCCCATTCATGCCCTGATCATTTCAGTCACACTCAAATTGTGTCAACCGTATTGTCTTTGAGGGGTGCGTGTATGTGTGTAGTATAACAGTCATGTTGGTGTATGGGCAAATGAACATACACAAACACACATATTTTGTGGATGATGAACAACAGACAGGATTAAAAGAAGTAAATAAAATTGATTTATTTGGTGGGTGCAGGGACCATGTTTCAACATATTTGTGTTCCCTATATTCATGATGTGTTAGGCATAAAATATTTACATTTAAATGCATTATTGAACAGATAAATGGAGAGAATGGAAATGAATGAATAAAATGAGAATGTCAATTAAAAGAGCTAACTTAAACTAATCCGTCCAGAGACTTCCCTTGGACTTAAATAAGACCAAAACTCTCAGGATGGCAAGAATAGGAGCTAAAAATAAAAGTTCATTTCATCAGAGCCTTATTATGTTCTAGTCTTGCATGAAAGACTAGAGAATATTGATGTCATTGGGTTACTTCTGTCTCATAACACAAAGGTATTAATATACTCAATAATCAACTATATGGCACTCTTCTTACACTGCAACTTAGACTGTTAATTAGGAAAAATTTAAAGACTAATAAGCATAATACCATACAGTATATAGAATTCTACAGATTCTGTAAGAATGATGAAATACTGCAGAGGTTGATGTCTGCTCCAGATTGTAATGATGTTCAGAGAAGCTTAGTTTTATTTTAAAAAAATCTGAGTACCCAGAGGACAGTTCTTCCTCAGAAAAATAAAGTAAAACTGGAGAATTGTATTTGCATCACCTGGAGATTAAGTTACATGAGTAGTCAGGCTATATGTGTTTTCAGATGACACTTTTATGGCAGTGTGAACTTTATCAAGTTACTTAATTTCTCTGAATGTATTTTCTCTTCTGCTAAACTATAGACAATAATGCCTCCCTCTCTGAGTTAGTGTGTACATAAAATGGAATGAGGTTTATAAAAGAACTCAGCAAGGGTCCAATAGAGTAGAGTCTCTGTAAATATGAGTTTCTTCCTCTTTCCTCAATTCCTCATTCTAAGTGTGGGAGCCAAGCTGTGGAAAGCTGGCCATGTTCAATTCACTTCAACCAGCGAATCATAAAATCACAATAATAGATTGATGTTTTCTTGTTCAAACTACAGCCAATTGTGCCATCACCTCTTCCTACCCCTACCTGTCCATACCCACTGTGTGGAATCTCATAGGGTATGAAAGAAAGGAAAATGTGAGAAAAAGGAAAACAGGGAAGAGGGGTTGGAGGGGAATAGGTGAGGTGGAAAATTAGATTCCAGTGCAGCCTCCTTAATGACACTTCACCTGCTCAGCCTAGAGTAAGCACTCCAAGACTAAATGACACGCTGCGGGAATTGCACACAAGCTTACACGAGGATTGAAGTGTCAGTTCAGGAGTGATCACCCATCTTTACCCCATGACCCCACTCCCTCACAGTGAGATGGACTGGCTCACAGGACCCTGAATTATCGCTATAATGTAGTTAGTTTGAATTTTTCAACCCCAGTCCAAAATCAGGATCAACATCAGAATTATGGATTTCACAAGAGAGTGAATACCCATAGGAAAAAGGGGCTCCATATCAGCAAGTCACACACTTACAATTTTAAAATACTGCCTTTTATATGCCTCCCTTATTTTCTTATTTTAAATTGTGTCAAATCATGTTTATCTCAAAAGCAATCTTAAAATGACATTGCCGCCGGGGGAGGTGGCTCACACCTGTAATCCCAGCACTTTGGGAGGCCGAGGCTGGCGGATCACAAGGTCAGGAGATTGAGACCATCCTGGCTAACACAGTGAAACCCTTCTCTACTAAAAATACAAAAAAATAAGCCGGGCGTGGTGGTGGGCACCTGTAGCCCCAGCTGCTCGGGAGGCTGAGGCAGGAGAATGGTGTGAACCTGGGAGGTGGAGCTCGCAGTGAGCTGAGATCATGCCACTGCACTCCAGCCTGGGCAACAGAGGGAGACTCCATCTCAAAAAAGAAAATGGTATTGTCAAATGGCATTTCCTGAATGCCAGCATAGTTTTAACCACCAACTCTATGCTTACAACTTGAAATTCTCTTGGTTTAACCCTGACCCTGACTCACATATTCAACAGGCTGGGAAAAAATATAAACTTTGGCTTACCCTTTGCCCTCTATGCTGGAGATGTCTAGAAACAAACTTGACAGCTTCCTTCCATATTCCCTATTTCAGTAAATGGCACCAACATTTTCCCAGACACTCAGACTAGAAATCTGGTGATGACAGCACTCTATTGCCTAAAACCATCATTAGCTCCTCATTGCCTTTAGAATAAAACCTGGGTCTGCAGGAAGGTAAAAAGCCCCCCAGTTCTTGTTTCTCAACCAACTTTACCTTTTACCACATGCTTCCTTAATTCTGCATTCTGGTAATTTCAAACTGAGTCTGGTCCTATACACAGATTCTATCCCTCTGTTCCTTCTGCTTGGAATGCCCCTCTCATCTTTCTTTACCTGCAAGCCTATTTTTTTTAGGATAAAACCCACATGCACTGTGATCCAATAGCCTCCTGCAATTCATGAGCCCTACATCACCACCACTGTGAAGAGCCACATCATCCTAATTAAAATCTCCAACAGGCCTCTTCCCCACTATTCTCATCATCTCTTTGGAACACAGAAGCCACTCACTAGTCATGAGCTCTTTTATTACCACTGTGTTGACAGCAATGATAATGAAGAACATGAGCATGTATAATTAATAATAGAAAAAAATACCCTCAAGAGAATAGTGTTCACAAAATGTTTAGGAAATCCTCTGGAGCACAAGAGATTATCAGAAGAGGGAAACCCTTCTGCAATGGGAAGATTTAGCAGCAGGCTTTCCCCAGTCAGTCTGGAGAAGCCTTTGAAGTTGCACACTCATAATTAAATGGGACAGTTCTTTTATCTCCCTTTGCTGGCAAACTTTCAGGAGACCAGAGGAGTTTCTATCCATCTGCATGCACCAATGAGGCAGTCAAGCTTAGCAAGATGTATATGTGTATGTGTCTACCTTATGGGTTATCAAATAGAACTGGACTGAAAATCTATAACTCCATTTTTGCTAAATGATACCTTTTCAGATAGACTTCTGACTGCTTTCTTTTTCTTTGCACTATTAGACATCCTGGACTTACATATTTTATTTATTTGCATTTAGATTGCAAACTCCATGAAGTCAAAGTTCATGGCTGTCTCCTGTCCCCTACTGGCTCCTACTACACCAGTAGCCCAGATGTCACTCAGTCCCTAACAGACAGTATCTGCCCCACAGTATTTACAGTCAAAGATTTTTGAATCTACTAATTGATATTTAATTACAGACTACATTGCAGAATAACATTAAAGCCTATCAAAGAGTTAATGCACAAAATAACCCTGAGCACTGTATTATCCTGTTTTGTAATACATTAATATAGGTGCCCTAATGATAACTATCCTGTTCATTGTCAACAGCTCTGCTAGTTTTGTAGTCTCAGAGTTGAACTGAGTAGCTATCTAGAGCTAATGGTTCTCCTGGGTGAGGAATTAGACTAACTTTAAAAGAGTGGGTGCCCTCTCATCTCTAGTCTTTGCCAACTTTGGGAATTCTCTGGAGGTTTTCCAAGTTACCAGTAGGAGCACTGCAAATATAAGATGCTTTAGAATACACATTCAGTTTCTTTTACAGGGTATGTGAGAATCAGAAATCTTGAAAACAGGGAAATATGCATTTTTATTTTTTATTCATTACTTTTTAAATTTTTGTGGGTACATAGTAGATGCATATGTTTATGGGGTACATGGGATGTTTTGATACGGGCATGCAATGTGAAATAAGTACATCATGGAGAATGGGGTATCCATCCCCTCCAAGCATTTATCCTTTGTGTTACAAACAATCCAATTATACTCTTTACATTATTTAAAAATGTACAATTAAGTTATTGACTATAGTCACCCTATTGTGCTATCCAACAGTATGTCTTATTTATTCTTTCTAATTGCTTTTTTTTTTTTTTTACCCATTAACAAGCCCCACCTCCCCCTCCAGAAAAACAGGAATTGGAAGAGCCCTTACCTGAACAGAAGTCATCAGAATATCGGTCATAGACAGCTCTACAGTCCCTCTCATCACATTCACAGGTGTCCCCATGAATATCTCCCCAGTCCCCAGTCGGATCAACATCGTGACAGGTACATTCACCACATACACAAGTCCCTAGGTGGGAAGAAGAATTTTATAAGAATCCAGTCAAGAAAAACCATGAAAGAAAGCATTTCACATATCGCTTATTATTTTCTGTTTACTTTGTGTTTGAAAAAAACACATATATTCAGACAAAAATATTCTAAAAAGGAAAAACACCATCTAATATTGATAATAGAGATTCCTTAATAAACAAAAGTTATTATCTATTCTATAATTATGTGAGTTGGTGGAATGTGTCATTAGTATTATGTTAGTTTCCTTCAAAGATAACACTAAAACAATTTATATAAGATATAATCCTTTCCCCCAAGAAGCTTGCAATCTATTTGGCAAATAGAAAGCTAATTAGAAAGAAAAATTAACAAACACTAAAAACAATGTGCAAATATTTTGTAAACTAAGACATGAATGCTCTAAGAATTTGGAGAAAGAGGATCAATGAGTGTTGGAGTAATTAGCAGTGGATGGATTGGATATATAGGGATTAGAGGAAATGTTCTAGGAGACATTGGAGGTAGAACTAAGAGAAAGTCAAGAAAAAAAGACTGAGCAAAGAAGGGTAGGGATGGGCATAGGGACCCTGAGGTGCATGTTAAAAAATAAAAAAGACTAAGAAGTAAGGTTTGCTAGATCAGATGAGCCCAGATTATAGAGAATGTTGGAGATCAGATTGAGAGACATAAACTTGGTCATTTGCAGATTTGCAGAGGGAAATGCCCAGCTGTACATCATGTTTACTCTGTGTGGATTATCAGTAACTGTCTTTAGGGCAACCAGCTAATCATTTGATAGAGACATAAAGTTAAATCCTTTTCTTACCTCTTACATCAAAATAAGTACCAGTTGGATTAAAGATTTAAACGTACAAAATAAAACTGTATAATATGAACTAAACTCTTTTTATTCAAGACCCCAAAGCACAATTACTAAAAAAGGAAATTGAAAATTTCCATAAAAATTGAAAATTTTGGTTGGAAACAAAACACTGTAAAAAAAAGACTGACAAAGCTGAAACAAGTAGTTAATATGTCTGTAAAAGACAAAGAACAATTTCAAAAACATATAAATAAATCATAGAATTGAATATATAAAGGATTAATATGCCCAAAGTGAAATAGACAAAAGGAAAGAACAAAAGGAAATTTCATACAGAAATAATGACAGATAAAGATGAAAAATGTTTATCACTCAATCAACCACTACTAAGTGGGTAGCAGTGGCAGATCTTCAAAATAATCGTGATTGGCAATTATTTTAGAAGTCAGATCGTCAGAGGTGGAAAATATTGTTGGATCCAGACTCGGTAAAGGTGTGGGACAATGGGTACTTTCTTGCCCTGAAGGGGAGTACGAAATGGTACAACTTTCTGGGTAGCGATTTTGCAATATGTACTTTTTATATCTGTGTTATTATTCAGACTTATAGCTCACTTTAATTAATGTACCCAACAGAAAGAAAAAGTACACACAAGTGTATGTTCAGAAATATAAAATATAGTTGTATTTATGTTTTTGAAAAATTACTAGTGACCGAAATATTGTTCAATGGGGAATTAGCGCAGTAATGGTACACACATATGGACTACCTAGCAATCACTAAGTAATAAATTAGGTTTTTGCCCCATAAATATGGAAAGATAAACAACATATATCATGAAATAAAACTGTAAAATTACAAATCAGCACGTGCAGTATGATTTGATTTTTTTTCTTTAATAAGAAGGAAATACAGGGATAGGGCAGCCATAAAAATGAATTTTAATAAATAAATACGGACTGAAAGCTCATGTACCAAAATGTAAAAGGAGGTTACACCTGGAAGTTAGGTTTATGGGTCACTTTCTTATTTTTCTGTGTACTCTACTTTATTATCTAGATTTTAAAAAATGAATATGCATTGCTCTCATAATAGGATAAATGAGTTTGGTCAGGAGGAACAGGGACTAGGAGCTATGCAGATGTGACGAAGAAGCAGCTTCTCAGCCACGTGTAAAGGGGTCCACTATGAAACTCAATAAAACAGATGGGCAATAGAGGACATTTGTTCTATTAATGCTTATGTCTGCAACATTGGTTTTTTGGCCCCTGAAGATGGGGAAAAAGGAAGACAAGATAGGTATGTGCAGGGACCAGTGTGTTTCTATTACCTATGGATGCAATGATGCAGAAATGCTTTCAGGGTAGTCAGGAGTATTATCTTTTGAGAAAAAAAAATGACTCATCTCAGCGCCCACTTCTGCCCTGTCTTCAAGTACCCCTGAATCTCAGAAGCTGTGAGCCTCGCTCAGGCAAGCTGCTTCCCATTCTGCCTCTGCCATAGCTCCAGGTCAGAATGCTCCAAGCACAGCGAAGTGGGATGCAGGTGGCTTAGCTTATGTTTCTGAAGGACATCGTCTCTCACAGCCAATGTAACTCTGCTGCAGAACCTGACCTTAATCCACAGCCCAACCAATTCCATTTTCCACCTCTCTCTTTTTGACAGCCAAATAGTCATTTTCCACAGTACCAGAGTTCAAGCTTCATATACTTAAAAATGGTGACTGTGACCCCTACTGCATAAAAGGACTTATGCAGAAAACACATTGGACACAGGAAGGAGAACATCACACACTGGGGCCTGTTGTGATGTGGGGGTAGTGGGGAGGGGAAGCATTAGGAGATATACCTAATGTAAATGATAAGTTAATGGGTGCAGCACACCAACATGGCACATGTATACATATGTAACAAACATGCACGTTGTGCAATGCACCCTAGAACTTAAAGTATAATAATAATAAATAATAAAAAGAAACCATAAGGTAAATTAGTATGATATATAGTAAGATTTAGTCCCCACAAAGGAAGACTTCATGATTTTGTTCCAAGTTCCTGCCTTTTTATTTATTTTCTCTATGTAAAGAAATGTGGCACATTTTACTCCTCTATGTCAATTTCTGACAGGTGGTATGCTACGATTTCTGTATTAGCATTACCTATTGCAATGCATTATTCATGTATAGAAATGAAAAAAAGTTTTCCAGCTATCTAGATTTTTTTAGTTTTAAAGAAGTATAATCACTTTTTAATGCCATTGGATAGGCAATGAAAACTTTAGTATGGCTCTCTTTATCACTACAGCAAAGGGAAAATTAAGTATTTTCAAGGAATTTTAAAACTATGTTTAAACTGTTTGATTTTACATCAAAAGTTAGTTAACTACCTTTAAATTATAGTTTAGCAATATTAATATATTTGTTAACTTCCTTTGTAAAGTCAGTGTACATTTCCTATGGCTATTGGATACATACTTTGTATATCTATTGTATTCAATATCAAATTTTTATTATTGCACACGGAAGTTAAATTAGTCCATATCAAATCTGCATTTCAACCAAGCCTTCCATATACTCATAATTAAGACAAGAGGGTTTTCTGAATTCTCTACGGATAATTAGATGCTCATGCTGTAGATGGTTCTGTTAGTCAAGAGACATTTAACAGAAGTATCTAAAGGAATTGCCTTTTAGCTGCACTGTGCTATGTCTGGAGGGCTGCCAAAGAAATTACAGTCCCTAAGTTAACTGTTTATTCAGTGAAGCTTAAAGAATGACAGCAACTTTCTTATCTTTCTCTTTTCTACTCAATAAAAAACAAGACAGAAAAGATTGTTGGGATAGTAAATGTTGATTTACATCAAAGTAAATGGTTAGAAGATAACTTCCTCCCACACTAGAGGAAATACAAAGAAAAGAAGTGTTAACAATTAAAAGCTTTGTTTGCCTCCCCATTATGTAGTAACATGTATGAATGACACACCTCTGTTACTGCAGATTTTGCCATCTGGAGACGTGCATCTTCGCTTGCTTTCCCAGGGGGTGATATCGCACTGGAATTCACATTTATCTCCATGCCAACCAGCCTTGCAGTAGCAGTTTCCACAGTAACACTTCCCATGGCCTTTACCCAAAATGAATTTTATACAGTGAGGAAAAAAGCAACTTTCATAAGCAGAATTAACTTTCTATCTCTTTGTGATCATTTTTGCCTTCTGAAATACTGTCACAGCTCCACATTCCTTGCCTAAAATAATCAAATTATACAGCTTTCTCCAAACACATCATGGTTGTGCCTATACCTGCTTAATCATACAAAAAGAGCAAAGTGTCCTTTAACTTGGCCTAGACAGGGAACTGATTAAAAGTATTTTTAAAGAAATGACATGAATGACCATGACAGTCTATTACTTTTCCATCTCAAATGCACACATCAAACCCAAATATATATGAGCATTCACTCTAAGGACGTTTCTTGAATTAGTTATTAAAATATTTCATTTGAAATCAACTATTGAGAAACCAATGGTGCATATTTACCTAGATAGACATTATGAATGACCAAACAACTCTTTAAAGCAGAATAAATATTTCATCTTTTCACTCAACTGTGCCCCACAAGCTGTTGTGTTCCACCATGTGAAAGAGAGGTTTTCAGCCTAGTCCATGTTTAATCCTCATTTAGACAAACAAAATACCATGGGCCCTTGGCCACGCAATCAAATTCCCTTTCTACTTGTCAAGGGGATACAAATGACAGGTAAGGGCACTCACCATTTTGTGTCCAGATGCCCTCTTTCAGCTCCCACCTCTCTGTAACCTGTTACCTGCTCATCTGCACTTGCCTCCAAGCCATCTGTAGTGAATTATCGCACCATTGCTTTCCTCATCCACACCTAGCAATCCTTCTGCAAATTCCCCAAAGATGGCATTTATCCCAAATTTTACTTCTTATACTCTCATCTTTGTAGTTATATCACCTAAGTATAAATGTATGTCCTTGTTCTTGTTTTGTTTTTAGTCTATTCTTTCTGTATTATAGGAGTTTGTGTTTTATCAGTCTATGGCTAAAGTCTTTGTTCTTTCCATCTCTCTTCTCTTACAGCCAAACTCCCCAAAAGACAATGCAAAACTGATTATGAGACTACTTTTCATTGTCTTATAAGCATATTTATCATTCTAACACTATGGTATTTCTGGCCAATGGCAAGAACATTAATAGGACCTGTAAAACTCACATAAGAAGCAAGAAGTACAACAGAATATTCTGGTATCCTACGCTATTCATGTCCAGCAGATGAGACTTCCATCAAGAAGATACACATCTGAGAGACAGAGCCAGAGAGATGAACAGAAAGAGTGCTATAGTGAGACACAGAGAAAGAGACAGGGACCCAATGCCATGTTCTCTGTCTAAATAAGTTATAATTGGGATATTCAAAGAAAATCACTTGTTAACCTAAAAATCAATGACCATTTCCACAATGAATTTGAATTTTAAATTTGTTTACTTAAGCAAATGCAAAGGCTGTCAAGTGATTTAATCAGTACAGAATATATCATCTATATATCTTATTTATGAACTTAAAATGGTGTCTACTTGCACACACAAATCACATCCTAGTGATATATCACAGGCCTCAAGAACTCAAGGATTACACTGAAAAAAAAGCAATAGTGTATATTAATTGCTTTTCTTAGGAGTCAGGTTTGTACGACCCAATCACCTTTTTAGACTACGGAATTTATTTTCTCTGTAATTTCAGAAAATTTATACAGAAGGTGCAACATAAGTAAGGATTACTATATTAATAAATGATAGAAAATCTATATTTCTCACATCCAAATTCTTTGAATATTTATACAATTCAGTACTGAATTAGGGTTTTACTAAGAAACCTTTGAGTTAGAGGTAAATAAGGAAGCAAAAATTATGTAACAATACACGTCTATGCAGGTATGGAAAATTAAACAAATATCCACATAACTCAAATAAAAATATTGAACAAGACACATCTGAATAATTGAGATTAAAATGTGTGCTTTAGGACAATACATATTCCAGACAATAAACATAATTCTTTGCTTTGTGCAAACTGATAGAGCAAGAAAATGTCTATTTGTACTACTTCACTGATGAACTGTGGAATCATCTCTCAGCAGATTGGTTTCATGTGAATGACACATGGAAAGATTTACAATCCCAGGCAATGTCACCCCCAGAGGGTGTTTACTGCAGTGCTGGTGTCCTTGTTCAGAGACTTTGCACCATGAAATTGCTTAAGCCTCAAACAAATGGAAATAACAACTAGAAAGTTTGAAAGTTAAACATTTTCTGTTGTGTTGTTTCAAGTTACATTTTTCTATTGATACATGCAAATAGACTCTGCTTTTGTGGTGTTTATCAACACACACTGGCCCCAAAGCATGTTCCCGTCTTCTTCTTTTTTTTTTTTTCCATCTATAATAATTGGAAACTAAACATCAAGAGGACAAACACATATATTTGTGGATGGATTTGTCTAATTGATCTAATTATTTTGGACTGAGCCCTTTAAGAAAGAATTGTCTGAGCAGCATCTTGCTTAGGTCATTGGCTCGGAAAAATGAAAATAAGGTTTTTGTGTTTGTTTGTTTTATCCAGGTAGTTTGTACAGCCAGGAGATCAAGGAGGGAGGGCCAATCAGGCCTAAAATAAGTGTATTTGGATGACTCACAGGAATTGAAGCTACCGAAATGTAAACAAAAGAACAAGCTTGTCCTATGCTAGCCACAGTTTCTCAGGGTTCTCTGGTTCCACGTGGCCCCATTGGGCCCTAGTCCTTCCAGAAAAACAATACTTCTAAAACTACCATTTCTGCACGCAGGGCAGTCTTCCTTCAACTGGAATCCCATGAGATAGGAGTGAAATATAAGTTCAGAGCAGAGAAAAATTTACCTAAACCAAATGATTCTCTCTGCTTTCTACTTTTCTTTTCCTACACCAGTCAAGGTTGCAAATGGGAACTCTGGGCACAGGCTTGCAGGTTGAGCAGAAGAGATGAAAACTGCAAGTGGTGAGGAGAGACTCCTCTTGTGGAGCTCTGAGCTCTAAGGCACTGATGCAGTCGTGAGTGGTGAGGCATCAGGAACATAGACTTTGGCATCACACAGACACGAGCCCAAATTCTACTATTATTGGTGGACTGACCCTGGGTTCGTTACCTAATTTATCCACGTCCCAGGTTCCACATCTATCTATGTAGATAAACATAATTCTTAGCCTAGAGTGATGTTGTGAGACAAAACATAATGAATGTAAAGCACTTATTGCAGAATTTGTCACTAGCAAACATGCAAGAACTGCTACAACAGAAAAATGAATTGAGTAATGGTGGTACACAGAAAAGGTCATTGAAAATGTTATTTAAGTGTTTAGGGACAGAGAGGGGGAGGTAAACTCTAGGCTAATAACCCTATTGACCTTCATTGTCCCTGATAGGACATGAGACTCATGTTTTAGAAAGGGAAAAACAAAGAAATGAAAATGTACACTTAAGAGAGTAGGAGAAAGGAAAATAAAAGTGACTAAGGTGAGCAGAGGAGATGGTATTCTACTAGGACTACTTCAGAGCTATGCAGTTGGCCTGTTGCCATAATGACACAGCTCTCCTCTGGGGACAATTTGGCTTTGCATCTAAAAAGTACTAGTCTACTCTTAATGCCATAGTCTCACTCTCCTTATGTGAAATGTTTTCCAGATAAACATAGGTTTAAACTACATTAGCACACCTAGAGCAGAAACTTATGTAGAGATAAAAGAACAATGAAATAGGTGAAAAAAACAGGTACTTTTATTAATTTCTACAGAGCCAATATACATACCTCCACATATTTCTTCTGTTTCATCGTCTATGCATTCTCTATCGTCACACTCACAAAATTTACCATACACAAGTCCACTTCCATCTGAATTATCACACTTACACCTGCCACAGTGACATGTACCTAAACCATGAAAACAAAAAAGACTGTTTGTTACATGCACATAAAATTATAATTAATGAATTTTTATACCATCTCTCTCAAGAGAGTAGATAATCCAAATCAATTTAATATTTCAATTAGATATTTCTGTGGGCATGGTGAGGTAAAGCACATGCTACTCTTTCTTGAGGTTATTTTAGCATGGCAATTATATTTTAGATCACACAACTATTATTATTGACCTCTAATGGTTTAATGAATGTAAATTTGACCTCTCCAAGTGCAGAGCTACTCCACATATAGCCATCCAACCAATGCATGAATGTCTTCTGATTACACCTGGGTCTGAAGTGAAATAAAGCAGCAAATTCTAAGCTTTGTGAGGGAAGCAACCTTGCTTATCTTCCTCACCAGTATTTATTCAATGTTTTGCACTATGTTTGAACATACTATTTATATAATAAATATTTGTGGAAATAATTTATTATCAAATGCATAAATAAAAATCATATGTGCCCCTGATAATTTCTCCTCCTCAGCATTAACTTATACTGATACACATGTCCTTACAATAATGGGACAAGAGTGGATTTCCTTAGGCATGGATTGCTGGTAACTCACCAGATTCTCAGGGGACCTCCACGTTAGAGAGGCATGGTAGTCATCTGGTCTACCACGAGCCATATACTCATCCAAGTCTGAAGATTCTACCACATCCCCCAAATGTAATTTCACCAACATTAATATTGCACTCAAACAATTTTGAGAGGTAGAATGCCCACTTGAGAAATTTCCTTGTTAATTTATCTATTTTGAGTTTTAATGCTCATCACAGCCATCACCATGTATCAACTGAGACTTGATCTCTCACAAGAAACCACCCTGGACTCTGAAAATCCAACGGGAATCAAGTCAGCCATAACCCTCCTCTCAGAGTTTTATATGAGCAAAAACCAATGTGATAAAATAAATACAGAAGTGCAAAGTGTTGCAGAAGCACATAGCAAGGGGATTTAACTGAGACCAGTAGGTCAAAGTCAGAGTCCCTGAGGAAGTAGCTGAGAACTAAAAGCCAAGAGAAAAAGCATAGCTAAGAGAAGTGAGATGGTGAAGAGGCTTACTTCCAGCATGAGACAATAGCACAGGCTCTGCAATAAAAGGGGAAGTGAAGGAAAAACACCACATGAGAACAGCATGAAAAGTGGCATGAAATGAATAAAGCAACCTGAGGTGCAGTTCATGGAAGTCTTATAGGTCATGTTAAAGATTTCCAGCTTTAATCCAAAAATAATTGGAAGACATAGAAGCAAGGGAGTCCTGTGATCATGTATGAATTTTTACCAGATTACTCTGGTTGTCATGTAACAAAAACTAGATGAAGCAATAGCATAAGAGTGAATGAACTGAAATGAGGCAAAAGTGGATGCAAAGAAATGAGTTAAAAGGCTGTTATATTTGTCTGCAGGAAAGAAGACAGTGGCTAGACACATGATGCGATGAGTTTAGAATGGAACAAATACATCTGGGGATATTTTTAGGAGAAAGAGTAGAGGGCATTTGGTGACTGAGTGTAAAGGGTGAAGGATGGGAAGGAACCAAGGAAGCTGTTGCTAATTTGGTTTGAATTACTAGATATTAGCAAATCTATATGTGATCTATTAGAAAGAGAATGAACTTGTGAGTAAGGTAGAGCTGTAGCTGAATTCCGAGTTTTAATCCTCATGAGCTATGCATTTTTAAAGGCATTGCTTTCATTTCTAATTCCCAGATTCCATATCTGCAAATAATCTCTGCTTCATAGAACTGCTGCCAATACCAAGTGATGAATATGTACCCAGTCATGTTTCTAGAAGCACTGCTGCACCTAGTACATAGTAGGATTTGAGAAAATTTGGGTTCTTCCTCTTCTCCCATTAAGATATAGAGTATATTCATCATATTTACAAACATTTTCTCCAGAAAATATATTTATGGATGCTGACAATATCCTTGTTTTCATATCCTCTGCATGATTCTGTTACCCAGATCACTTGCAAGTCACTATTATCTATAAATTTTTCACTCACAGTTACATATAAATGGTGATTTTGCAGAATTTATTTTTCTATCTTGCAAATACTCATGTGAATTTTCCTGTCATTAAACTTCATTTTATTGCATTTTTCCCTAAAAGCTAACTCAATTCATAAAAGTAATTTGAAATCTAATGCTATAATTTATGCTATTGCTTCATCTAGTTTTTGTTCTCTAATTATCACCCTTCTTTTTCATTTTCACATTTATTCATCCTGTCTCTCAACCACCCACATATCCAGCCATTAAGCTTTCTTGTTATCTGTTATGTTGTTTGCAAGGAACTAAGTGCTATAGAAAATAATGAGATGCTTAAAATTAAGTAAATCATAGACCAGGAAGAGATACCCTATTAATACATTTTGTATAGCATTTGCCACAAGTCTATTGCAAAAGCCTTTGTGTCATATGTTTTCTTGTTTTATAACTACAAATATAAACCTATACAAATATTATACATGTAACCATATATAATATGGGCCTCTCATATATAATATGAGAGCAGGAAGTCACTTGGTTAGGACTGTGTATGAGGAAGTTTTTTCAGGAAAGATGGGAAGGAACAGCCTCTGCCTCCAAATTCTATGACTCCTCACTGAAGTCCCCCATAGGCAGCTCCCTCTCATCCACACATCGGAAACATTCCCGGCTGATGTGGGAAGTTTACAACAGCTCAGAGACTTCCTGTCTCACCCATAAAGCAGAATTCACAACGGAGCCTCCAAGACATGGCATATGGACGCCCAGGCAAAAGCTCCAGACTCCTGTGCTCATGCTATGACACACACAGCTTCTCTCTCGTGGTTGCCAGTTAACTCAGCCTCTAGGACTGGTCTTCTGCCTTACACTTGATGATTTTTAGCTCTCATTTTTCATAGTGCCCAATAGAACTGACTCTCTCTAGGATGACTGACCAGACATGTACACCAGCCCACACTCCTGTACAGTGGTGCCGGGGCCTCACCCTGCTCTGCACACTGGACCTCCCTTCTACTTTTCCCACAAAGTTAGCCTCTGGAACACTTTGATCCCCAGCTCTGCCTCATTCTGCCCTTCAGTCTCATTCCCCAATCCATTTAACTCCTCTTCCCCTTCTGCTCCAAACTACTTCAGAAAACCACACTGTGATATGAAAGGGAAGGATTAATAGAGAGACTTCATAGGCTAATGCAATTTGGGGGAAATGGTCCTGAACTCGGAGGGTGGAAGTGGGTATTAAAAGAAAGACAGGTGAGAATGAGACTGCCAAAGTAAACATGAAAGGCTTAGATATTTCTACAAGAGTAAATGAGACAGAAAAGATTAAATGTAACACTGAATATAAATGTATCTTTTGGCCAATTGCATTTCTGGTAATTTGCCTTGAATACACACCTCCAAAAATATAAAAATATATGTGCACTAGATCATTCTGTGCACTATTATTTACAATCCAAAATACTGACTACTGTCTAAATGCTCAAGCATAAGAGCTTGATTGAATAAATTACATTGCATACATAGAATCCAGTCCTGTGCTTTTGAAAAAATAAAGAGAAGGATTTCTATGAACTGATTTGGAGTGAATTCCAGGAGATTATGTTGAGTCGTAAAAGCAGAGTGCAAAAGAACACATGGAATGAAAGCACAACCATTTGCACAGGAAAAAAATGAGAAATAATAACACACAAATATGTCTATTTATCTTTACACAAAAAGAAATACATGCACAGAGAAGGAAGAGAGCAATAAAGTTGGTTATCTATAAGGTGAGGGTAAGCAGGGTGCAAGGTTTGAGGAAGAGAGGGATGATTCTCTGAGTATACTTTTCTGCATAGTTATGACTTTTAGAAGCATGTTAGTGTACTATACATTATAAAATATATTAATACAGATGGGAAGGAATTATAAAACCTAAAATTGAAAGTGATCTGAAATAAATAAGCTAAATTGTATTTCAAATGAGTACCATAACCACACTAAAAGAGAAGAAAATAAAATAAGTCTGAGTGACTTATGAACACGTCATTCGACTACATACCCCAATCTTGGGCATGATTGAGGTACAGTGAGTGGGGGGAAGTGGAGAGGGGTGGACTGCAAATCCTAATCTCTTTTGGTACATTTGCTTGGTTTAGTGGTGTGTCTGCAGCACTTCTAGAAGTAACTAGAGATGTAGTATAGGATTGAGCAAATAAGTAAATATGTTGGTGGTATTGGGAGCCAGGGTTCTCCCTGTGAAAATGGGACATGCAAATATGGAATGGAGAAAACAAGAAGTAATCCTGTGAGGTTGGACTGGAATTAGATGCACTGGTGTAAATTCATGATTTCTAAAATATGCATGTATGTGTATGTGTACATGCATATCTGTGTGCAAGTATGTGTATATGTATTTGTGTGTATATGCACAGGCATATATTTACTAGTGTCAAGATAAATTAAAATGGAGACAAGGCCTAAAGAACCCCTGAGCAGACTAAGCCAGTTAGGCCTCATAAATGATCCTAACCTTGCCTGACAGGCAAAAATAAGTGAAACTTAGCTTAAGTTATTTCTTATAAATGTCTACATTAAAGAAGAACAGAACTTAAGTTTAACCAATCAGAAGCAACCAACAAACTTATAATTATATAACTAGGGACTTTCCAACAGGATAGACTAAATAAGGCAACCATATAACATTAGCCAACCAACTATTTTTCTTTGCTTTCTTTTTCTGTTCACCCTATAAAAGCCTCCCACTTGCATTCCCTCAATGAAGCACCTGAATCACTTCTGATTTGGAGCTGCCTGATTCATGAATCATTGTTTGCTCAGATAAAATAAAAATTGTATTATGCTTCAATCTACTTTTTTGACACAAGCCTATTTGCAGAAAGGGCCAAGAAGCAAATACCCTCCAGTGGAAATAAGTATCCCTGTGCCCACAATTTTTATTCAAATACCATTTTCACTAAAAGGAATCAGGGCTGTTTGGATAAGTGGATGATTCCAAAGGTGCAGTGAAGCAGGTCCAATATGACCCTGGAATATGTTATTATGCCAACAAGTAAAGAATTGCAAAAACAAAACAAAAAACAAAAACAAAAGGCAGGCATGTCACAAAAACACAAAAGCTAGCCTGATGGGCTTTAATACCTAATCTGGAAAACTCTGTGCACCAGAATAATTATGTACAAAATGAATAACAAATCAATGAAATAATAAGAATTGTGCTTCTAGACTGATAATAAGTCACTAAGTAAATGAAATAACAAATAACTGATAAATGAGAGAGGAGGATTCCTGTTTGTGGTGGAATACTGAGTGCCAACTAGTCAATTCAGAGAGAATGTTACAGTTCATAAATCATCATTTTCCAGTCATCATTGTCAATACTGTGTCAGGTGATTGTCATCAGCGGATGTTAAATCTGGGGTAATTTTAGTGAGGAATGTGATACATGTATGGCTTTAAAGTATTTCCTCATAGAATGCACATTTGTGAAGAGGGTAAGTCAGAAATAACACAGTTAAGACACCAGCCAACACCTTGACCAGCTCATCAAAACTGACATCACCAATATGAGCAGATGGACATCATGTGCTTCCAGATGAAACATTTTGAGAACACAAAACCATTTCTCTAGTGTTTTACCTAAGAATATGTATTATGAATCTAATCATGGCGGGGGAGACATCAGACAAATCCAAGATAAGTACACTTTTCTTTTAATAAAATGGGGACAACTTTCTTCACAAGTTTCAATGCTCTAAAGCCAAAGTCTGTGGAAATGACCCAGATTAAAGAAGACTAAAGAGAGATATAAACATAACATTTTCAATAGTCTGAATCCTGTAAGGAGAGGAAAACGCTATACAGGACATTACTGGGTCCCTTGACTAAAGCAGGTTATGAACAAAGGTATTGCATCCATGCTTAAAAAATGAGAGAGTACAGATGTCCTAGAAATGCGTTTACATTGTATCAAATATGTTTTATCATCTACTGAAACACTTCTGTATGTTTTCTCCTTTAAGATATGTTAATGTGGTGAATTACATGTTTAGATTCCTTAATATTAAACATCTTTAGAATCCTAGACTACCACATTTGATTATAATGTTCTCTAAAAAAAAACCCTAAATTTGATTTGCAAACAATAAATAAATAAATCCCAAAATAGATTTCAAACCCAAAACAGAATTCAAGTCTTGTTACTGAAACAAGTTTGAAAAGAATAATTTTTTCAAGATGAAAGACGCTATGGGGCATGCGCGCGCGTGCGCGTGTGTGTGTGTGTATGGAGGGGTGGGTGTTATGAATTGGAAGTAGAGAAGTGTGTGTGTGTGTGTGTGTGTGTGTGTGTGTGTGTGTGTGTGTGTTTGGAGGGGTGGGTGTTATGAATTGGACGTAGAGAAATCCTACTAAGAAGAAAGAAAGACTGAAGTGCTAGAGAAATATGATGAGAACATCATGAACACAGAAAGGGACCTAACTGCTAAGACCATTTGTCATGACCCCTGACGGATCCACTCACACCTCGCTTTGGATATGGTCTGATTCCTATCAGCAAAACACCTTTAACTGAGCTCAGTCTAAAACACACAATCTGTTGCAATCAGACTGTGGGGAATTCTCAGCTCTGGTTAGAGATGGGCCCTACCAACAATGTGAGCTTCAGGAAGAAAGGTACTCATTCGTGAAGTCAAATCCTCACCTTTAGCATTTAGAGCAATGGGTCACACACTCATCTATATTAAAATCACCCAGAGAGCTTTAAAAAAACCACCAACGTCAAGGCCACACACCAAAGCACTTGAAACAGAACCTCTGGTGTACTACATGAGAACTGACAGTTTATTCCTTTCTCCTTGGGATGCTGATGTTCAACCACGGTTGAGAAAATCTGATTTTGAGGCTTCACCTGCCCAAATGTAAAAAGAATATTTAATTACGGTAACACTCGCTAAATACCATTGAAACCTAAACTGCAACTCTTTTATATGATTTTGCTAATAAATTTTAACAGCATTGCTACAATTTTGTAAAAAATATTTTCAAATAACTTCTATGAAATAAAAAATATTTTGATCAAACAAAAAATCTTTCTGTGACTGTATCCTTCAAAGAGCTTTATAACCAGTATATCTGAAACTTCTATCAAATTTAAAGTATTTGGTTCTATTTTGCGAAGGTAAAAATTCAAAGCACCCGTGATCTGTAACAGAAAATAATTAAGTCAGTTTATATAAATCCTTTTTAACAGATGTAATCCGGTATTCAATATCATGGCTCACAATTTACATAAAATGTGGTTGGGGTGTTGTTTCCAGTGAATATCCTGCTAGAAGGAGGCATTTGGAACAGCTGGAAAGCATCAAACTTGCCAGTCTCAGCAAGATGGCATTTTTTTTCTATTGATTTATCTGAATTTCACTTCTAAAAAACATACTCAAAAGCAGACTCACTCTGAGATTCAACATTTCTCCACGCCCACATATTTCCATTAAAAACAAAATTTGATTATTCCACTTAACAATTTTCACAGGGTATACTTCTTACCTGCATTAGAGCAGATGATGTCTTGTGAATTCTTGCACATTTGGTTACTTTTCTTCTTTGTCAAGTCACAGTTAGTTGGGTACTGGCAAGCATCCCCATACCATCCCTGGTCACACTTGCACTTGCCACAGTCACACTTACCATGGCCTGGGGATTGAACAACATCTAGTCAGACTCAAATTGTTTTCCAAAGATAACCACTACTGTAACACATACTCTTAACAGTGACATTGATTTGGGACTGAGCTATAATAAATTGAAACTCATGTATATCGCAGTGGCTGAGGGGTAATGCTATTATATAAAATGCAATGGAATATGAAAATTTTATTTCAATAGTCAACCGATAAATTATAAAAACATTAATTTATAAAGACATTAGGATAATACATTAAAAAGCCTAATAAATCACAGGGTCAGAAAATTCAGCACTGAAAAACCATTCTATCCAGCATCTCAGTATTTAAGAGACAAAAGTCCAACGAAAAAATACTTCTAGTTTACTGTATTTTACATAACACATTAAACCACAAACCATGAATAAAGACTCTTACATGAAACTCTACTAAACTAAACACTGGCCTTACTGTTAACTCGAATTAAGCATGTAATGAAATTTATGGATATATTAAATACCAACTTCAGTAATATGGACATAAAATACGTATATATTTTGTTTCATATTCATCTGCCTCCACATAAATTTCTCAATCTTTAATGTTCTCAATAGTCATTTTGCTTTAATGCATGTTGTTTTCATTGTTGTGATCAGTAATGTTATTAAGTCCTGCTTGATGAAGCCTACTAATGTTTTTATTGATTGCACATTAGTCTGACAGAAGTGCAAAACATGTGCAGTACTTGGTCCTTGTCCTCAAAGAATGTACAAACTTCAAAGTCAAGGCTAATATACAAAGAAGCTGATGTGATTGTCAGCCAGAAGTGATTGTCACCTTGAGTTAAGCTGAGCGATAAAGTCTATGACCTATAGACGTAACAGCAGAGACTTTCTGGACTTCCTTGACTGTTAACTGGCCCTTGAAAGTTGAGCAGATTTTGAATGGGTTACAGGAAGAGTGTACATATATTACTCAAGACAATACTACTATGTCTAAATGCCTAAAATTCATAGGCCACATGAAGTCATTGATCTGATTCAACATGGTAGCTGAAATCCAAGGGATAAGGTCCAGATGGTTGGTCAGTATGAATGGCTTGGAGGCTGCCCATTTGGGCATGTTTGGCAGAGCCTGAATCTGTGATTGGCTGTGACTTTAAAACTGCTCTTTATGTGGACCAGTCCATGTAAATGTTCCTATTTCTGTTGCATTTATAAAATTAATTATTCTATTTTATAACCAAAACCTTGCAAGTATTTTATTAGGAATTCATTCTATTCAGCACACATTACTCCCTCAAATTGACTGCATCATTTTGCATTCCTGCCTGGCCCTACAAAATATTGTCAGTCTTGCCCAACTTGGTATCATTTTTAAGCATAAGTGATCTCACCTGTCAACCACCTAGCCTATTTATAAAAGCATTAAGCCAAATTCTTGCAGTGGTTAAGGCTCTTTGATAAATCAACTATCTTGGAAACTGTGTTGACTCTTTAATAACATTAATGTATTTGGTTGAACCATATGGAATTGCCACTTTCATAAGTTGAATATCAGCTGTTTCTTATGGTTCCACACCAATAAACAGTAAAGAAAATAGAAATGATTTAGAAGATAAAGCATTATGGTAGCAGTAATTTGGTGAATCAGGAATAAAAGACTACTCAATGTGATTTTTTAAATTTTATATTAAATAGGACATCTTAGATCCTAAAGTATACACAGTAGAGATGGGAAATAATTTGTGGGTCAAAGGAACATCTTTTTAAAGGTGAGATGGTTAAAAATAGAAAGAAAGGGGGAAAATAAACAAAATGTATACAGGATAGGGAGAGATCCATCCCTTCCAAATTGACCCAATGACGCATCAATAGAAGCAATATTCTAAGTTGCTTATCCCCTGAAGTGGGTTCATGGAGGCTCAGTTTCATGAAACTCTCTTCACAGAAGATTCTAGGGTAAAATAAACATGGAAAAGAGTCTGCTGTCTTCTGTTCTAATGTGTCACGATATATATCAGCACACTAATGAGCCTCATATATCCTATCATGAAAAATATTTTTAATTTTTTTAGCTTAGAATTTGCAAAACTTTGGCTACGAGGCCCCTTTTCTCATAACCTGTATTAGCATCTTAGGCACATGCTTAGACTAACACTGTGTCAGACACTGTAATGTGTTTTCAGCTTCTTCCTTAGCATCTGTTTGGAGGCAAAGATGACAGCTAATGTCAGACAGGGCCATCTGCCTTTACATTCTTTCTAAGCTTTATGCCCAGTAAGGGTTCCATGATTCATTTTCTTCCATTTAGGAAAACTCATTGAATAGGAATTGATTTCTGACTGTCAAGAATTATCAAATAGCCTGTGTAACCTTGTTTAAAGATAAATATATATTTACAAAATAGTATTCAGACTATTGTTTACAATTTTTTCTAAGGTTAGTAAGAGCTTTAGCAGACCTCGGGGGATTAGGTTGCTATATTATTGTGGCAAGGTAATCTCCATTACAGTGTCAATAACATGGCTTCAAAAAACACCTCATTTTTCAAAATAATTTATTTGTTATGTGTTAGTTTCCTGAATCTTCCATAACAAAGCACCACAAACTTGGTGGCTTAAAAAAACAGAAATTTATTCTCTCACAGTGATGAAGACTGGAACCTGAAATCGGGTTGGTTAGTTCTGGAGGACCTGAGGGAGAAACTGTTCCATGCCTCTCTCTCAGTTGCTGGTGGTTGCAGGTAATCTTGGGCATTTCTTGGCTTGTGGCAGTGTAACTCTGCTCTGATGATACTGCATATCCTTTCATATGCTTATTTGCAATACATCTATCTTCTTTTTTTAAATTTTATTATTATTATACTTTAAGTTTTAGGGACATCTATCTTCTTTTGCCCATTTTTGTATTGAAATTGCAGAGTCATTTTTTATATATGACTATATAACATATATAATTACATATACATATATGTACATATACACATACATATATACCTGTGTTTCTATATATATGTTTTAAAATTTATACATACATGTATATGTATGTTTATCCTGGATACAAGTTCATTGTCATATATATGTATATATAAAAACATATATATATATCAACATATACACATATATACATGCATATCCAGGATACATATATATGTACATAAATTGTTATATATTGTTATATATACATATATGTACGGATATATATGTATATAAATTGTTGTATATACATATATATGTACGTATCTCCTGGATAGAAGTTCATTGTCACAAATGTAATTTGCAAATATTCTCTCCCAATTTGTGACTTGCCTTTTGTTCTATTAACAGTATCTTTTGAAGAGTAAAAGGTTTTGATCTTAATTAAATCCAATTTATCAAGTTTTTTCTTTAATAGTGGTTTTTGTGGTATCTACTTGAAAAACCTTTGCCTAACTCTAGGCTTATTCTTCTGCTACAACCACAGTCTTGATTACCCTAATTTATAGTAAGTATGGAAATCAAGTATTCTGAGAACTCCAACTTTGTTCTTTTTAAAAAATTATTTCAGCTCTTGTAGTTCCTTTGATTTTCTATATAAAGTCTAGAATCAGTATGTTGACATCAGCAAAAAAGCTTGCACAGATTTTGATAGGGATTGCATTGAATCTATAGATAAAAGTAGAGAGAATTGCCATCTTAACAATATTTAGTCTGTGACTACAGTGAAATACATTGGTTGATTTTTTAATGTTGTACCAGCCTTGCATCTTGAGATATACCTCATTTGGTTGGTAATAAGTATTATATTTTTATATATTTCTTTATATATTGGATTCCATTTGCTAATATTCTATTAAAGATTTGGTGTTCTATGTTTATAAATCATACTGGCATGCAGTTTTGTTTGTTGTAAGGTCTTTGTCTACTTTTAGGATAAGGAAAATTTTGCCCTAGTGAAATGATTTGAAATGTATTCTCTAATCTCCTAGTTTTTGGAAGAGGTAGTATAGAATCAGCATTATTTTATCCTTAAGGGTTTGGTAGAATTTGCTAGTAAAATCATTGGAGCCTAGAATATTCATTTTTACAAATGTTTAACTATGATTCACTTTGCTTGACCAATATTGGCTATTCAAGTCATCTATTTCTTTTTAATTGATTTTTGGCAGATTGTGTCTTTCAAGGACTTGGCCCATTTCATTTAAATTCCTGAACTTAACAGGCATAGACTTGCTTATATCATAAGCTTACTATCTTTTTAACATGCATAGTGTTGGATATTATGTATGTTATTTCATGCTGATGCTGGTAATATTTGTATGTCCTGTATGTTTCTTGATCAGTCTGCTTAAAAATAAATCAATTTTATTGTTATTTTCAAATAATCAGCTTTTGGTTTTATTGATTTTCTTTATTGTTTTTCTCTTTTCAATTTCACTATTTTTTTCTCTAATCTTTATTATTTTCTTCCTTCTCCTGTTTTTGGATTTAATTAGGTCTTTTTTTTCTATTTTCTAGGGTAGAAGTATAAATTAATTTTAAACACTTCTTCTGTTCTAATATAAACATTTAATTCTGTAAATTTTTCTCTAAGTACTATGTTAGCTGCAATCCACAAATTTTTGATATGTTATATTTTATTTTCATTCAGTTAAATATTTTTATTTATAAATTATTTTATTTTCATTCATTAAAATATTTTTAATATCCTTTGAGATTTCCTATTAACCTATGGGTTATGTAGAAGTGTGTTGTTCAAATTTTTTTCAGATCTATTTCTGTAATTTCTAGTTTAATCACATTATTATATGATAATACAGTTTCTTTTAAATTTCTGAAGGCTTCTATTATGACCCAGAAGATGATCTATCTTGTTCAATTTTCCTTGTGCATTTTAAAATAATGTATCTTCTGCTGTTCTATAAATGTCAATTTGGTCAAGCTGGTAATATAGTTTTGTTCAGGTTTGCTATATCCTCACTAATTTTCTATCTACTTGTTCTGTCGACTATGAGAAAGGAGTATTGACATTGACTACAATTGTGGATTTTTTCCCCTTTCAGTCTGTCATTCTTTAAATTTATGTATTTTGAAATGCTTTATGTGTATATATACTTAGCATTTTAAAACTTAGGATATAATTACTTTTTCATTGTGTAATATCTCTCTTTATCCTTGATATTATTTCTTGTCCTAAAGCCTACTTTGTCTATCATCAGTATAGTTGATCCAGTATTCATTTGACGGGTGTTTGCATAGAATACCTTTCCCATTCATTTATATTTAACCTGTCAATGTCTTAAAGTCATTTCTTATAGATTAGTCGTGTCTCAGTTTTTATACAATCTGACAATCTCTATCTTTTAACTGGTGAGTTTAAAGAGATCACATTTAACATGATTTTTTACATTGCTGGATATAAATCTACCAACTTTCTAAGCAATTTTTATTAGCTTTATCAGTTCTTGTTTTTGCCTCTTTTTTCTGCTTTCTGTTTTGTTTATTGAGCATTATTTTTTATTCTATTTCCTCTGCTATTTGTATACTTTGATTTTTAGTGGTTGTCCTAGTGTATACATTATATATCTTTAACCAACCAGAGTTTACATTCAAATAATATTGTACCACTTTATATGTAATTCTAGGAAAGAGTTAAAACTGTAAGAGTTAAAACATTAAATTCCCAGCTCTTTCCTCCCATTCTTTGTGCCATTTTATTTTTGCATAAACACACACACATTTCCTATAGACACACAATCTACTGCCATTAATTTTGTTTTAGACAGTCAGTTATTTTTAGAGCAACTAAAAATAAAACTATAATGCTATTACACTTTAATTTATTCCATTTTCATTGCTCTTCATTTCTTTGTGTAGATTCAAGTTTGTCAAGTATCACATTCCTTTTGTCTAAAGAACTTCCTTTACATTTATTTAGGGTAGGTCTGCTGTAATGAATAGCCTCATAAAAATCCTTAATTGTTTTCATTTCTGGAATATACTTTTTGCTGGATATAGAATTCAATGCTAACATTTATTTCTTTCAGGCTTTCAAAGACGTCTCTCCATTTTCCCCACGCTTGCATGGTTTCTGACAAGAAGTCCCCTGTCATTAGTATCTTTGTTCCTCTGCATATGTTTCTTTTTCTGTAACTGCCTGTAAGAGTTTCTGTTTGTTTTTGTGTTTGGTAATTTGAAAATGATAAGTCCACCTCTTTGTTTTTGTGTGATATGTTTTCTTCGTTATTTATCTATGTTGAGCTTTCATTTATTTATGTTCCTGTTTCCTTCCCATAGCTGCCATGGATACTTACAAGTGCCCTAAGAGCAAGGAGATGTATTACCCTTTCCCCGACAGTGAAAGATTTTGTTTTATAGGGGAAACAGGTACTAAATGTCTGGATAGTTTCATGACCATCCTGGAGGAGCTGCTCCTCTCTTCCTTGAGTTCCCCACTTCCTGGATCTGTTTTCAAAAGCATCTTCCAGTCCTTTCTGTGAGAGCTCAGTAGGATTTATAGATACAAATCTGAAGAGGGTTTGGGCTCTCTCAAATTCTGCAGCACCCGGGGCTTCATGCTCATTCACGAGGGCATACTTGGCCGCTACCAACTTTCCCACCACCCTTCTCAGCACCTAATTATGTCTACCCAGCTAAGCCCGAGCTCATTTCTCTCCCTTCATCTGCCTATCTATCTCCAGATTTGGGGCCAGTTGCTTTTCCTGTGACTTCAGATCTTGGATGAATTCAGAAACACATGGGGATTTTTAATTCGTCCCACTTTTCTTCAGTGTAAGAATGGGAATCACACTTTGTAACTTTCTACATCCCTAAGTGGAAACCAAAATCTTACAGACACTTTGCAAATAAGTTCATCAAGGGTAAAGAATAACTATAGCTCCCATCCCCAAAACCTGTGATGCTACACAGCCCTGCATTTACATGTATATTGGAAATAAACAATTATAGCTCAGAGATTGTAAATACAAAAAAAGGATAATTTGAGTTACTTGTATTTGTCTTCTTAACCACTTGGAATGTTTACTTGTTTTACATTTTAAAACAGCATACAGAGGGATGTAATGCATAACTTTTGAGGTAAGTGCAAATTTTTGTTCATATATAAATTATTTAACTTAATTTTGCAATATCTTTTAAAAGTAAATGTATTATTCTACATACACTGTTACTTGTTTTAAGACTAAAAAACAAATTTAAAAATCTGATTGTTAATTATCTCTTCATGATTATTACTGGCAACAATTTTATCACATAGAGAAGGATAGGTATTAAAAATTTATTCTCTCTGTGCATCTGATAAGCTAGGTGTACCACTGCTACAGCCTCATGATAACCTTGAAATAGGGGTATTTTAATTTGAACACTTAGTTGACTCTGCCAGCTAAAATTCATTTGCTTTGTTCAAATATGTAAATTCCAAAAACCTGTTTTGTGTCCTATTTTCCAGTGTATTCAAATATGCTCAGTTTATAACAGATAAACTCAATTTTTCTCTAGTCATTTTTGAGCCACCATAGATTCCTAAGCCTTCTCTAGTAATAAGAAACAAAAAAACAATGTAACATCTAGAATTCTAAGAAAAGATTGTGAAAGAATTCTTTATCTGACAGTACAATTATTTCATGATTTGAGATAGAAACTTCACCATTTTTAAGACAGGGCACCAGTCCCTGGCTTGCTTCTCAAGCTGAGAAAAAAAATGTTCCTTAGGTATTTCTGCTTTTCATTCCTGAGAGCATTTTCATGTGGACAACGGAAGAATATAGAGGGTTCCACTGCCTCGAAATTAAAAGGTCTCCACTCTTGTCCTGCCTGGACACTAACTAGCCATGTAATCTTGAAGGAAAATAAAAAAGAAGAGAAGAAAGGGAATCTAATAATTATTGGCTTCCAGTACTATGATAAGTACTTTATGCAAGTTAGTCTGATTTTCATAATGAGCCAGTGAGATGGGCTTTGTTTTTCCATTCTACAAGTGAAAAGACTGAGCAGAGTTTAAGTAGTTTGGTTTGGCTCAAGGTCATATAGCTGGTAAGCTCAAAAGCTATGTTTTTCCCATGACAGCCAACATTATCTGTTTAGTTCTGGAATTTAGCAATGGACTTGAAAGGACTCTTTTGCTGTAGGAAGAGTGGTGTTAGTAAAAGCTATGGATTGGTTGTTGGATAGCACTGGTTTTATTTTTACTGCTTCCTTTGAAACACACATGCTTAGAATTGGATTATTCACAATCCTTGGTGAAAGAACTATAACAGTAAATTATTGAACTTCACGATTTAAAATTGAATAATGCTAAAACTACATGAAATAATTCAGAAATCTAGTCATGAAATTTTTCTTGACCTACTTCACTGTATTCACATGCAAAATTAAGAGATTGGATTGAATAGCCCCAAGATTCCCTTCATCTGCAAAATCCCATACTATATCCTCAATTATTTTCTTTTTCTCACAACAAAGTAGTATTTTCAAATTGGGCACTCAATCTATTAAAACAAGGGGGTGACAGACATCAATTAATTGTGATCAGATCTTGTTTGCTACTAAAAGCAACCATGACCAGTTAAAATTCTATGTGTCATTCAGAGTATCCATTAAAGTATTGCAGATAATCATGATATGTTTATTGTTAAGGTGTGTTTGCATTAATGCTACTAAAATTAGGGGGTTTTCTAATAACCTGTGACTAAAGGATGAAATTGAAATTATAGTAAAGCAAAACACAGTATTTTGGCTGAACTTAGAAAATTTTATAAAGTCAAACATATATTCATGTATCAAATTCATGAAAGTTATATAAACACACACACACACACATACACACACAAATACAAATACACAAGCACTAGTTTGGGATTCAGGAAACCTCTAGGTGTTAGTATAGATTATGTCACTGCTAGCTCTGTGGCCTTCAGCCAGATGGTTAATCTTTTAATTTTTCTGGTCCCAATATTTTTGTCTGGTAAATTAAAAATGTATATGAGATCAGAATTTCTTGAGGGAGGCAAGGCATGTCCCTTTAAGAGGGTATCGGAATTATCTTCCTCTGCCGTTTCATCCACGTAAATCCCAAAAACTTGGTGACCCTTTCCCTACCAGAGAATCCATGATAATAAAAGAGAGTATGGCATATCTCAGGTGTCCTGAGAAGGGAACGAGAGAAAGGGAAGACCACTAGATTTGATGACAGACATTCTCCGTTCTCTTTGTCACCTTCTAGCTTTCAGTTCTAAGACTCTATTTGTCAGAAATCTTTTTTAAAAAATTTAGATTCAGGGGGTAGCAGTGCATGTTTGTTACATGGGTATATTGCCTAATGGTGGGGACTGAGCTTCTAGTGTACCCATCATCCAAATAATGAACATTATATCCAAAAGGTAACCTTCCAACCTCCACCTTCTCCCTCCCTCCCCGTTTCTGGAGTCCTCAGTATCTTATGTCTATCTTTATGTCCCTGTGTACTCATTGTTTAGCTCATTCTCTTGTAAGTGAGAACATGCAATATCTGATTTTCTGCTGTATCAGAAATCTTTAAAGATTCCTCCACCTCTTTTGCAATAAAAGTAATCCTTGCTTTAGTTTCCTCCTTGCTCTTTTACCTTCTCGTTAGGCTTTTTTTTTTTTTTTTTTTTTTTTTTTTTTTTTGAGACGGAGTTTTGCTCTGTCTCCCAGGCTGGAGTGGCGCGATCTCGGCTCACTGCAACCTCCGCCTCCCGAATTCAAGCAATTCTCCTGCCTTAGTCTCACAAGTAGCTGGGATTACAGGAGTGCATCACCATGCCTGGCTAATTTTTGTATTTTTAGTAGAAACATCGTTTCACCATTTTAGCCAGGATGGTCTCAATCTCCTGACCTCATGATCCGCCCACCTCGGCCTCCCAAAGTGCTGGGATTACAGGCATGAGCCACCGTGCCCGGCCCCTCATGAGGCATTTTATTTAAGAGTGTCTGTTAGCATCGGACACACCAAATGACAGAAGCCTCTCAAGCCTGAGAACTTAACGTCTACCAATATTTATTGGTCAGTGGAAGTGAACTTGATAATCAAACAGGAATCCAAGACTCTTGAAATGTTGTATCCAGAATAGGAGACCCGAGATAGGTGAAACCTCCCCTGTTTTACTGAAAAAAAATATGCATCTTCACAAATCACTCTTATTTCCTCCCTCACTGTAGAGGAAGGAAACTAAGTCACATCTAGAATTCTAAGAAAAGATTGTGAAAGAATTCTTTATCTGATATTATAATTATTGCATGGTTTGAAATAGAAACTTGACCATTTTTAATACAGGGGCACAAGGAATCTGGTTAAATGAAGAACGACATGCACATTTATATGTGCATATATGTGTGTCTATGTATTCACATATGTATGTAAGCATATGCCAAGGAGATCAGCAAGGCTATAAACTTTATCTTTTAAATGGCGACTCAAAGTAAAAGCACTGTGTAATGAGATGATATTTAACATGCCTTCCAGTGTTGAAAATGTTTTTCAGAAATCTTGAATGTGCATCTTTGATAAACATTAATAATATTCTTCATCTGACAGTGCTGCGTTCTTCATCCTAAGTTCCACTGGTTGCCTAAGGAAAAATCTCTGCCCACAGCCTTATTCCTCATGCCCCAGCAGGAGCTGTGCATCAGCATGGCACCGCTCTGTCTGTCCCCTGAGGAGGGATAAGGCAGGGCTGTGGAGTGCAGGCTCCAATGACAGACTGCTTGACTCAAATTCTGCTTGTATGACTTGCTCACTATGTAACTTTAGGCAACTATTTAATCCATCATATTAGTTTCCTAAGAACTGCCATAACAAAGTCCCACAAATTGAGTAACTCCAGACAACAAAAATGTTTTGTCTCATATTTCTGGAGACTCGAAGTCCAAAACCAAGGTGCGAACAGGACCAGGGTCTCTTGAGACTCTGAGTAGAATCCTTCATTGCCTTATTTTGGCTTCTGGCAGTGACCTACATTTCTTGGAGTTTCTCAGCTCACAGTTGCATCACTCAGATCTTTGCCTCTCCAATCACTCCAATTACATGGCCTTCTCCAGTCATGTCTCTGTGTCTCTTTTCTTCTTCTACTTTTTTTTTTGAGACGGAATTTCCCTCTTGTTGCCCAGGCTGGAGTGCAATGGCACAATCTCGGCTCACCACAACCTCCGCCTCTGGAGTTCAAGCAATTCTGCCTCAGCCTCCCGAGTAGCTGGGATTACAGGCATGTGCCACCACCCCTGGCTATTTTGTATTTTTAGTAGTGACAGGGTTTCTCCATGTTGGTCAGGCTGGTCTCGAACTCCCGACCTCAGGGGATCCGCCTGCCTCGGCCTCCCAAAGTGCTGGGATTACAGGCATGAGCCACCGTGCCCAGCTTCTTTTCTTCTTCTTATAAGGATACCAGCCATATCAGATTAAGGACCCACTCTACTCCAGTATGATCTCAACTTAATAAATTATCTCTGCAAGGCCCAATTTCCAAATAAGATCACATCCTGAGGTACTGGGTGTTAGAACTTCAACACATCTTTTGGGGAGATCCAGTTCAACTCATAACACCTCTCATTATCTCTGCGTCTTCCTTTGTGAAAAAGGAGCTAATGATAGCCCCTCTCCCATAGAGCTGTTAAATGTATGGAATAAGTCAGTATGCACAAAGCACTTAGAACACTGCTTATCAGTCAAATCATAGCTATTACTATCCACACTGAAAGTGTTTGGAGAGCAGGTTGCCCTAACACAACTGTCTTGACCATCACAACCCTAAGCTTAAATGAAGAAGTACTTTTGCAGAATGAAATAAAGGACATTAAGTGAAAATTCTGAGTCTGAGTCCTTCTCTCATATAGCACACAAAAATCCCTGATCAAATACTAATAGTGCATCTGGGTTACAGAGATAAGAAATTTTCCTGGAGAATGTCCACAAAACTAACAGACAAACCTACTAACAGATGAATTCAAAACCAATTGGAGCCAGATAAGAATTTAAAGACTTTAAAGTGCTAACCAATGTTTTATCTATATAAAACATACACACACACACAAAACACTTAAATACATGCATATATATACACATACATATATGTAGATACTTAAATACATGCATATATATTTTCTTGTGTGCGTTGTCTGTGTATTATTTTAAGATTCCTAAACGCCACCCCTTCCCATATCCATATTATACCTTGACATCAGCTGCCTTTGGAAAAGCAATAGAAACATAACCAACAGCAAAAATTAATTTTTCTGTGTTTTTCATCTTCAGAGCAAAGGTCCTGATACACACTGGTGGTTTCCAAAATATAGGGCCCTCGTTGAGGGAGTACAAAAAAAAATATTTGGGATACAAGAAGAAAACACTAGAATTAATACATATCCTTATTTTTGTTTTATCTTTAAAAATGGTTATTTTGTACATTTTATGTGCACAACATATTGACGTAAAATATGCCTATATAAATTATAAATGAATATGCATGTATGTGTAAGTTTCACTTTTGATGTGTAATCAAAAAAGTTTTGAATTGATGTAAGCTTAGATTTGCAAAGCTATAAGAAAAATTCTATTTTTTAAGCTGGGTGATGAACACACAATATTAATATTGTCACTTTTTATACTTTATGATAATATTTCACTCAAAAATTTAAAAAAGGAAAAACATATGTCAGAAACAGTCTTTCTATAAGCAGTAATATTAAAGATGTTGTTTAACTATGATGTTGTTTTGGGATTTCAGTGAAATCAAGAGATGTTACAACTCATAGTATCCTGACACATTCATAAGTCACTGCCTGGGGGAAGACAGAGTAATACTAATCTTTGCAACCTGAGGGGCTGTGAAGAGCCAAGAGAATGTAATTAATGACTATTTAAATGAAAAGGACACTATTATTCAGAAAAATGTGATGCCAGTATGAGAAATGCATAGAAAAGCTATGAATTGTGTGGCACTCCACAAAAGGGCCCTGTCCCCTGCCCCACCCCAGGAGGGGTGGAGTACAGACAGGGAAAGACAGAGCCTCAGGTCCAAACTGCATATCCCTGGAGAGTTGCAAATTTTCTCTGAATCATCTCAGAACAATTTCAACAGAATAAGGCACTTGTGGCTGTTAAGGCCACACATGCCTGACATAGGCCACCAAATGTTCCACAGACGCAGCATGGCTCATGAGAACAACCATAATTGCTTCAAAGGAAGGTTGCTGTCTGAAGAGGACCTATGGTGAGAACAAGTAGATGGGCCCACAAGGACTGCCCACCATTGACCACATGGCAAATACAGATGTCATCGTGTAAGACAGCAGCTAGAGAAATGAGACATAAGCAGGGACCAGGTGACAGTGGCAAAGCCCTGTGAACTGTGAACAGTTTACTCCCAAGGATTATTGTCTTGACTCCAGGGAAAATCCACATTGATTGAGAGCAACCTAAATGGAATTTAATAACATTCTGTCATCAGTGGACTGAGAGCTGTTATGGGCTAAGTTGTGTCCTCCTACAATTCATATATTGAAAACTTAGACCCCAGTACCACAGAATGTAACCTTATTTGGAAATAGGGTGGTTGTAGATAGAATTAGTTGAGATCACACTGGATTAGGTGGGCCCTTAATCTGATATGACTGTTATCCTTATAAAAAGGGGAAACCTCGGCCGGGCACAGCGGGGGCTCATGCCTGTAATCCCAGAACTTTGGGAGGCCGAGACAGGAGGATCACCTGAGGTTGGGAGTTCGAGACCAGCCTGACCAACATGGAGAAAACCCGTCTCTACTAAAAATACAAAATTAGCTGAGTGTGGTGGTGCATGCCTGTAATCCCAGCTACTTGGGAGGTTGAGACAGTTGAATTGCTTGAACCTGGAAGGCAGATGTTGCGGTGAGCCGAGATCGTGCCATTGGACTTCTGCCTGGGCAATGAGAGAAACTCTGTCTCAAAAAAAGGGGGGAAATATGGACACAGCGGCAGGCACACCGAGAATGCCTTGTGAAGATGAAGGCAGGGATCGGGGCAATGTGTCTACAAGCCAAGGGTCATCAGCCGCCAGAAGCTCCCAAGGGAGTATAGAACAGAGCCACTCGCATAACCCTCAGGAGGAACCAAGTCTGCCAACACCTTGATCTCAGCCTTCTGGTCTCCAAAACATTGTGACAAAAAATTTCTGTAATTCAAAACCATCCCGTTTGTGGCACTCTGTTATAGTAACCCTTGCAAACCAAGGCAGAAACTCAAGGTACAGTCTTCAAAAATTGTAGGAAAATGAAGGTATATCATTTTGCGTTTCTGAGTTTGCAGTTTCAAAAAGTAACTGCCACACATTGACATATTAATGCATTTTAATATATATGCTTAAGAGGTGACCTCATAAATGAGGGTTGAAATTTACATGAATCTTGGGAGAAATAATTAAATCTGAATATTGTACCTGACATACCCAGGGCCATCCTGAAAATTACATCAGAAGGCAAAAAGTTCTTAACAAAAGTATATATTTCTCCTTGCTAACATGTGTCTAAAGGCAGTAGGAAAGAAAAGCAATAGAAATCTCCCATATAATGAAACACACAGCTGAGGCAATCACTAAGTAACAGGCCAAATGTCTCTCCATGACTTCTCTTTCTAATTCTACTTGGGATTCCTCCATTCCCCAAAGTTTGTTGTCTAAAAAACAAGACCACTTTCTTTGTCTGAAAAAAATGTCAGTCCTCTCCTACTAACAACATTGCATCACTGAATTCCAGTGGGCTGTGTAAAGAATCCCCCACACAAAGCTGACAAATTATGCCTGAGGAGAAGATGTTTCATAGACAGAGAGAACATTTTTACTGCTCCTTCAAATAAATTTGTGAAATGGCTAACACAAAGATTACCAATAATCACCTTATGATCTACAAATGTTATGATCACTCAATTCTTTGGAATGTTATCTTCTCCTCACCCAACTGAAAAGGAGAAGATTGCAATAATTTATTTTTCTTTCCTTCTCACTCAGTTCAAAATTAACAAACATTTATATTTTGAGTTAACTTTATTGTAAATCCTCTAATTGCAATGACTTTTCTATTAACTCTAACTCCCTAGGGAACCTCCACTGTAAGCTGTTGTAAAGTGGGTAGTTAATAAACATTATTGACAGTTTGCTTGATCTGACTTAAAACAAGGAAATTATTCTCTTGAAAGCCAATAGAAGGACTTGAAGGCAAGAGTTTTCCTACAAAACAAGATCAGCTATCACAAAAACATCTGCATTTGGCATGGAGACTAAAGTGAGTTCATTGCTATTTATTCTTAAAAACTTCATAACTCGTGAAGTAGCTCACAAGATTTACAAAGCAATTCATGGACAAGGGAGAAATATTTCAAATGAATTGTCACTTTTGATTCTATTTAAAAAAAAACACCTAGATCAGTAGACAGAAAAATTAAATTGAGAATAAATCCATAAGCCAAGCAATATTTTGCAGGATATGATACTCTCTCTCTGTTCTGATGCCCCATCTCCTTTCTTGAGGACTAAACACTGGACACAGTTCATTCAGCAAGTAGAACTCTCATAGAAATCATGTATTTTGGTAAAGGGACTGCAAACTGTACTCAGGTATGCAGTTAAGGAAAGGTTGCTAGAGTGGCCAGTATGCACAGCTGTTTTGAAGCCATTTAAAACCAAGGAGCTTGGAGATTGAGGAAAGAGCATGAAAACAGTGGTGGAAATCACTTCGACAAAAAGGAATATCTTCCCATGAAAATATGATCAGTTCAAAACTCACCACCCCCATCAAGGCTGCCCTCCCTGCTCTTGACCCATGGGCTATATCACCCCACATTCTGAAAATCTGTCATGATAGATAATCTTCACTTAGTTTTACATTTACAAACTATCTCATTTTTAATCATTCTAGATAATACATCTTGTCTTCCTTTTGCATTGGCATACCAATATTTACTTTGGAAAATAGCTTTACCAAGTTTATAATGCATAAAATAACATAAGCATATGTTAATCTTCTGAGTTAAAAATCACTTTGACTTGCAAAATGGCATGAAAAACAGAAAACATAATCATCCTCACTTCTAGAAAAGGAAATTCTTGGTGAATGTCTTTTCATGATTCCTCCAAATTTTTAGCCAATTTCTCAAGTCACTTACCCAGCTCAGGTACCCTGGAGCTGAGGAGCAAGACAGAAATCCCCTCCCTTCCTGAACTTCCTTCCTGATCCATCTTGCTCCCTTTTCTCCAGCCCCCAAGGCCATGTCTAGGTCCATTCCTTTCAAGGAGCCTTGACTTCTTTGCCTTCTGGTTCTTTGGGTCCCGAATTCCTCTCTCTTCTCTATTTCAACCTTGGCTTCATTTTCGATACCTCCCCTTAAACCATACAACTGAGCAAGTGTCTCCTGTTCTTTACAAAATATAATCAGTACTACATTAGGCGAAGGTAGGTTTCATTCCAAGACTCACCTTTTATTTACAATCAGATTTTATTCCCACCATCCTACTGACATTTCTCTAAGATAAACTAATATGCTTTTCACTGCTTAGTTCAATTGCCTGTTAAATCCTTACCTCATTTGTTGCTTCTTTGTCTTTTGACAACTTCTCTTCTTTCTCCTACCCTCCCCATCCTCCTCTGTATCCTCACCCCTCTCCATCATGCCTACATGATGACAGAGGGTCAGCAAAATCCATACACCCCAGTGCATCCAAGAAGCGATGAAGCAAATAAAAGAACAAGACTGGAACATGTATTCTGAAGAATGTTAATTAAACCTAAAGATATTCTTCACATGACTGAATCACACTAAGTTTTAAGTAGGCTTGAACTAAGTTATGTTTTATTAAGCTTTGTTCTATTTTTTTTCCTGGCATTCAGTGAGCAGTTGAAAAATAGGAAGAAAGCTCATGAGAAACATCAGAGAAAATAGAAAGGAATTAAAAGAAATATTTCCTTTGCACATTCAAGATAAAGAATGTGAAGTTTAATCTTCCACAAGCACACACTTATCAGTTTTCTTAAATTTATTACTCTACCATACATACTGCTCTGAGCCTTGGTTTATTTTTCCACCTACAATATATCTTGGAGAACTTTTGTTGAGAACTGTGAAAGGGGACTGGGATTAGATTTCACCTTACTTTCAAACTAACAAATTAGCCTGCCACAGTTTCACGGATTCTGGCAGAAGACATGAGACTCTTGAATCAGCGTCAAGGGGCTTTATAATGGCAAGATCAGTAACTGGAATATCAATTTGAGATAGTTATCAAGTTTTACTTCCCAAAAGGCAACACAATGAGAACCAAGTGGTGTTTGAACATGCAGTTGGTTGTGTTCCAGGAGAGGAACCCTCAGGATACGGGGTCCCTGCTCTTTCACAGTGGGCAGTAAGTATTCCTGACCTTTGCCCCAGAAGGAGACAGTAGTTTATTATATTATGCTATAAATATACTCTTTTTCTCCAGAGGCAGGCACCATGTCTGTCTTCCCAGGCTGTTCTCTGAACAAACAGCCATGAAAAGATAGTCTGGAACAAAATTAGTCAGGGCCTATGTTGACAAAAATATGCAAACACAAGAGGCCCATGGAGAATTTTCTCCCAATATCTAAACATATCTATATCCCAGCTCATAGAAAAAGACTTATTCTTTTGAATAGATGCATAATTTGTGACTATAGTATATAGCCATAATCATCTAGCAGTCCTTTATTAACTAACTAGTTTTTGACCATTTACCACTACAAATTATATCATCATAAATATTCTTCCTTACAGGAGCATCTTTGTGCAGAAGTGTGACTAGACCTCTGAGATCAATTATTATATGTTGAATTTACGGATGAAAGCTATGTATATCAATACATTGTTAATAGATATAGCCAGATTTGTTTTCAAAGTTATATTAAATTTATTTTCACCGACAATGTGTAAGAATACACTTACCAACACATAACAAAAAAAAAATTACCAAATAACTTGTGTCAATCTTGGCACTGAAAATTATACTGGATATTTTCACTGACATGTGTCAACTGTGAATAAGATTCAAAATCTTCTCATTGGTTTATAAATCGTTTTTGTTATATAAAAAATCTTTTAAAAAATTTTCTTAGAAGTTCTCCTCATATATTTGGCTTATTTTCTACTGAGTCTTGAACATTTTCATTATTTTTCTGGGCATTCAATTCTGTATGTTGTTTTCAGCCTTTTACTTCCATCATGTTGCAGCCATTTTTCAGTTTATTTTTGATCTTTTGACTTTTAATAAATGGCATTTTTCCATAAAATTTTAATATTTATTGCTTGAAAATTATTTAATTTATGAATTCTAAGTTTTGTGACATATATAAAGTTTCTCACACTCCTAAATCATATGATCAAATTCTCTTATGCTTTCTTCTTGAAAGTTTGATTTTATGCATAAATCTGGAAATTTTATACTGTAAGATAATATGGTTACTGTCCATAAATATGGACATAAAATATGGTTATCGTATGTCCATAAAATATGGTTACTGTCCATATTTATTTTTTCCATATGGCTAGACAGGTTTTTGAAGGACCATTAATTAACAACTTATTTCTTTCTCATTTATTTAAAGTCACCTTTGTTAAATACTACATTCCTGAATATTTATCTTTTTCTCAACTCTGTATAATCTTATGTTGATATCTGCTGATCTCAATTTATGCGTGAATTCATGTGTGACTGCCAGACTTTTAAATGTTCAAGTGTAATAATGTATTTTTAAAAAATAATTGGTAGGTCTGATGTCCCTTTTGTATTCTTCATTTTAAGCCTTTATTTTTCAACTCAGCTTATTTAATTCCAAAAATAAATCTTGGAATTTCTTGGAGAGAGTAGTTAATCACATTAAACATAAAGATTAATGTAAGGTAAATTCACAGATATACAATAATTTATAATATAGAAACAGTTTGTCAATTTCAATAAATTGTCTACTATATTCTCTTATTAATTCTAATAATCCTTTTGTTTCAGATATTTTGTTTTCTTTTGCTTTAGCTATATAATAAGATCTTTATCAAGTTAATGATAGTTAAATAGTGAAGACAATTTTTTACTTATTTTGTTATTTTCCCTTCTATGTATAAAACAATGTTTAAAATGATAACAGACATGGATATATGTTTCTTATTCTTCACTTAAATGCACTAAACTTAATGCTGCTTTTTGGGGAAGACTATGATATGCATTCTTTTCATATATAGAAAATATTCACCCATTTTAAATTGTGGTCATACATTTAAGGCATAGATTAAGATAAATTTTGTTAAATAGCTTTTCAATCTCTGTAGAAATGATCACAGGATTTTTAAAGTAGATCGATCTCTCAATATGGAAAATGATATTAAAAGATACTAAGATTAAGCCAGCCTTCCCTCTTTTGTACTGACACCATTAGTAATAGCATAGTATCCTTAAACATGCTGTTATTTCTATCTGCTAATACATTACTCAAAGGCTTAGCAATCCAGTGAGTTTGGTATAGTGTTTTGTATTGTCATATTTATCTGGGGATATAGTCAATGTTTTGCAGCCTTGAAGAATAAACTTTGGAAATTGACCTTCTTTTCTACATTCTAACAGAATTTAAGAAGGAACTAAACTTATTCTTAAAAGTTTTATGTTTATCTGTGAAACACTTTGTCTTGTTTTAAGCACTTGGTGGTAACAAGACTTTTAAACATCTAAAATGGTAACTATGGTTAATAAACCTTTTTAGAGTTTGCTTTATCTCTTTTTGTGTGTGTGTGTATGTGTATATACATGTGTGTATATATATACACATATATATATATACACACACACAGAGATATATACACATATTTAATGTAAGAAAGCAATTTTTCTTTTTCATTGTTGTGGGTGCATAATAGGTGTATGTATTTATAGGGTGCCTGAGATATTTTGATACAGGCATACAACGCATAATAGTCATATCCGGGTAAATGCAGATCTATCACGTCAAACATTTATCCTTTCTCCGTATTAAAAAACAATCCAATATTTTAGTTATTTAAAAATGTACAATAAATTATTTTTGACTGTAGCCATCCTGTTGAGCTGTCAAATACTAGATCTTATTTGTTCTATGTAATTATATTTTTGTACCCATTAACCATCTCAGTTCCCTCCCCACTACCCTTCCCAGACATCCATTTCATCTAGGCTTTAATATTTACATGCATAAAGATTTTTTTATTTGCAACACTCTTTTTGTATACTTCCAAAGAGGTGTTAAGGAAAAAAGCTGTATTTTAAAATATTTTTCTTACTAAACAAGAAAGAATAAAATTAATCTTTTAATTAAAAATAAAGTCATTAAATATCAATTCTTAGAAAAGGAGAAGGACTAATTAAAGATGATAGCAGAAGTTAATAAATTAGAAAATAATCACATGAGTAAGTGAGCTTAATATGTTCAATAGCTAGTAAAATGGCAAAGTCATTAGCTTTCATAATAAATTCAAAAAGGAGGAATATAGGCATACACAAAACAAACAAGAAAAAATTAGCAATAAATTCTAAAAGGAAAATAAAGTGCTAAGTCAATAAACAATATAAATAGGTTATATAGACACAAACACATTTCTGATATTCAGGATTTTCATTATTTTTGTAATCTTGGTGGTCTGCAGTCTGGGTTTGACTTTTGTTGTAAGATTTCCAAGAGATATTTTTAGTAATCAATAGGATTTTATTTTGTGTTTTATTTTCTCTGGTTTTATTATTCTTTTCTTTCTAAAATTATAGAGATCTACTGATACTAAAATATTTGAGAATTGTTTTTCCTTCACATTGCTATGCTACTTTGACTTCACTTGGTAGCATCTTCAGTAAGATATGAAAACAGTTGTGATTATTAGCCACCTTATTTAATTCCTGATAGTTTAACATGTTCTATCTCTTTTTGAGTCAGATTAAAAAATATTTCTGGGAAATTGAGATTCATCTAAATTTATAAGCTTGCTAGATAAAAGTTGCTTGCTATATTCTTAATTCTATGCTAATTCTATAGTTAATGTATACAGTTTCATTCTTAATATATTTACCAATTTTTTCTTTGTTGCTTTTCTGTTAGGTTTGTCTGTTGCTTTTCACCTTTGTTTGTTCTGTTATGAGTTTGTTAGTTTTTAAAATTAAGTTTGCAGGAAGACTATACAAAGACTTAACATTTGACTTTTTAAATTATTTCTATCATTTTTGTTTGTTTTCATTATCTTTCTTTACTTTTTTAGGTTTATTCTGTTATTTTCTTACTTCGATTTTGGACCCTTAAAATGTTCATTTTCATTTGTTTCATTTCTGCCATGTGAATTGTTTTGTTCCACAATATCATGCACACTAAAGTGTACATATAAACCCTACCTATCGTTTAACACCCAATAATGAAATTAAAGCCATGTAACCACCACCTCGACAATGAAAACCAAAATCATGAGTATCCCTTGTAGCCCACTGCAATTGCACCAACCACCCTGAATTTTATGTTTATGATTTATTTGCTTTTCTTTACAGTTTTATTGAATTAAATATGCATGTGACCAGTTTAATTTCACATGTTCTAACGTTCATAAAGGAATCATACTACATGAACTCTGTCACTCAAAGCTATTATTTTTTATCATAACATTTTACCCAATATTATGTTTGTAATATCTATAATATTGTAAGATTCATCTATTTGGCTACTTGTAGCTGTATTTCATTCTTTTTCACCTTGATATAGTTCATTGTATGATTATTTTAAAAAATTATTCTTTATTCTGCTGTGGGACTTTGGGGATTGCCTTCAGTAGTTGTCATACTAGGAATGTAATTATAAACAGGTATAATATTCAAAATGTTTAACTAGGAGTAACCAATCTGAACATACAACAGTCAGAGGCTTGCTGCTTTGCTCTGCCTTCTCCCTTTAGTTGTTGAATCATAGGCTGGTCCATGAGTCCCAGCAGAGGGCCCCAGTGATGGCTGTTACTATAAATTCCCTGAAGAAGATGACTTTTTTTATTGTTTATATTTAGCTTGGTTCTCCCATTAGATTTTTTCCTTATCTTTTGAATGCACTAACTTTACCATGGAAGATTTTACTGCTGAATTATATGTCGTTTTTTTAAAATATTTGTTTTCCCCCAGGACATATTTTTCCCTGTCTACAGATAAAAGTGTACATATTTTCAACAAGTAATCTTGAATTACATCTTTGAAAATTATTCTATGTTTTCTGTTCTCTTCAGCAAGTGCACCAATTTTGTTTATGTTGGATTTCCCTTTTTTCCTTCTATATTATTTTCTCTCTACTCATTGGTGTAACACTTGATTACTTTTCATTCAATTCTAATACCTTTAAGCCTGTGTTTCTTGTTCCCAATGGGCCTGTGTGCATCTATTCTTCTTGTGACAACATTCATTCTAACACTGTTAATTCTTAGAGTATTTTTACTTTTTTCTATATTTTTCTCCAAAACACCGCCAGCTCATCTTACTGTTTTAGAAGCAGCACAGCATAGGGGTGGGGCCAAGATGGCCAAATAGGAACAGCTCCAGTCTACAGCTCCCAGTGTGAGCGACGCAGAAGATGGGCGATTTTTGCATTTCCAACTGAGGTACCGGGTTCATCTCACTGAGGGGTGTTGGAAAGTGGGTGCAGGACAGTGGGTGCAGCGCACCGAGTGTGAGCTGAAGCAGGGTGAGGAATCGCCTCACCCGGGAAGCACAAGGGGTCAGGGAATTCCCTTTCCTAGTCAAAGAAAGGGATAAAAGACAGCACCTGGAAAATCGGGTCACTTTTCCTAATACTGCGCTTTTCCAATGGTCTTAGCAAACGGCACACCAGGAGATTATATCTCGCGCCTGACTTGGAGGGTCCTATGACCATGGAGCCTTGCTCATTGCTAGCACAGCAGTCTGAGATCAAACTGCAAGGCAGCAGCAAGGCTCGGGGAGGGGTGCCCGCCATTGCCGAGGCTTGAGAAGGTAAACAAAGCGGCCAGGAAGCTTGAACTGGGTGGAGCCCACCGCAGCTCAAGGAGGCCTGCCTGTCTCTGTAGACTCCACCTCTGGGGGCGGGGCATAGCCAAACAAAAGGCAGCAGAATCCTCTGCAGACTTAAATGTCCCTGTCTGATAGCTTTGAAAAGAGTAGTGGTTCTCCCAGCATGCAGCTGGACAACTGAGAACAGACAGACTGCCTCCTCAAGTGGGTCCCTGACCCCCGAGGAGCCTAGCTGGGAGGCACCCCCCTAGTAGGGGCAGACTGACACCTCACACGGCCAGGTACTCCTCTGAGACAAAACTTCCAGAGGAACGATCAGGCAGCAACATTTGCTGTTCACCAATATCCGCGGTTCTGCAGCTGCCGCTGCTGATACCCAGGCAAACAGGGTCTGGAGTGGACCTCCAGCAAACTCCAACAGACCTGCAGCTGAGGGTCCTGACTGTTAGAAGGAAAACTAACAAACAGAAAGGACATCCACACCAAAACCCCATCTGTACGTCACCATCATCAAAGACCAAAGGTAGATAAAACCACAAAGATGGGGAAAAAACAGAGCAGAAAAACTGGAAACTCTAAAAAGCAGAGCACCTCTCCTCCTCCAAAGGAACGCAGCTCCTCACCAGCAACAGAACAAAGCTAGATGGAGAATGACTTTGATGAGTTGAGAGAAGAAGGCGTCAGACAATCAAACTACTCCGAGCTAAAGGAGGAAGTTCGAACCCATGGCAAAGAAGTTAAAAACCTCGAAAAAAAATTAGACGAATGGCTAACTAGAATAACCAATGCAGAGAAGTCCTTAAAGGACCCGATGGAGCTGAAAACCAAGGCACGAGAACTACGTGACAAATGCACAAGCCTCAGTAGCCGATTTGATCAACTGGAAGAAAGGGTATCAGTGATGGATGATCAAATGAATGAAGCAAGAAGAGCAGTTTAGAGAAAAAAGAATTAAAAGAAATGAACAAATCCTCCAAGAAATATGGGACTATGTGAAAAGCCCAAATCTGCGTCTGATTGGTGTACCTGAAAGTGACAGGGAGAATGGAACCAAGTTGGAAAACACTCTGCAGGATATTATCCAGCAGAACTTCCCCAATCTAGCCAGGCAGGCCAACATTCAAACTCAGGAAATACAGAGAACGCCACAAAGATACTCCTCAAGAAGAGCAACCCCAAGACACATAATTGTCAGATTCACCAAAGTTGAAATGAGGGAAAAAATGTTAAGGGCAGCCAGAGAGAAAGGTAGGGTTACCCACAAAGGGAAGCCCATCAGACTAACAGCTGATCTCTCGGCAGAAACTCTACAAGCCAGAAGAGGGTGGGGGCCAATATTCAACATTCGTAAAGAAAAGAATTTTCAACCCAGAATTTCATATCCAGCCAAACTAAGCTTTATAAGTGAAGGAGAAATAAAATCCTTTACAGACAAGCAAATGCTGAGAGATTTTGTCACCACCAGGCCTGCCCTAAAAGAGCTCCTGAAGGAAGCACTAAACATGGAAAGGAAAAACCAGTACCAGCCACCACAAAAAAATGCCAAATTGTAAAGACCATCAAGGCTAGGAAGAAACTGCATCAACTAACGAACAAAATAACCAGCTAAAATCATAATGACAGGATCAAATTCACACATAACAATATTAACCTTAAATGTAAATAGGCTAAATGCTCCAATTAAAAGACACAGACTGGCAAATTGGATAAAGAGTCAAGACCCATCAGTGTGCTGTATTCAGGAAACCCATCTCACGTGTAGAGACACACACAGGCTCAAAATAAAAGGATGGAAGAAGATCTACCAAGCAAACGGAAAACAAAAAAAAGGCAGGGGTTGCAATCCTAGTCTCTGATAAAACAGACTTTAAACCAACAAAGATCAAAAGAGACAAAGAAGGCCATTACACAATAGTAAAGGGATCAGTTCAACAAGAAGAGCTAACTATCCTAAATATATATGCACCCAATACAGGAGCACCCAGATTCATAAAGCAAGTCCTTAGAGACCTACAAAGAAACTTAGACTCCCACACAATAATAATGGGAGATTTTAATACCCCACTGTCAACATTAGACAGATCAACGAGACAGAAAGTTAACAAGGATATCCAGGAATTGAAATCAGCTCTGCATCAAACAGACCTAATAGACATCTACAGAACTCTCCACCCCAAATCAACAGAATATACATTATTCTCAGCACCACACCACACTTATTCCAAAATTGACCATATAGTTGGAAGTAAAGCACTCCTCAGCAAATGTAAAAGAACGGAAATTACAACAAACTGTCTCTCAGACCACAGTGCAATTAAACTAGAACTCAGGATTAAGAAACTCACTCAAAACCGCTCAACTACATGGAAACTGAACAACCTGCTCCTGAATGAATACTGGGTACATCACGAAATGAAGGCAGAAATAAAGATGTTCTTTGAAACCAATGAGAACAAAGACACAACTTACCAGAATCTCTGAGACACATTCAAAGTAGTGTGTACAGGGAAATTTATAGCACTAAATGCCCACAAGAGAAAGCAGGAAAGATCTAACATTGACACCCTAACATCACAATTAAAAGAACTAGAAAAGCAAGAGCAAACACATTCAAAAGCTAGCAGAAGGCAAGAAATAACTAAGATCAGAGCAGAACTGAAGGAAACAGAGACACAAATAACCCTTCAAAAAATCAATGAATCCAGGAGCTGGTTTCTTGAAAAGATCAACAAAATTGATAGACTGCTAACAAGACTAATAAAGAAGAAAAGAGAGAAGAATCAAATAGAAGCAATAAAAAATGATAAAGGGGATATCACCACCAAACCCACAGAAACACAAACTACCATCAGAGAATACTATAAACACCTCTACACAAATATACTAGAAAATCTAGAAGAAATGGATAAATTCCTCGACACATACATCCTCCCAAGACTAAACCAGGAAGAAGTTGAATCTCTGAAGAGACCAATAATAGGCTCTGAAATTGAGGCAATAATTAACAGCTTACCAACCAAAAAAAAGTCCAGGACCAGATGGATTCACAGCCGAATTCTACCAGTGGTACAAGGAGGAGCTGGTACCATTCCTTCTGAAACTATTCCAATCAACAGAAAAAGAGGGAATCCTCCCTAACTTATTTTATGAGGCCAGCATCATCCTGATACCAAAGCCTGGCAGAGACACAACAACAAAAAGAGAATTTTCGACTAATATCCCTGATGAACATTGACGCAGAAATCCTCAATAAAATACTGGCAAACCAAATCCAGCAGCACACCAAAAAGCTTATCCACCGTGATCAAGTGGGCTTCATCCCTGGGATGCAAGGCTGGTTCAACACACAAAAATCAATAAATGTAATCCAGCATATAAACAGAACCAACCACAAAAACCATCTATTATCTCAATAGATGCAGAAAAGGCCTTTGACAAAATTCAACAACCCTTCATGCTAAAAACTCTCAATAAATTAGGTATTGATGGGACGTATCTCAAAATAATAAGAGCTATCTATGACAAACCCACAGCCAATATCATACTGAATGGGCAAAAATGGAAGCATTCCCTTTGAAAACTGGCACAAGACAGGGATGTCCTCTCTCACCACTCCTATACAACATAGTGTTGGAAGTTCTGGCCAGGGCAATCAGGCAGGAGAAGGAAATAAAGGGTATTCAATTAGGAAAAGAGGAAGTCAAATTGTCCCTGTTTGCAGATGACGTGATTGTATATCTAGAAAACCCCATTGTCTCAACCCAAAATCTCCTTAAGCTGATAGGCAACTTCAGCAAAGTCTCAGGATACAAAATCAATGTGCAAAAATCACAAGCATTCTTATACACCAATAACAGACAAACAGAGAGCCAAATCATGAGTGAACTCCCATTCACAATTGCTTCAAAGAGAATAAAATACCTAGCAATCCAACTTACAAGGGATGTGAAGGACCTCTTCAAGGAGAACTACAAACCACTGCTCAATGAAATAAAAGAGCATACAAACGAATGGAAGAACATTCCATGCTCATGGACAGGAAGAATCGATATCGTGAAAATGGCCATACTGCCCAAAGTAATTTATAGGTTCAATTGCCATCCCCATCAAGCTACCAATGATTTTCTTCACAGAATTGGAAAAAACTACTTTAAAGTTCATATGGAACCAAAAAAGAGCCCACATTGCCAAGTCAATCCTAAGTCAAAAGAGCAAAACTGGAGGCATCACACTACCTGACTTCAAACTATACTACAAGGCTATAGTAACCAAAACAGCATGGTACTGGTACCAAAACAGAGATATAGACCAATGGAACAGAACAGAGCCCTCAGAAATAATGCCGCATATCTACAACCATCTGATCTTTGACATACCTGACAAAAAGAAGAAATGGGGAAAAGATTCCCTATTTAATAAATGGTGCTGGGAAAACTGGCTAGCCATATGTAGAAAGCTGAAACTGGATCCCTTCCTTACACCTTATACAAAAATTAATTCAAGATGTATTAAAGACTTAAATGTTAGACCTAAAACCATAAAAACCCTAGAAGAAAACCTAGGCAATACCATTCAGGACATAGGCATGGGCAAGGACTTCATGTCTAAAACACCAAAAGCAATGGCAACAAAAGCCAAAATTGACAAATGGGATCTAATTAAAGTAAAGAGCTTCTGCACAGCAAAATAAGCCACCATCAGAGTGAATAGGCAACCTACAGAATGGGAGAAAATTTTTGCAATCTACTCATCTGACAAAGGGCTAATATCCAGAAACTACAAAGAACTCAAACAAATTTACAAGAAAAAAACAAACAACCCCATCAAAAAGTGGGTGAAGTATATGAACAGACACTTCTCAAAAGAAGACATTTATGCAGCCAAAAGACACATGAAAAAATGCTCATCATCACTGGCCATCAGAGAAATGCAAATCAAAACCACAATGAGATACCATCTCACACCAGTTAGAATGGCAATCATTAAAAAGTCAGGAAACAACAGGTGCTGGAGAGGATGTGGAGAAATAGGAACACTTTTACACTGTTGGTGGGACTGTAAACTAATTCAACCATTGTGGAAGTCAGTGTGGCGATTCCTCAGGGATCTAAAACTAGAAATACCATTTGACCCAGCAATCCCATTACTGGGTATATACCCAAAGTACTATAAATCATCCTGCTATAAAGACACATGCACACCTATGTTTTCTGCGGCACTACTGACAATAGCAAAGACTTGGAACCAACCCAAATGTCCAACAATTATAGACTGAATTAAAAAAATGTGGCACATATACACCATGGAATACTATGCAGCCATAAAAATGATGAGTTCATGTCCTTTGTAGGGACATGGATGAAGCTGGAAACCATCATTCTCAGCAAGCTATCACAAGGATAAAAAACCAAACACCACATGTTCTCACTCACAGGTGGGAATTGAACAATGAGAACACATGGACACAGGAAGGGGAACATCACACACTGGGGCCTGTTGTGGAGTGGGGGGAGGGGGGAGGGATAGCATCAGGAGATATACCTAATGCTAAATGACGAGTTAATGGGTGCAGCACACCAACACAGCAGATGTATACATATGTAACTAACTTGCACGTTGTGCACATGTACCCTAAAACTTAAAAAAAAAAAAAAAAAAAAAAAAGAAGCAGCACAGCATAAATCTCAAAGTCACACACTCCGCAACCGTACCACTGATGGTAAAGCTCCACTACATGGATTTGCTGTGTGAACTTGAGCAAGTTATTTAACCTCTTTATATATCACAGAATATTCATCTGTAAAATGAGAAAATGGTAGTATTTGCATTACAGAATTTCTATGTAAAATAATGACTATAAACTGCTTAAGAGTGTTTGTCACATAATAAACACTATGTAAGTATTTCTTAAATCCTTTTAAAAAAGAACTTATCTCTGCTCTCATGTAATTTTCCCTTACATGCCTGACATTTCTCCTTTGAGCTCTTATTTCCAGGAAGTTAACATATCCATTAGCTTATTAGAATGAAACACTTTCTTTTTAATTTTGTAAAATAAAAATTGTTCATAATTTATAGTTCTATAGTGAGATCTTTCAGGTGCTGATTTTTTTTCTGGAGTTTTGTTTATTATGTTCGTGTTATGTTTTTCAAAAATGAATTTCTAAAGGTAAATTTAAAAAATCCAATCTTCATAAGTTTCATAGATATGGCCTTATAGTTCTTTAAAATGGTTATAAGCAATTTTCATTTCTACCAACAACTGTAAGCCAGTGTTTCTTCCTTTTTGTTTACTATTTGAAAGCCTTCTTAACCCTCAAATGGGAGAGGAAACTTTTCTAGACCCCCCAGTATGCCTCCTCATATTCATTACTTCTAGTCTGTTATCATCTCTTTACACGGCCCCCCAACCCCAGTAAACTGTTTCCTTCTTTAGAACTAAGAATTCATCTTCTTTAGAACTATTTGCTTATGGGCACACCACTGATAAATAGCAAAAGTAGAATATGGATCTAGTTCTTGTCTCTACAAATCCTATTTTCCTACTATACATTTCCTTAGTTACACCAATATAAATTTTAAAACTTGAGTCTCGGTCAAAAACCTGTTTTACATACATGAAATTATAATTATCCTTCAAATGACTCTTACAAATAACTTATTTATCCTAATACTGATAAAATTATGATGTATGTGTGCATAGACATTATTAATAAGCTTTAATTAGTGTGAGACTTTAAAGCATGATCCAAACATAGTTTTTAATCTATGTAACCAAAGTTTGACATAGGATTAACAGTTCTTCATGAAATTATTGTATAATTCTTTAAGTTGATTAAGCTGCAACTGACCACCTGTCAATCATAATGACTAAAACTCAGTGGATCTTCATGCAAACAATCTTAGAATCCATTAAACAAAGCTAAAGATATAGACTACCTGTAAAGTTCATTCTAAGGTAAAAATGACTGGGAGTTGATCAAAGCAATTTAATACATTGTGATCCACATGACAATTTTAATTCTCTGGGAAATAAGAGGGAACCCTCTGCTTTACATGAAAAATGTGTGTTTTTAAATTAATAATTTAGTTTTGTTAAGATGATTGAATCAACCTTGAATCTAGGAAGTTTAGTGAAGGTACCATACTGCTCTATGCTAAGTGAAACAAACTGTCATTTAAAATGTACACTTTCATTTTAATTTGACCTTTTCCAAGGCCACAGTGAGCAACAGCATCCCAAAATTGCCACATATCATCAGACTTCATGACTGAGTTCAAAGCCTTCCTTTGAAATGTTATATTTTTCTAAAGATTAAGTTTCATATAAAATTATTTTAATATCATCCATTTGTTACTGGAAATATGTATTCCATTTTAAATATTTCCTAAGTTACTTGACCAAAATTTGTTTTGGTTCTTGGTTTTCTTCTCAAATGAGATGGAATAGCCTGGAGAGCCAGTCTCTGACTGCTAAGATGTGGTTTGAGGCAGTCAGAGCTGATATAATATTTGTGTTTCAGGGCTGATAATATACAAGTTGATTAGAATATGATGAATTTCACATGTCTCAGGAGACTGATTATTGAATGTTAGAGAAGGTACGACTTTAACCTTGTCACCTCTATATGCTTACATACGTTTTATCCAATGGGGAATAGAAACACTGGGTGCTAGAACAGGTTTAGGAAATGGTTTATTTTAAAATGTAGATAAGTTTTCATCACAGACAAAAGCATCCTTCTCAAAGTAGAGATAAGCAAAGAATATCTATGTATTAAAAGTTTATTAAATGTGATCAGTTTAAATTAAACCTTTAAATGCCATTCATTTCTTAAATATGCTCCAGTGACATCTGCTCCAGATATTTTCTGGAAATAATTATTAATATGAGATTATAGTAAATTAATTTGACCAGAAATCATCTTCTGTATTGAAAGGTATTATTTACTAGTGAGACAACCATAGGGAAATAATAGAAGTCTTGCATCAATTTACTCAGAAGTCTTTATGAGGCAGATTAAAAATCCTGAGGGTAAGAAAGGAATACATATTGTACCTAGGTCCTCAAATTTATTAGCACAATGAATTATTGACCACAACTTATGAGTTGAGAATGAGAAAGCCAACATTTAGAACAGGGAGACCAACTGACTTGCCTCAAATCATAAAGTTATACTCAATCTTAATATCCATGGTCTTCTCTTTTCTACAATACTACTCAGCTTCAACAATTGCTCTCAATTTTGCCTCTTCTCAATAATGCTTTCAAGAAAATGCGTGCCCTCATGGTTATTTATTTTACAATTATATATGTTTAGAAATTATGCTAAATAATCTTTCCTGTATTAGTCACTCTGGTGAAAATAGTTGTTGTTTTTTATATTTCCTCTTCTGGAAACTGAAAGCGTCTAGAAGTTAAAAATAAAAATACAATTTGTTCTATTAGTAAGCCTGACTTCAGGGAGGGATAGGGTACAAATACTGTTTTTAGAAGAAACAAGTATAGCCTAGTCTTTTGATTATTTGCCACGCAGAGTCCTTTTAAAAGAAAAGGGCCATTCTAACTGGTGTGAGATGGTATCTCATGTATACATATGTAACTAACCTGCACAATGTGCACATGTACCCTAAAACTTAAAGTATAATTTAAAAAAAAAAGATAGAAAAGGGCCACCAACCTTCCCCAGATATTCATATTTAAGGTAAAGAGAATAAATTGAGGATCAAACACAAAATCTATTTCAAAAGCTAAAGTACAGAACTAACCATGAGAAATATACTTTAAAAACTCTATTTCAACACAAATTAAGCCAATTATCAATATTCAACTTATAGTTCCTAACAGCCATATGAGAACTTTTCACTTGGACTTTTAAGAATGATTATGAAGAAGAGATTCGAATTGCAAAATTTTGCAAGGAAAAATTTTTTTCAGACTCTTCGCAAAAGTTTTTGGAATCAAATCATCTTTGAAGAGCTTAAGAACATCTCCGAACAAGTTGTTATTGTTATTGTCATTGTTGTTGTTTGTGAAGATTATGTCAATTAGCTTCAACATGTTTTCAGTTCTGATATATGAACTCTCAACTTATCCTTAAGGAAAGAGTCTGAACCTAGATTAAGTTTAGATAAAGTTTTCACAAGGACAAGCTCTGAGTCAGCCTAGATTCTCAAGTCAGAGGAATTTTAGAAAACTGTCTGGTCATGAATTTAATAGGGATTCAAAGATGTTTTGAGAGAGGTTGAAAGTTTAAACTAAAATAATTTGACCAGGATGTCTCTGCCAGCTAACATCATATTCTCTAACTATAAGGTCTAGCATTAACTCCAAGCACTCCCAGAAGAACACAGCCTCCTGGAGCTCTGAAAGAGTGGGTGAAGCCTCATCAAAAGGTAATGTCTGGGTAACATCAGAGTACACTTTTCCTAGTCTTCTGCTGGAGTAGGTGAAAGTTTGCTCTTTTTTTTGAGTTAATAAAAACATACTTAAGATTCCTAAAATATCATCTGTGAAGATTCACCTTTAATAGGGCATTATCACCACGTAGATATATTGAGCATAATGCAGCTAAGGGCCAATGACAGCAGAGAAAGAAAAGCCTCTTTCTGGGGTCAATTATGGAAAGCCAATCCCAAGTGGAGTAAAAGCAATGATGCTTCTGACGAAGATACTGTGAAGACAAGAGGAATATGACAAACAAAGCTACAGAATGAAGGCCATAAGCATGGTGGTCACAATCATCTTTGACAAATGCTCCATCTCTCCTTGCTGTAGCACCACCAGAACATCTTATGTTACACTGTTTTATTTTACCCTGGGTTAATTTCACAATCTCTCCTCTCCACCTGGATTAATAATTACTGCTGGAAAAAAATTGTACTTATGTGCAGATTTATGGAATGAAAATCATGGTCTCCAGATTTCTCTGAGCACTCAACACAGCTTAATAAGCCCTTTACGGCCTTAAAAAACCCTCCAACACCTTCTTTCAACTTTTTGACCTTTATGAACATTTAACACCCTCTTCCTAAGCTTCAGCCTTTTCAGTGCTAACAGGCTGCCTTTTTTTCTGCTTCATCAGGAAGATGGAGGCCATCATGAACTAAGATTTCTTCTCACTGGTCCTGTCAGTTGTGACTGTCCAACCTCTGCACTGACCCTTTCCAGGGTCTTTCCATTTTTAGAGGAAACAGGAAACTGCCTGTTGATTCCTTACTGGTGTATGTGAATCTTGGAGTCCTTCTTCTATTTCCTCCTGGATTTGGATCCATCTTTCTCTTACACTTTTAAATTGTCTTATCTTTTAGTGTGTTGCCCTCAACCTAAAACCATTCCTACCTATTTCTTCTTCTAAAAAACAAAAGCAAACATGAAAGCAACCTTTCTCAATTCTAAGACTTACGTACCTATTTCTTGTTTTATCCTTTCCTTCCCAACCCAAGCTTCTGGAAAGAGTAGCCTATGCCTGCTGTTTCTCCTTCCTCCCCACCCATTAATGGTTCTCCCCTTCCAAACTTTTGCTGTCATTACTCCCTGAACCTATTCTTTTCAACGTTGACAATGACATTTGTGCTGTGGATACAAGAACGGTAGTCTATATTTGTTTAATTAGACTGTGCTGATTATGATGCTGTTGGCCAGTTATTTTTTCTTTGAAAAACTATCTTTGTCTTCCCTGACACACTATTTTCTGAATGCCTTTCTATCTCTGATTATTTCTTCTTTGTTTCCTTAGTGGCTTATTTTTTAACTTGGAAAATAGGCAAAGATTTGAACAATTGGACCATTTCCTACTTTACTAATTTAACATTATTAATGGAATATTTAATCTTCTTTGATTTCAAGGTGTCCAAAGTAGCAGCCAAATAGATTGTTTTTATTAGAAAAGAATGTTTTATGAATCATATTAGGAAAACACTAATGTTAGGCCTTAGCCAAGAGATGCTTAGCCAAACTCTTTTATTGTACTTCAGCATTGGAAATCATAATACTCAATTACCTGCTGCAAAGTCTTCTCTGTTATAAAGTTTAATATCATACCAAATGAGTTTCAGAATGTGAATAATATGAACAAAACTTAGTGTTTGGATTTACACTTAACTTCTAATCAAAAAGTTTTAACCAATACATTTAACATTTATTTAACATCAAATATAGGGAAGGATCCAGACTTGAAGGATTACGTATCTCAATGAATGAGTAAAGCATCAAGTGCATTTGTGGAAAATACAAGAAATCATGCTACAGTTTTAAGTCTGCTTCTAAAAATATTCAGAAACCATTTCTACCAACACTGCACAGAGCTTTGTTTGAAGACAGTAGGTCCAATCCCTGGGTTGCAAAGGAAGCAAAGCATTACCTGAATCATTTTCTTTGAGAGAAGGAGAAAAGCTTGATAATGTTGTTACTGCAGCATGACTATTAGCAGTAAGCTATACTAGCAGAGGTGGGTCTGGCTCTTCCAGAGACACAAGTTGAAAGTCAGTGTCCTTTTAGAATGGCAAATGTGCAGCAGGTTCATTGCAGAAATAATCACATGGCAGTGCTGAGGAACTTTCACCCTACATTACAATGCCATGATTTTGAAATTTGACCATAAAACCTTTTAATGATAAAATTAATATCATTAAAGTGGTAGTCACTTTCAGATACACTCTTGTAATCCTAGAAGTATGTCCTATGATGATGATATTCAGCTTTGGCCTATGCTTAGTTTAGCTCAATGTTGATTTTAATATGCAGCCATTGGAAATATGGCCCCTCTATTATGTATTGTTAATTGTGTTTCCAACAGTAGTTCTTTATTTTCTATTCCAATAATACTAGGTTAGTTTAATTGCATGTCTTTGAACAACCAGGCTATAAAAGTTGAAACTAATATTAGGAGTTGGGACCTAATGCTCTAGGCTTCCACTGATAATTACAATCATCCTTATGGCAGTGAAATGCTATTATTTAGAGTTGTTACTTTGGTCAGTCTCTTCATTTTATCAAAACGTTGTTATGCAAAAAAAGACTTTGCAAGGCAATGGTTTAAAATTCCTTTGCATATGTACAGTTTCATTTGATAATTTCATGTTCAAAGAATTTCTTTTGTTCAGTTACTTTCCTTTTTTCTTTCTAATCTTAAGCACCAGAGAGTGAAGAAGACTTCACCAGCAGAAACACTATTTAGAAAATCTGCAATAGGAATAACGTTTATAATCCATGGAACTTACATTCTAGGAAGAAAGATTAACTTGCAATTAGCATCTAAAGATACTCATGCTGAATTCCAAAAATATATATTAACATATATTTGGAATCTGCTAAAATATAGTTAAGCATCTATTAAGCAGAACAACTAGGAATTTGATGATTTTCAATTTGCAGTGAATAACACACTACTTGATAGATAATGTACTGAATATTTACTCTGTGCAGGTTCTTAAGATAGAACTTGCCTTCTTGGATAAGGAGAGAATTACTGAAAATGATTTTGTGTACTTCTTTACATATTTTGTTTTAAAAATTTATTCAACAGCAACCATATGATTAAAAATAATCTCTTCAAATAAATAACTTCTAAGAAATAACTTGAAAAAAATTCGTTCTTTAAATACAGATACACAACTTATTTTAAGATGTGCATGTTGTATGTCTTGAATATTGGAGAGTAAATTAAAAAGTATAAAACTGGCCGGGCGCGGTGGCTCACACCTGTAATCCCAGCACTTTGGGAGGCCGAGGTGGGCAGATCACGAGGTCAGGAAATCGAGACCATCCTGGCTAACACGGTGAAACCCCGTCTCTACCAAAAAAATAAAAAAAATTAGCCAGGCCTGTGGCAGGCGCCTGTTGTCCCAGCTACTTGGGAGGCTGAGGCAGGAGAATGGCATGAACCTTGGGAGGCGGAGCTTGCAGTGAGTCAAGATCGCACCACTGCACCCCAGCCTGAGCCACAGAGCGAGACTCCGTCTAAAAAACATAAATAAATAAATAAATAAATAAATAAATAAATAAATAAATAACAAAATAAAAAAAATAAAACCTTCAAGAAAAATCAAAATCACTAATAAAATACCTAAACTACTTAAGAAATAAAGTAAATCCCCTCCCCCCAAAAAATACGCTATGAAGTAATCGGGTGTAGCGTGTTCCAGAAACCAACTACCCCTGTTTTCGAGTGCAAATGTCTTACTTCCAATTCTGCAAAATCCTACTCACTGACCTTGACTTCACTCTATATTGTTAATGGCTTTTTAATCCTTTCCAGAGTATTGCTTTAAAACAGCACAATATCACACCCACAAAAGTAGCAGGACCTGGATAAATATTTAAGAACTGAATAAGTGAATGAATATTAATGATTAGCAAAAACTGAAACTGAAACTTTAAGTTACAGCTAAGTTAAACTGCAATTCAGTGGAGCAGCAGCAGAAATATCAGAGCCCCGAAAACATATCATGTAAACAATTGTTTACTTTTTTGTATTCCATAACTTTTAGTCACTTACATTACATAAATATTGACAATTTCTGATTAGAACCAACTAGTATACGTTTTTTTAAAATCAACAGTTACAACTAAATATATAGTACACACATTTCAGTTAAATTTCATAAACTTAGCCATTATTGAAAGTTTATCCTGTATGCCTCCAAAGTTTTTAAAATAAAAAAAATCCTCTAATATTTCTTCCTATATTACAGCTCCTCTAGTAGTTCAAAGAAAGAAAGACAAGAAACCTCCATGGACTTTCGAACATGATTTTACTTTTCTTAGTGATTTTTTAAGATGAATCTAGACCCAACCAGACACTAAGTAAATGTGGTTTGCCCTTCAAGAATTTGAAGTTGATAGTCAGTCCAAGAAGATTTCATTAGAAACTGTTGCTGCTTACATGCGACATATCCCAAAAATGTGTTTTTAGGTCAATAGCCAACCTAAAGAATCAAAATCTCATCAGTGTATTAGATTAGATAAAATTGAAGATTTAATGTGTGTGTTAATTTTTTTGTAAGCTAAAGGCTACATATGTAAATTACCAAACATATTCAAACAAATTTAGATAAAATATATAAAATATCAGGATGTAAAATAAAATAACACTGATTTCTATTACAAGAAAAATGTCCAGAGAGTACACATCAGCATAAACAAACTTGACTTTCAGTCTTGGTTTTGGAAGCCTTCCACCAAAAGGGAAGGGCTGGGAAACTAGAAGACAGTGGCAAAAGCATTTTTAAGGGAGAACCATCTAAGCAAAACCCTGGGTGGGGAAAAGGATCACCCTGATACATGGCACCCAATTATGCCTGGCACAGAAGCAGCAAGGCAATTGCTAATATTATTATAATTACTCTTACTTATAAGATACTAGTAGACATCACTATAGTATATTATTTTCTTTAAAGTGAAAATGTAATTTGATTGTCCATCACTACTCTCTCTCTCCCCTCGCGCTCTCTCTCTCTCTATATATAATTACATTTCATACTTTTCCCCCATTAACCTGCATTTAGTCATAGTTCTACACTAAGACTTGTTCTAGTCTTCGTACTAAAGTAAGACTTGTCAACAAAAGTAACTATGTTTTTAATGCTTCCCACCAGTGTTTAATGTGTACCACCTGTCTCTTCTCTCTAGGCATTTTGGTTGTTTTAGGCTGTTTCTTTATTAGATTACTCAATATTCCCTGAGTTCTTCCTTATAGATAACAGTTTGTCTACGCCTTTTATACTGGAAGGTGATTTTTTTAGATAGAAAATTGTGGGCTCACAAGTTATTTTTTTCTTGATTATCTTAACTGCTGAATTAGTTCGTTTTCACACTGCCAAAAAGAACTACCTGAGACTAGGTAATTCACAAAGGAAGGAGGTTTAATTGACTCACAGTTCTACTTGGCTGCAGGGACTTCAGGAAACTTAAATCATGGCAGAAGGGGAAGCAAAGCAAGTCTTTTATGGCGGCAGGAGAAAACGAGCAAAGGCAGAAGTGCCACTTTTAAACCATCAGATATCATGAGAGCTCACTCACTATCATGAGAACAGCATGAGGGAAACCACCCCCGTGATCCAATCACCTCCCACTGGGTTTCTCCCTCAACACGTGGGGATTACAATTCAAGGTGGTGACACAGAGCCAAACCACATGAACTATGTAGCCTCATTTTCTTCTGGAGTAAACTATACTTGCCAAAAATAGGGATGCTAACATAGTTTTCTTTTTCCAGTGTCACTTACTGTTCTTTCTGGATGCCCAGTTGTTATTTTTTCTTTCTTTTTCTTTAGAATCTGGTAGTTTTATTAGAACATATTTTGGTCTTGGTTAATTCTGGTCAATGTGGCATTTGGTATGCTGTTTCAACACGTAGTTTGAAATCTTTTTCATCTTTTTCTCACTGCAGAAACTTTTTCTGAATTATAGATTTTAGTATCAGTTCTTTCCCTTGCTTTTTTTTTCTTTAGAGATGCCTATTAACCATATTTAAGAAGTTCTTTATTCATATTCCACGTTTCAATTTCTCTCTCAAATTATATGTATTTCTTTCTGCATTTCTCTTTCTCAATTTTTTTCTACTTTCAACTTCGGTTTTTCTTAAAGCATTATCCATGTGTTTATTTGTTCTTTTGATATTTCTAGTTTAGTCTTCATTTCTGAAATTATTATTTTCTTTCATTTCTATTTTTCCCTATGGTATAGTGCCTAATTTTTGAGTTTTTCTAATTCTGTTTTATAATGTTATTCCATGTTTTGCATTATATTCTTAATGTCATTTAGCTAGTTTTGAAATACAAGTTGATATTTTTATTTATTTTATTTGACTAGTTTTTATTACCTCTAGGGATGTTATTTGTCTCATTCTCTTTTGTCTTACAATATCTTACTATGGGATTGGGCCTAAATATTTTGCTATGCTTATTTTTATAGAAAATTACTTGATCCATAATTTTGAAGTTCAGAAATCCTTGTTTACCTTTACAAAGCTCCCTCTTCTGTTAATTTCATTTTAAGAACTACTTAACGACTTTGACAGAACATTCATTATATACATTCAGTATGTGGAGAACAAACAACTTGTTTCTAAACCATAGGTAAAATAAGAAATCACAAATAAATTTAAAAAATATTTTAAGCAAAATAATAACAAAATAAAATGCTAAAAATCAATGATCTAAGAGTTCTCCTTATGAATCTAGGAAAAGAAGAACACAACATGGCACAAATAAATTAATAAATATAAGGGCTAAAATAAAGGAAATAAAAAAACAAACTATAGAGAAAAATCAATGAGGCCAAAAGCTGACTTCTTGGAAAGATCACTGAAATTTATAAACAACAATGTACACAAACATTTATGTTAAAAACACAAGTAATAAACAAATTACAATATTCTAAATTAGAGTGAGCACAACTAGAGATTCCTTGAATATTATAAAGGCAATAAGACAATATTATAAATAGCTCTATGCCAATAAATTGAAAACTTAGATTAAATGGATAAATTCACTGAAAGACAGAAATATAAAAACTGACAAAAAAGAAAAATATTAATAAACCATTAAATATTAATAAACCTATATATATTTTTATATAAAAACAATAACTTTGTAATAAAACATTTTCCAAGAAGAAAACACCAGGTTGCTTATATAGCAAACAAAACATATGAGCCATTAAAGAAAAAATAATCTACAAATTGGATTTTAGCAAAACCATAAACATTTTACCTTCAAAGCATACAATAAGAAAAGTAAAAGGCAAGCTATGGAATGGGAAAAATTACTTGCAATATGTATACCTGCCAAAGGATTCCTATCAAGAATATATAAATGTTCTTCTGAGTAATGAGAAGACAAATTCCTAAATAAATACGATAAAATTTGAACATTCACTTTCCAAATGAATGTATATAAATGGCCAATAACCATATGAAAATATTCAAAACATACTTATCAGTGAAATTTGATACTAGTAAAATTTAACTGAAATTTGATATCAGTGAAAGTTGAGCACATTATTAGAATGGCTAAATTAAAACTCTGAAAAAAACAAGTCTTGACAGATACAGAGTAACCAGAACTCCCAGACATTGTTGAGGATTATTAAAACTGTTTCGCAGTTTCTTCTAAAATTAAATGTATTATTGCATTTACTCAAGAGAAACAAAACACATGCCTACATGAAAACTTAGGAATGAATATACATCATAGTTTTATTCATGATAGCCTCAAATGGAAACAACTCAAATGACCATCCATAGTTGAATGGTGAAGGAAATAGTGATATATCCATACATGTACTACTATATGCAACAGCATGGATGAATCTCAAAAGCATGCAGAGCAAAAGATGTTGGACACAGAAGAGTACAATGTACAACATTCCTTTTATATTACATTATAGGAAATGCAAACTAACTTTTAACAACAGAAAGTAGCTCAGTGGTTGCCTATGGGCTGATGGAAGGAGAGATGAATAGTCAAGGGACATGAGGAAATATTTTGGAGATGATGATATTGTTTTGTATCTTGATCATGAAGTTAGAATCAAACATGCATGTATGGGCAATATGCACTAAAGTGTATACTTTAAATGGGTGCGATTCATTGAAGTCAAATTTTATCTTAATAGATGTGATTTTTTAAAAAAGAGACTAAAGAGACATAACTAGGGTGTCTGAATTTTTGTTGGCATAGAATCAAAGAAGGTATCTAGCTTTAAAAATATTCTGGAAATAATAGGAAAATGTTACTTTAAATTAGATATTATATAAGAAATTATTATTTTTCTTGGGTGTGATTATGGCATTATGTTGATACAAGAAAATGTTCTTATTTTTAGTAAATGCAAGCTGGAGTATTTGGGGGTAGAATGCCATGATACCTGCAACTTATCAAATAATTCAGAAAAAATTATAAGCAGATAATACATAAATCTATGATGGCATTATAGATGAATAAACATAAAAATATATTATAGAAAAATGCTAACTAGTGTTTAATTTGGGTGCTAAAGGTGTTTACTGAACTTTTCTTACATACACACACACACACACACACACACACATATAACTTCAATGCTGATTTTTCAGATTTCAAAATCAAACCAAAAGAGCGCCTAGAAACTAGCCTTTGGCTTTCTATTCCTGTGTTAGTTTGCTGAGAATAATGGTTTCCAGCTTCATCCATGTCCCTGAAAAGGACATGAACTCATCCTTTTTTATGGCTGCATACTATTCTATGGTGTATCTGTGCCACATTTTCTTTATCCAGTCTATCATTGATGGGCATTTGGGTTGACTCCAAGTCTTTGCTATTGTGAATAGTGCTGCAATAAACATAAGTGGGAGTTGAACAATGAGAATACATGGACATGGGGAGGAGAACATCACACACCGGGGCCTGTCAGGGGGTGGGGGGCTAGGGAAGGGATAGCATTAGAAGAAATACCTAATGTAGATGACGGGTTGATGGGTGCAGCAAACCACCACGACATGTGTATACCTATGTAACAAACTTGCACGTTCTGCATATGTATCCCAGAACTTAAAGTATTTAAAAAAAAAAAAAAGAAGAAGAAGAAGAAGAAGAAACTAGCCTTTGGCTCCAGAGTTCTTACTGCCACAGTTTCAAGTAAAATGTTTGTATTTGAAGGCAGAACAATCTAAAGGTAAGAGTGAAACAGACTTCTTGATGTGAAGTAATCAAAATAGGGTTGTTATTTTTCAAAAGTAAAAACAAACAACATATATCAGAAATATATATGAACATATATGAAAATGCAAAATTTATGATTCACTGATATTGATTTGGAAAAATAGAGAGAAGAGAGTCTTGAGGTACCACATATCAAAACCCATAAAAACAATGATATATGTATATATGCATATATATTTAAATGCTTAATAATAGAGGTATTACTGCTTAAAGAGGGCTTCAGTTTTAACTGTAATACTCTAATGTTACACAACGAGAATGTTTTCAAGTGTGCACATATCCCCTATTTTTATAATAAATACAAATTAAAATAGAAATAGTAAGTGTAAAACATCACTGATTGCAAGTATTTGTTCTTTCTATGGGAGTAATGCATTTCTCTTCAAAATAGTTAGCATTTATTAGAAAATAGACACGGAATTCATCTGGAATAGTGGAAGAATAAGAAAAAGAAACCTAATTTTTTCCACATAAAAAAAAAAACAAGGTGCCTGTGTTTCTGCAGAGTAATCTAAGGCCAGAATAAGGGGGCCAAGAAAAGGAGGTGATGAAAATGTAGCTCTGAGTCAATTCTATTTTAGTTGCAATAGACAAGGTGACCCCAACTAACTTTTTTTATAGTACTCTTATTTTTCCATAATAAAATTCTTTCTTAAAATAGTTTAGGCCATTTGTAATTAACAACTAATCCAGTTTTGTGAACAATGCTTGAATGAAAAGGAATGAATCCCAAACAAGAAAAGTCCATTAATCAGGACATAAATTACATAAAGAAGGTTGTCCCTTAATATCAGTCATTTTTCTATACAATTATTTTATTTTTAAATGGTAAAGTCTATATATGAACATATATCAGTTCAATAAAAGAAAAAACTTTGTAATATCCAAAACTTCTGAAAACACATTGAGCACCCTTATGAAGAAAACTTTTTCTCTATAGCTAGAGGTGCTCAAAAAAGCTTGGACAAGCACTACAAAAATAAAAAATAAATTGCATAAAATTTCAATTATAGGTATTCATTCATCCTTTCACCAACAAACATACAAATGGAGTGCCAACCATGTGCCAAGGTTGTGTGCAGCCCTCCAAAAGCAGTGTTGAGCCGATGCATCTGTGATTACCTCTACATATACCTGATACTACAGTAGGAGAAACAGATGTTAATTAAATAATTACACAAACAAATGCAAAATTACATCAGTGATGACAGCTATACGTCAGTTGGCGTAATGACCACCAATATCTTTCCCAAATAAATGTGTATTCATTTTTTTCATAGTCTACCCTAGATATAAAGCCCTAGTGTCATTTTTTAATTTTGGTATTCAGGAATATTTGCAAAAAAAAAAAAAGAATAAGAATACATTGAGTTTTACAATCTATCTCTCACTAAAAAAGAACCTGATACTACAGTAGGAGAAACAGATGTTAATTAAATAATTACACAAACAAATGCAAAATTACATCAGTGATGACAACTATATGTCAATTGGCATAATGACCACCAATATCTTTCCCAAATAAATGTGTATTCATTTTTTTCACAGTCTACTCTAGACATAAAGCCCTGGTGTCATTTTTTAAGTTTTGTATTCAGGAATAATTGCAAAAAAAAAAAAGAATAAGAATACATTGAGTTTTACAATCTATCTCTCACCAAAAAAGAACTTCTTTTATAAAATAAATTAGGAGAAGTGCAACATGAGATGATTATATAGAATCTGAAGCATATCATGAGTGGCATTGTTTTTTGAAAGGCTATGCTCCTAATGAAGAGAATTTCTAGCAAAGGAGCAATTGTTCCCTTCTTTCAACCTTCTGCCAGAATAAGTTGTTTAACTTGCAGTATAGAGGAGAGCTAGTTAAAAAAAAAAAAAAATTAAAAAAAAAGTTTGTTTTTCCCCTTAATCTCATTAAGAAGACACAGATTAATCACACTGCACTGCAGTAAAAATGGTTCTGTCACCTCTCTTTCACCCACTTACAGCCAGGGAATGACTACTCATTTGGCCAGAGTCCACAATTCTCTCAGCCATCTCATTTTGCCTCTACAAAAACAGACGTGGTCTGAGGAGCAGTGAGTGAAGCTTTTGGAAAAGTCATCCTGGACCACACAGCAGTTGCTCATGGCAGCATGAAATGTCCGTCCTTTCTACCAGCTGGTCCTGAATCACTGGAAGTGACACATGCTACTTCTGGGACAAAACTGAGGATTACTATGATGGAGCAACACATGAGCACAAGATTTAATTTTTTTTCTGCAGTCACAACCCCTCCAAGAATTGGCTTGTGTGCATCCATTTGAAGTTCGAAGTGTTGTCAAGTGAATAAAAATAAATCATCTTAAATGTGAACAACATAAACTCCTCTAGTGAATAAGCAACATCTTTAGTTTTGACGTTTTGGAAGTCATCTGCTCTAATAACAAGTTTATGGGTTTTAACATGAAAAACCAGCAGTCCTGGATTAGCATTACTCCGGAGCAGAAGGTTCACTGTCAATAAAGGTACACAGTATTTTTGTCAAAACATGCCATGTAGATAGCAAAACCGCATTAATTTGACATTCAGTTAGCAAAAACACTTTCAGCTTACAATATAGTGGGTGGTGAACTGCACGCTCCAGGACATCTTCTAATCCAACTTGGAGGCGGACTCTCACAAAGAGGATGGTTTGCCAAAAAAGGAAGTCATGGGAAAAATGAAAAGCCTTCTGTGTTTGTCATCCAGGCCTGGCCTTCTCTTATGAACAGGTAATTTGGGGTCATTCACAGATTACTGAAACATGTCCAGCAATAAATTGAATTTCCTAAGAAATCCAGGAGCTAGGGCCAAATATTTATTTCAAGGACAAATGGAGCTAGGATGGACAAATAACATTTGTTTCATAGAACAGATATGTGCTAATAAAGGTAGCTAAAGATTGAATTTTCATAAAGCAGCATTATTTCCATTTGTCTGCATTTTTAACTTGCATAAAAGAAAAAACATCTCTGAGCGATCTGAGGTGAAATCTTTGGACGAGAGAGGAATGCATTTTGAGATGTCTGTCCATTTGGCATTATTTTGCCTGCAGCGATGTAACCAACGGCTTGTCCTTTGTAGATATTGCTTCATTGTCCTAACTCCAAGACTTTATTCCATTCCTACTCTCTGCGCTTGCTCTTTGTCACTTGTCTGCCTGGATCAAAACAATGTCTTCTTGTGTCTGGGTTTAAAGCTCCTCAAATCTGACTTGTCATCATTTTTATCAAAGGCAAATAACAAAGAGCCCTGACTTGTTCCTGGCACCTAGAACTGTATAAATGTGTTACAGTAGATACAGGCACATTGTAGACACTCAGTAAATATGTACTGACTGAGGAAACTTCTGTCAATGTCCCACATAATAGCCACATCGAATTTTTCTTAGAGTACTCTAAAATCTACTTGATAAGTCTCCCTTCTCCTAATCTTCCTACCTCCCACAAAGCAGTTCATGTTTATCTTCCTAAATCACGGTTCTGATCAAGGTATATTTCTTCTCAAAAGGCTTAAATGGCTCTTCACAGCTGAACTCAAATTTCTCTATGACATGTGTTAAGAATAACAGAAATCATAACCTCCAGGGCTGGCCCAATGGAGGGAGGGAATAGTAAGAGTATCTTTCTTCTTCTCCTTCTTGTAGTGTAGCTTTGTGGATGCAAAGTAACTAGTCTGTAAGGTCTTTATTAGTATAATATAGACATTTTTTAATGCTACATCTTTAGTTCATATACTATTATGAGCCAAATTGTGTCCCCCCAACATTCGTATGTTGAAGTCTTCACTTCCCATGTGACTGTAAGTAGAGACAAGGCCTTTTAGGAGATAATTAAAGTTAAATGACATCATAAGGATGGGGCCCTGATCTCATAGAGCTGGTGTTTTTATAAGAATAGGAAGACACCAGAGCACTCAATCTCTTTCTCTTCTCTTTGCTCTCTTCTCTCTCTCCCTCTTCCTCCCTCTCTCTTTCTCTCCCACTGTGAGCATAAAGACCATGTTGCCGTCACAGCAGAAGGTGGTGTCTGTTAGCCAAGGAGAGATGCCTCACCTAGAGCCAATCCTAACAGCATCTTGATCTTGAACCTGAGCCTCCAGGACTATGAGAAAATGAATTTCTGTTGCTGAAGACAAAAAGAAAAAAAAAAGCAAGAAAAGGAAAGGTAAGGAAAAAGAAAGAAAGGAAAAGAACTAGTCCAGAGGGACAGCTGTTGCAATTTTACTTGTGCGGATTGTAAATGGATACATCAGGAAAGGGGCAGGATGCTCTTCGGCACTCCTGTGGGAATCACACAGGGAACAAGGCCTTCTCCATGCTGCCAGGATGGAGAAGCAATCCTCTTCTGTCCAGGTCTTCGAGCTGGTTCGATGAGACTCCATGGCATCTTCTGTCCCCACCCATCACTCCTCTGACGTCATCTCCTCCCACCCTCCCTTCTCATTCCCTTGGGTCCAGATCCAGGCACACTGGTCTCTGTCTTGTTCCCTGGATACAAAAGTGAGGTCCTTTGGATTTGCAGGCCTTCCCTGGCAACCCAATTTAAAATTGCTTCTCATCGGCCCAAAAATCCCTGATCCTCCCTCCCATGTAATTTTTCTGTAGTATTTATCACCATCTAACCTACTTTATTTTTTACTTATTTTCTCACTTATTGTCTGTTTCCCATATTACAATGAAAGATGCATGTAAGCAGAGATTTTCGTCAGTTGTATCTGTTGCTATGTCCCTTGCTTCTAGAAAAATGCTTGGAAATGAATGAAGAAGTGAAATAATGAGTGAATAAAAGGATGAGGAATAACTTTCCAATATTATCTCAGAATCTATGCCCCAAACACAGCTCTTACATTAGCAAAGTTCTGTTCTTTCGAATCGACCCAGAGTTTGTAAATGTACTACATATTTTTCCATTCCAGCACTTTTTATCACTCTTTCACTTGGTAACCCTTTATTATTTTATTTCTGTCAAAATCCTGTCTCTCAGTCGGCATTCTGATCTAAGACAGGAATCAGCTACAAAAGGACGATGTTCAAGCCTTCTAAAGGATGTGGGTTAATACTGTATCATCCTGCTTGTGACTCATTACCACTTCCTTCTCAGGCCCTTGCCACCAATGGGTTTGAGTGGAAGCACATCTGGCCTCTAGTATGCTGCATTTCCACCTCCTTTAGGCCCCTTGGCTTTGTGATGGCCAGCAATCCTCTGGCTTCTCTCTTCTTGTTTTGCCGTCTCAGCAAATGACTTGCATTCCCAGCTTAAACTTGCTTTTCTTTCCTAGCATTTGCTAAATCCCTTGGTTCCAGCGAGGCAGCCTTGCAGGGTCCCACATCCTTCCAGCATTCCCCACGGAGTGAGCAGGGTGCCCTGAACAGAGCAGTGGTTATCCTTTAAAAGAACATGATTGGATTCCATCACCTCCATGGAACTATGGCAACAGTGAAAGATGGAAGCTGATACATGACTTGGCCATGCTGATACATACTTCCAAGGCCAGATGATTACTTCTTCAATTTTTATTCCCTAGGAATACTGGATTTTTCTCTATCATTGGCTACTATCACACTCATTTAAAAAACTGGGCCTGAAACTCTCTCATTGCAAGGTTAAACAAAATAAATGCTGCTCTCTAAAAAGCACTGCTAATAATTGGTTAAAAAAAGAGATGCAAAAAATAATTTCATCTGGAGTTTTGATCGTACTCAACCACTGATTCTAACATCTTATTTATTTTGTGTCAAAAAGTTATGAAGAAATCCCACAAAATTTATGTTTTTCATTGAATCTTAGAGTCTTTCATATTATTTTTTTATGGGAACTATGATAACACAGAAAGAGAAGTAGATGGAAAAGAAGACAGGAACTTGAGTACAAATTCTATGTGATCTGCAGCAAATCCCTCTCACTGGATTTTCGTTTTATTACTAGTAACACAAGGCTAATATTTCAACCCTAAACTCAAAAAGCATGTCGACATGCTCAAACATGAGCAGTTACCCCATACTAATAAATCACTATATACACACATGGCTTTATTGACAGGAAATATATTACTACATCAATGAGTAAATATCTGAATCTTTTTACCACATGAGACACTGATGTAGAAATGGGGACCTCCTTCTATCCCATTTGCTAAATGAATACAGCATTAGTGTCAGTATCACCATCATCATAATCATTATCATCACCAATGGATCATCATTTATAGCAGGAAGTCTACTTGATGCTTTACATATATTATCTAATTAGCTCAAAAAAATTACCATAATCAGGATCTGTTATTGTCTCATTAGTCCTAAAAATAATGATATAAGTAGGTGTTGTTATTTACTGTTTGCATTTAAGAAGGAAAAACGCATGCATTTACTCAGATTATTAAAAAGCGAATTTTATTTGTCTGATCCAAACTTTATATTTATTCTCTTTATTGGAAAGCAGGAAGAAGGGAAGACAGGCAGGCAGGCAGGCAGACAGGCAGGAAGGAAGGAGTGGTGGGAGTAAAGGGAGAGAGAGAAAGAAGCAGAGTAAGTGCAGATTAGCCTGCACTTGGCAGTACCGTAGCCAATAGCCACATATGACTACTTAGATTTAACCTAATTAAGATTTTAAAAATTAAAAATTCAGTTTTTAATTTGCACTACGCTTATTTCAAGTGCTCAATAGACAACCATACTGGGCATTGCAAATGAAGAACATTTTCATCACTGCATATAGCTGTATCAGGCAGCCCTGGGGTAGACTATGGTGCCCTTAGTGCAGTATTCTCATATCAAAAACATTTTTGCAGAGGCCCGGGTACTGTCTCTCACATCACCCCCAAAAAGGTTTATTTTCAAAATATTTCCAGGCTCCCCTTGATATTCCATTACGGATTTGAACATACGTATTTTTAATGCGTACCACTGACTTTATTTTTAAAGTTTAGTATCTATTAGAAAAAGGAGTATTTTCTGCATGTGGGTGTGCATGTATCTGTCTTTACAACAATTACTTTAAAACATCAAGAACTGCCTTCAACTTGTATGTCTAAGTATAATAGCTAAAAACATAGTGCAAGTCCTAACTGTGGTAACTAGCTGAGTAATTGGAAAAGTGATTTGAGCAGTTTCCTCAACTGTAAAGTGGAGATAAAATAGTAAATATCCCCATGAGATTATTGGATTAAGCAAGACAGTGTTTACAATGTACTAATATGGTCTCCAACACATAGTAAGAATGTAATTAATGTAAATTATTGTTACATTGATAAAAACATAAATGCCATTATATTTGAATTAGACTTTGTATGGCAGAATTACATTTTCTCAAGGCCAATATTATACATACCTGGGGGATCCCTGTCTAAGACAAACTGAAATGATATCCTCAGTAATGGTGCTAATCAATATACTGTTCTTTTTCTCCCCTTGAATTGGCTTTAAATGTTCACCAGGTAATTAATCCAAATCAATAATTAAGAAGATTCTGAATGACAGGAGCAATAACACTGATTAGATTAAGATAAATACTCTGGAGTAGGTATCAGTTGATACCATTTTAAACGTGACTCTTAACTGTTTGGACAGATGACAAAAGTACCTTGGGAAAACAGAGATGAATTAGATTTATCCAGCAACATAACAATGTATGTATATGAACACTTCATGTATTATGTATCTTAACATAACGATTGATGGTAATATACTTTTTAGTGATTATTTTTAATCAAATTATTGCATACTAAAAAAGTTCCTTCAGGACAAAAATGCATGATTTTATGGTTCCTTATAATTGAAAAAAGGAATTTACAAGCTTTTGCTTTAAAAAGAAGAGGAAACATCGGTTGTACTGACCAGGAGTCTCAGTTTAATGATTGGTTCCTTTCTTAACATTTTCATCTGAGGTCAAATCTCTGAGAAACAACAAACATGTAGTCATTTTCTCAAGTGTGGAGAAGACCGAAGAGGAAAAAATTTTGAGGGACACTTCACGGCAGGTACACACCAGCTCACGTCATGCCATAACATGGCATGGGGGAAAGAAAATGGCCTATTGGTGGGGTGAAGGGGCAGTGCTGTGGGGACTTGAGCCACCACTGATCCACTGTGGACAGATGCCTTGGTGCACATTTCAGCAAGGCTGGCACAGGTAAGTAGCCACCCAGGACAGAGTCCTCTCCAGCCCTACCCCCAAATAATGTAGCACTCTCTGAACCCATTGTAATTCACTTGCATTCTCATGGAAAGGAAGAACCCTGAATTGGCCAAGATTAACCCTCCACCACACTGGCTGAATTACAGAATTTGGACCACACAACTCATAATCAACCTGTATTTCTTGAACATCTGGATTTGCAGTCTAAGATCCTTATCCTTTACATATGTCAGGATGTAGGATTATGATATCATTTAGTGGTCCTGGTTTACAAGACAGTGGTTCTCAAACTTTGAGTGCTTCTCAACCCATAGTGTAGTCACAGTCATGAGAGAGAGCTTACAAAACTACTGAGGTCTGGTTGAATCCCAGTCATTCTGATTAATTGGTCAGTGATGCAACCTGAGTATTAGGAATTAAAGAGCACCCCTAGATGAGCGTAACGTGCAGTCACAATTAAGCACCAGTATTCTAAGTTAAATTTTATATTTTATTTTTTGAGAGGTCTTAAAGTCTTGAAAAAAATAAACATCAATAGCTTCAGATAGGAAGGTCTCTGGATATCATTGGTGGCTTTAGGCATAGGTACTGATGTAGGATTTAAGAGCTGGGTGATGCAGGTCCTCTCGCTCGCCACTGTCTCTCTGTGTTGGGAATTCAGTTTTTTGGTCTCTTGCCTGAAATGCAAATATAAAATATAGCTAGGGGCAGACAGAAGCAAGGTGAGGTTGGCATATCCTCAAGTCATTCTTTTCTTCTCATACCCAGAATCAGTGAAGAGAAAAGCCACATTTCTCCCTAGTGACCAAGGAAGCTTAATGTCACCTTGAGTGCAAGAATATTAGCCATAGAAACCTTTGCAAATAAATGTCAGGAGAAGCTTTTAAGCCAAAGTTCATTCTCTGCCAATTTGATTTCACACAAGCTAGATAGGAATAAACTTTCTCTCTAAGTGGTAAATACATACAATTGGAGTGGTATCTAAGAATGCTGAATTTCAAAATTAGAGCAATTATTCAGGAAACTTAGGAACCCAAATCAGTTTACATGGAAGTGTGTGAACATACTAATTAAAACATTTCCAGGTATTTTTTATTCCTAGACAGTATAAACTTAGAAATAATATGATAATTAACAAAGATGTTCCTGAATAAAATCTATCTAACCCTGAAAATTTGCCTTGCTTGTTAATTCAAAGACTTCTAAGAGGAACATAATACAGTTAGCTTTTGGGCTATGATAATATCCAGTCACTATCAAAATTGGTTGTTGCATTTTTTCTACCTTTTCTTTTGCTTGTGCATATTTTTAAAATGCAGTCAATTACTAGTTGCGATATTGTGGATTTCCTTGAGCAGAAATTGAATGCAAATGCCTGGTGAACATTATCAGATCAAAATCCCACTGAATCATCAGGACAAACTGGACTGGATTTGTTACTATGTGATTCTGAATAAAACTATTCAAATTTCCAAAATAGATTGTATACAAAGATAGTTTTATAACCGCATTTCATTTAGACATGATAATCTAACCCTAGAGATTAGAGTGCTTTTTAATCACAATTGTCTCATGAAAAGAAAGCAAAGGATGGGACAGAGGAGGATTTAAACAAAGAAAGCCTGCTTTCAGAAAAACCGTTTTAAAAACACATATCAAAACATAATTCAAAACACTGCTTTAAAACTATTTCAATAAATACAAGGTGCACCAAAATTAGCTCATTTTTATTCTCTTTTTCTAAAGAAAAAGTACAATCAATAATTCTCAGACCAGAATAACATAATGGATAAAAAAAGGGGAACAGATTGTTTTATTTTCTTCTGCAACACAACATTGCAGTCTCACAGTCAAAAAGACAGCATCTAGGTGTGGGTGTATAATTGAGTTAGTTAATCAGGCCTTCCATGTTGCTATCCTCTTTGATGCACATTTAAGTGCAGAAATATAAGTAATGTGTTCTAGAAGAAAAGCAATTGAAAAAGGTAGAATGGTTAAATGCCATTTTCGGTTACTGATGATAAATGAATTGTAATTTTTAAAGTACATCGCAGAGAAGATCAATCTGATGACTCATATGAAATGTTTCACCTAGATTCAAAGAGTTCCTAAAGAAACTTCAAAGTCTGTTCCGCTGTCAATTACAACAGTTTCACTATTGGCTAACCCTACCCTCTACTGCACAGCAGAAATATGTCTGCATACATAAATACTTTGGTCAGCACCTGGTCAGTACAAAACCAAACAAATTACCATCAATGAAAGAAAAAGAAAAAAAAATGGCAGATACCTTTGCTGCTTCTAAAACCCTGAGAGGTATCCCAGCATGTCTCAGTAACTGCAAATGGTTCTCGGCTAACACAACCCAACAAGAACTAGTGGAAAGACTCACCAACGAAGCAATTCTTTGTTTTTCTCCAATGGAACTATTTCTTACTACCAACACACACTTAAAGAAACCCTACCATCTTGTTGTCTAAAGTTTTGTGTACCATCAAAATGCTGGGCTAAAAAAAAAAATACCCGGGGTTTTAATAGAGGATTATTTATATAGCTAGCTTGTGATAAAAAATTGTACTCCTATGACTAGAATCAGTTGTATTTTACATCATTCATATGTAAATAATGGATTTACATCCAGATTTACTAACATTAATATTTAAAATGTGGAATCACCAATTAAGTATTATAAGTCTTATCATAACCTCCCAAAACAAAGACAAAACCAAACATAATTTCATAACTTTATTTTAATGAAAGTGTTGAGTATCCCAAATTGGTTCATTGTAAGTATTTTATATAAGAACACAATGGGTTTGGAACACTTTCACTCTAGAGAGAACTATATCATAAATTCCTATAATATTTTCTATTTGATGGTGAACTTTATGTTAGTTGCACTTTGTATTTTCATACTTAGATGGAAGGAATATGGGAGCCCTCTGGTGGCCAATATTAAAGTGCTTATTAGTACAACCCAAATTCCCCTAGCCTGGGACCTCAGGAGCAAAGGTGGATAGAAGGAATGGAAGGCATCTAAGTTGGAATAAGTGAGGGTACACACATACCACACCCATGTGTATTCCAGTTTTTAAGGCAGTATATTTAGTGGTCATTTCAGGTTCAAGGTTAAACTTTCATATATGAGGGATAACAAAGAAATTGAAATTCAGACAATAAATAGATGTGATGTTGACAACAGCTAGGGGGAGAAATATGGAAATTTCATAATATTAACAGATACGGTTATTAATAGATACAATTAATTTGTTTTTATATTTCTCATCATTTGTAGAGTAGCTTGTTAATATCTCTCACTACACAAATGACATTAAAGAAGAAATGAGAGACTTTAGGAAATAAATTAGCTCCTAAAACTGATTCCTAACCAAAAAAAATAATAATAATTTGATGTCATTCATGAAACAGCACCTTTGTGACTTAGAAGTGTTTATGCACTTCTAAAGTGATTAGTTTTTTCCAAGGGAGATAATTATTCCCTCTAAAGTACTAAGTCATGGCAATTTCAGTGATGAAACTTAGCAAATTTTTAACAGATGTTAACATTCTGACTGCTTTCAAACTGCAAGTTTCCCTTTATCTTCCATCAAGCAACCAAATTATATCTAACTATTAAATTAGCATACACCAGCCAACACACTTCTTCATACAATGCAAGAATATGGGGACGTTTAGGATAGAATATTTAGGATATAGTTATTTTGTCTCACTTTAGAATGTGTCTTCATTTATAGGTCATCAAATGGAAACACAGAACATGTGTTTGTGTTTACAGATGTGTTAACTATCACAATTGCCACAATAATGCAAAAGATATTAAATTTAGGGCATTAACTTTATATGATGAAATTCACATTGAATAAACAAACACTATATAAATATTTATTTAAATATGCACTTCATTCTCAGTTATTGCAGAAAAATAAAAATAATTATACATTACTAAGTTGTTCTTTGAGATCAGGAGTATCACATGTATGATATTTTCCAAGATCACTTAAATCTAGAATATTGGTGCAAAATAATTACTGCAGATGTGAATAATACATCCTCGTTAACAATTCATTACTTGTTGGTCAATTTCAGAACTTGATTTCATGGGGTCAATGGTTCTTCATTAATTTGAAGTATAATAATTACTGACCATTTTAAAGGCTTTAGACTTAGAAGTGCAAGAGCATTATAAAGGCAGAGGAATTCTAGCCATAAGTAATTTTGATTAATGAAAATGATTTTAAGGAGTATATAATTTCTCTTTTAAAATTATAACATTCTCTTAAAGACATAATACGTTGGATAAAATTTTTGGTATTTTGTCTTCCAATGATCATCATGATCAACAACAAAATTTTGGCACCATGTAATAATTTTCTTAAATTTCAGTGTACACAGGAATCACTTGGGAGGCTTATTGGATCCCCAAGCTCCATACCCAGTAATTCTCATTTAGTCTTACTGGTCTTACTGTGTACCTGCCTTATGCCATAAGCAGTTGCACACCTACCCAGACTCATCAATATCACCTTCACAGTATAACTCACATCTGTCACACCTGAGAGGCATTTGTTACATACTATGGGGGCAACACTTTTTCATTTTTATTTTTAAATATCCCTCTTCACACTCTCTGGAATATCAGGCAAGTCCTAGGTTCCACTGAAGAAAAAGGAATTATACAAACCCATTACTCATAGAGGGTTCCTTAGGGGTGTGTGCCATAGTACTGTACACTCAAAGGCTGTTCCTTTAGAAGTTCTCATCGATAATGCCTAAATAGGTGGACCCATAGTTCTTGCAAGTTAAAGTTGTTGACAAAATGCTTGCCAAATGAAAGAATGCAAGATTTTTAGCAAAGAAAGAAGCCCCAGACAAAACGATTCACCAGCACAAACAAAAGAATTTCCTGCCACACAAATGGGCAGGACACCAAACCACTGCTATGTCCTGGTACAGGAAACACCCAAGCAATCTTTATAATTTATTCTGTTATAATATATTCTGAATCCCAGCTTCAAAGAATGAGGCACAGATGCAGGACCTGGGGGAGGCTTTAGCATGCAGATTGACTTAAGGGAAGGTAATTATAGATAAGAATCCACATACCTCAGAACATTCAGAACAGAAAAGACATCTTCCAGTCAAAGAATAACTACATTTCCTTGCAGCACTCTGGCTCTCAAAACAAAAGGTCAACCACCCCATGGGAAGGGTCCTTGTGCTCACTCACAACCTATGAATGACAATCCCACAGTCCTAAATCTTTGATGAGGTGTTTAAATACAATCTGTATCCAATTCCGATGAAAAGCTTCATGTCCACTCAAGGTTACCTAACCATTTGTTCACTAATTCTCAAGGAAAATAAATAAATTTGTGAAACATAAATCTTACAAAGCAAATAGACCTAAATCCACATTTCTAAATTTGAAACATCATTCAGAAAATGGAAATTCTTAAGTACAGGTAAATCTTAGAAGAGACGTGGAGACAGAAATTTCCTGGATGGTGAGTGGCCTGAGGAGAAGCACGAGTGGACCCAGAATGGGAATAAAAATAGAAATAAGCGAGAAGTGAGGAAGAAATACAGAAATAACCCAGCAAAGGCAAAGTAGAAATAACATGCAGAAGAAGAGATCAGATCATCAAACACAAAGGCAAGTGGAAGAGGGATATCCATCTGAGCTTGGAAGTAAAATGACTTAAATGAGGATAGAAAAAATAGGACGAGTAGTCGAATTACAAAGAAACACAAAATCCACAGGAGTAACTGCTACTATTTGTCAGAGGGGTATTATTTCAAATTAGAATGACAACATTCAAATTAATCTGCAGACTGAAAAGGAAATTGCACATTTTGGTATGTCTGAGAGAAGGAATTCTTCCTCCCTTAGCTGATGCCATCAAGGAGACTTCTGGTTTTCATTTTCCAGTGCAGCATAACAAATGACCACAAACAAGATGTTTAAAGTAACATCTACTCATGATCTCACAGCTCTGCAGATCAGGAGTCTGGGCACAACTTAGGTGGGTATTCCACTCAGGAGGCTGACATGAAGGTGCATGTCTGGCTGCATTCTCATCTGGAGACTTGAACGGGGTAGACTTTACCTCCCAGCAACCACAGGTTGTTTGTGGAATTCATTTCCTTGTGGCTATAGGATGTATGGAAACTTGCTTCTTCAAAGCCAGGAAAGGAGGGCGAGAGTCTCTGCTGCTTTGAAGCTCTAACTCCAGGGAAGGCCTGGCTTTTCCTTTAAAGGGCTTACCTGATTAGGTCAACCCCACCCAGTAAAATTTCTCTTTTGATTAGCTCAAAACAAAAGGCTAGGGACTTAATGCTTCTGCAAAAATCCTTTCACCTTTGTGTATAAGTTAACAAAATCACTGGAGTGACATTCTATCACTTTTGTCATATTGTAGTGGCTAAAGGCAAGTCTCAGGTTCCACTCAAGAAAAAGGAATTATACAAGGTCATGACTCATAGAAGGTTCCTTAGGGGTGTGTGCCACAGTACTGTATACTCAAAGGCTGTTTCTTTAAGAGTTCTCATTGATAAGGCCTAAATAGGTGAACCCATACTTTCTGCAAATTAAAGTCATCTCTCTTTCTACTCCTGAAGTTTTCTTTTTTTTCAAATTGGAGTAGAAGAGAATGATTATTCTAAGAAAGAAAACAATAAATTAGGAAAATTGAATGTAAGACCTCAAACTATAAAGTTCCTAGAAGAAAATCTAGGAAATATCCTCATCGACATCAAGCTTGGTAAAGGATTTATGGCCAACTCCCTAAAAGCAATTGCAACAAAAACAAAAATTGACAAGTGAGATCTAATTAAACTAAAGAGCTTCTTCTGCACAGCAAAAGAAATCATCAACAGACTAAACAGACAACATACAGAATGGGAGAAAATATTCACAAATTATGTGTCCAACAAAGGTCTCATATCGAGAATCTATAGGAAACTTAAACAAATTAACAAGCATAAAACAAATAACCCCATTAAAAAGTGGGCAAAAGACATGAACAGACACTTCTCAAAAGAAGATATATATGTGATCAACAAACATATGAAAAAATGCTCATCACTAATCATCATCAAAATGCAAATCAAAACCACAATGAGATACCATCTCACACCAGTCAAAATAGCTATTATTAAAAAGTCAAAAAACAACAGATGCTGGCAAGGCTGGCAGGAAAAAGAGAACTCGTACACTGTTCGTGGGAATGTAAATTAGTTCAACTACTTTAGAAATCAGTTTGGAGATTTCTCAAAGAACTTAAAACAGAGCTACCATTTGACCTAGCAATCCCATTACTAGGTATATATCCAAAGGAATATAGATCATTATATTGCATTCAGATGTTCACTGCTGTTCTATTCACAATAGCAAAAACACGGAATCAACCTACATACCCATCAATGGTGGATTGGATCAAGAAAATATGGTACATATATAGCATAGAATACTACACAACCATAAAAAAGAATGAAATCATGTTCTTTGCAGCAACATGGATGAAACTGGAGGCCATAATCCTAAGTGAATTAATACAGGAAGAGTAAGCCAAATACCACATGTTCTCACTTACAAGTGGAAGCTAAACATGGAATACACATGAACATAAACATAGATACAATAGATGCTGAGGACTACTAGAGGAGGGGATGGAGGAAGGGAGCACTGGTTTACAAACTACCTATTAGGTACTAGGTTCACAACCTGGGTCCAATATACCCATGTAACAATCCTACACATGTACCACCTATATCTAAAATAAAAGCTGAAAGTAAAAGATAAATTAATTAAAGCTAGTACTCCTAAAGAAAAAAAAGAGAAATTGGATTTCTTTTTTGTACTATCTTTTGTTCTTTCAAGATCACTGCATAATTCATGTCTAGGAAGGCACTCTGTTGAATTAAGTAAGTTAATTGTTATAGTAACCAATGACATTCTTTAAAACATTGGGGATTTGAATTCTGACATGAAGTTAATAACAGGAAACTTGAAAAATGGTGTTTTTCAAGGAGATTAGACTAAAGGACTTTATTTGATAGGTTAAAACTTTAAAGGGACTATGGGAAGTCATTTCTGTTCACTCTGGAATCAGACACGGAGGATGACTGGCTTTGTGCATCACTAAAACCAAAATTTCCCCATTCATTTTTGCTTTGGGAAGTCACTATGATCAGTTTCAAATCTGAAATTAGGTCCATGTACAAACCTTATCATCCAATAATAATAATGATATTGAATATCGGTTAATATTGAAACAATCACAACATGTGCTAAGTAAACCGGGTCCAATGGTATTATTCAATTTAGAACCTGGGTAGAATATTAATTTATGTTTGTAAATAAAATTAAAATGAGGGATGAATGTTTGAATGTGATTTTCAGAGTTGCTTAATGCTGGTATAAGAATAAACAGATATAAAAGACTATATGGTTTGGCTGTGTCCCCACCCAAATCTCATCTTGAATTGTAATTCCCACAATTCCCAGGTGTCATGGCAGGAACCTAGTGAGAGGTGATTGAATTATGGGGGCAGGTCTTTCCTGTGCTATTCTGATGATCGTGAATGAGTCTCATGAGATCTGATGGTTTAAAAAATGGGAGTTTCCATGAACAACTCTCTTTGCCTGCCACCATCCACGTAAGATGTGACTTGCTCCTCCTTGCCTTCCACCATGATTGTGAGGCCTCCCCAGCCATGCGGAACTATAAGTCCATTAAACCTCTTTCTTTTGTAAATTGCCCGGTCTTGGGTATGTCTTTATCAGCAGCATGAAAATGGACTAATATGACAGATATGAAAGCTTTACTTTTCTTTTCTTTTTTGTTTGTGATTTATGTTTGGTTCCTTAGTCAATGTTTTCTATTAATATGAGCCAATGTTCTTTACTAACGGGAGCCAGTTTCAAGTTTGGGAAAGGAGAGAATTTTTTAAAAAACCTTAAAATACAGTTTATTACAATAAATTTGATTTAAAAAGTTTCTCAAAGAGTTGAAATATTGAAAACATCAAAGAACAAAATATGGAATATTCATCTGAGCTCTGGACAAAAACTTTCTTAATAATGACAGAAATCACAAATAAAAAATCAATTGATTTGACTACATATAAATGTAAGACTTCTAACATAGAATAAAACAATGTAAATTTTATTTCAAAAATATGACCAAGCATAAATATCCATAATATAATAAAACTTAATATTTATCAGAAAACACACCCTCTAAGCTTTAGTGAGAAAAATTAGCAAATATTTAAATATGAAAATATTCAATTCCAGTGATGATGTGATAAAATGGAAGCTCACACTTTGCTGGCAGGAAAGTAAATAGAACCATATTCTTATAAAGCAGTTTGGCAAATATAAGAGATAAGATGTTCCATACCTACCAATTCAATAACTCCTACCAGTCTATCTTATGGAAATGATCAGAAACGTAGACAAATATTTTTATGTAAAGATGCTCATCATGCAGTGTTTATAGTAAACTGGAAAGAAACTAAATGTACAACTTTTGGTGAATTGATCGTATTACAAATGTGTATAAAATACATAAAGCCCTGGCAAAATGTTAGGTACTGAGGATACAGTATTGAAAGACAAAGTTCTTGCTTTTATGGAGCTTACATTCTAGTAGTGGAGACAGCCAAGAGACATAAATAAATAATTACAGATTGCCACTAATGCTACAAAGAAAATAAACTGGGTAATAAGGTAGAGTAAGTGGGAGAGGTAAGCTGTGAGTCAGTGAGCAGATAAAGTCTCTCGTCTCATCAGAGTTGACTTTTGAACTCAGATTTGAAATATGTCAATAGGTTAGTTGTAGAGCCAGCTGCAGAAAGAGAGGTCCAGACAAAAGAAAACTACAAAAATACACAAGAAAAGGTTTGGTGCCTTAAAAACTACATTCCCATACTCCCTTGCGAGCAATGCCCTATGTACAATCTAAGTTTTATGAATGCAACTTGGAAAGAGAACAGGATAAATGTGAAGTTATTTCCAAAAGCTATCTTGAAATCTCTTCCTTCAGTTGTTCCAATGGCTCTGTGACCTCATTATATCTATTTTGCCTTAAAGTTATTTCCAAAAGGCCAGTCTTAAAATCTCTTCCTTCAGTTGTTCCAATGGCTCTGTGACCTCAATATATCCATTTTGCCTTAAAACACCAGCCAGAAATGACGCTGTATAAAAATGGTGTATGCAAAGAAGACAAGAAAGACTACATAAAAGAATTAAGTTTCCTAACATCGATGATATTGTGGGTGCTTTCTTGCCTCACATTATTGTGTATTTTTAAAATATCAAATAATTTATATATTTTTTATCATTAGGAAAGGTAAAAAATCATTCTAGAAATAGGTATTATTTGAAGCAGGATGATATGTGAAGAAAAATCTTTTTGTTCAACACAATCACAAAAATAAAAGCATTTATTTGTAAACAAAAGCATTTATTTGTAAATAAGTAAGTCATCTATTTGTTGAAGTATTTTCTGGATATCCACTCTACCAAGCACTGTCCTTGGTGCCGGGGTAAAGCAGAGAACAAAGCAGGCTGTCCTCCTGCCCTCATGGAACTTCTGGTAGGAAAAGCAGGGAATAAATAGCTCTGACTTCTCAATAGATGAATGAGGAACCACTATCTTCCTGAAGATTTCATGAAGTTGCAAGGAAAAGGGTTGACTTTACATATTATGTGGGAAGACTTTACTGGGGCGTGGAGAAGGAATCTTCTCTACATGTATTCCTTTTTCTCCCAAATGTCTTCTTCACCTCAGCAACCAGGTTTTTCTTATTTCTTCTTCCTCCACCCCAGCAGTTCTCCTTCTCCCAGATCTTCCCCAATGTCTTTATATTTCCTTTCCTCATACACAAAAGCTTACCTCTTCCAATTACATCTTCAAACCCCTCATCTCCACTGAACAAACAATGACTCTCTTTAAGATCCACAGTTCTTGGAAATTTGAAGCATATTTTGTTTTCATGTCACAATGGGTAATTAGTTTACAGTCAAGAGAGATCTCAGGAGAGAAGGATCCTACATGTCACACAAGTCAAAGGAAATAAAAAATAAAATGCAAGTCACAGGAAATAATAGAAGGAATTCTTTAAGCTGAAGCAAATTTTATCTCAGTTACAACACCTTTTATGTTTCCTCAAGAGTCAGGAATCACTCTTCATATGGAAATGTGTGCAGCCTGCAGGTGACGGTTGGTAGAGGTATGGAAGCAGGGCAGGGACAATTCTGGCTCTGCCGACCTGGCTGTGCCCTGATTGCCCATTTGTGCACCTGCTACTTCACCCTGAATACTTGGCAAATCTTCTAAGCATCCCAATACCTTGCTGCATGTGGTCTTTCAGAGTCGCTATGAACAACAATGCCTCCCATCAAGACCCCATTACTAATCTGATACACATTACTCTAGAAAGTTATCCCAGAATAAACAAAATAAATTATGACATTGTCTTTGACACATGTTAGTTTTGTCTTTAACAATCAAACAAATTTAACATTTCTTCTGTCTTCAATGTCACAGATGCTAGAAAAATGTAGAGAGATATGCCTCCTGGTCTTTTGTCCTAAATCAAACTAAGTTCCAAAATCCAACACATCAGGAATGTCTTATTTGGCTCAGCAGTACATTCTCACATTTTAGGACATCTGAAGTATTCTTGAATGTCCTTAGGTTAGTTCCACAGTGAGCGCATTGTAGTAGGCTTGCCATCAAAAGAATATTCACTTGGTAGGAAAGCCCACCTCTTCAGAAGCAGCTGAGTCTCTTGCTAATAGATCTCTTTCTCATGTCACTACTGTACTGTCATCCCAGGGCCGACATGCAGCCAAAAAAGGGAGCTCAGATGCTGGTGCTCTGCTGCTGAAGCAACTTTCAAACCTGCAGGCCTAGTCCCAGCAAGCTCCGCTTCTTCTCTGTTGCCAGTTTAATAGTTTCTGAAGAACTGGAAAGCTGCCACCCAAAGTTGTCAGTGTCCTCCTATTCAGTGGCTAGTTCAAACAGTGGTAGAATTGCTCTGGGGAGTATTAGCAAGCAGGAAGAGGAAGGGAACATCGACTATTGATGGTTTCTCAGACGGAGAGAAAGCCTTAAGCTCATTGGCTGGCAAGGAGGGTAGAAACCTCAGATCTTTTGCAGTTCTTCACAATGCTGTCTTGTCACCCATGTGTTCCTAGCACCAAATACAGTGCATGGCATACACTGAAGCAATCAATAAAGATTGAATAAGACAATAAATGTTTTATCCATTTCAATACAGATTGAATAAGATAATGAATGTTTTATTCATTATTACTCCCCTAAATCCTCCAGGCGGAGTTAGCCACAACCTGTTTAGGGTCCCCAGGGCAAATAAACACCCTTCTCTCCAACATTTCATCACATTCTACTCTATAGATTGATTTATTTACATCTTCTGCTAGATTATGAGTTCTTCAAGAACATGCACATCCAGTCCACAGTAGGGACTCAGGAAGTGTTCATAAAATAGGTTAAAAAAATTCCATTTACATGCACACTTCTACTACAGGAATCTTCATCATTCTGATTGTCAAAGCCAAATGACAAGGAGAGAAGCACAAATATCCTTTGAGACAATGCCACTGACGATCCATCTAACAGCAGAGAAATCTCATTCAAATACATTTTCATTGTGTGAATGCACTCACTGTTAATGTTGGCCTTTTGTAAAGGTCTCAGCTTTAAATGTTTATAATAAATAAGTAGGGAGGCTTGAGAGATGGTAACAGCTTAAAGCACAACACGAACACCCAAAACGCCTCAGTATTAAACACTTCCTGGAGAGATGACCTGCTGAATGTTCTATTTTGCCCTTCCCTTCTTCCACTTAGGTAGAATTATCCCTAATTGTACAAAAAGGCTGTGTGATGCTGGTTTTTTCTTTGACATTATGTGAAGATTTCATTTTCTCCAAGTATGGTGCAATGCACATTAGAGGAATTTGCCAGGTATATTTTCCCCCTAAAACACAGGCAAGACAGAAGCAGCAGCTACCAAAGCAAGTCATAGCAGTGAGTCAGCCAGCCAGCTATCATTTGCAAGGGCTATTTCACCTTCTTTAAATTATCTTTCCACAGAATAGGTATAAAAAGCTAAGGAGAGACACTCATGCAACGTTTCTGACTTCACTATTAATACTTTCACATAAAATATATATACAGGCCGTGTTTCAATTAATTTACCTAAAATTAACTTACTAAAATGTTGGTTGTAAATATTAGTTGTGGATGGATAATAGCATTTTGATGTTCTTGATGAATAATTTGATATAGATATGGAAGGAAATGTACAGAACATTTGCTTTATTAGTGAATGGTATTCTATTTGGCCATAAGGTTATGATGCACTCTTATTATCATCTTATTTAATCTTCCAAGCAATTCTGAGAATCAGTGTAAAATAGTAGTTAAGAGCTTGGACTTGGGTGTCAGATTGTCATTTTCAGGTTCTTTGCTGGATCGTGACTCTGAGAGGGCATGATTCCTTTCCATCTACTTTGTATCTCTGGTAGCATGTGTCAAGCACAAAAGGGATGAACAGTTTTATAAGAAAAACAGATCTTTAACTTTTTAAAAAATAAGTGTATGTATCCTAACCACAGTGCCTTTGACAGCCCTCCTGGAAATATATGTTTATAAAGCAAAATAATTATTTTTAACAATTATTCCAACATTTAGCAAAAATATGTCTTCATTTACAGTTCATTTTTTAATTGCCTTTATCTTTTACAGATTGAAGGACATGCCTGTGTTTCAGCCACAATCTGAACTTTTTATGTAATCTTTGCTTTACCAAGTCAAATTAGCCTAAAACCATCAAAGTGAGAATAATGATTTCACGATTTAGAGAAAGCCAGACTTGAATACTCCCTGTCTTCCTAGTGACAACCTGCTCCAGCCTATCACAGGCTGCTGTTTAGTTATTGGTTGCTCTGATGTCCCAAAACATCATCATCTTTAACAGCATCCATCATCTAGTCCATCATCCTTAACAGCAAAGGAAAGTCTCAAGTCTACCATTCATCACTTCCCCACAGTTTTAGCTATTGAGACTGAAGGAAGATTATTCCCTCCCAGGGACTAACCCCTCCACACAAAGAAAACCAGTTCTTTCTGTTGTCAGTGGTTCCTCATTTTTCGGGAAACTCAGGGTGTACTCCCCTAGGGGGTGTGTTGGAGGTCATTTCAGGGGTGCCCACTAGTGTCACTTCTAAAGGCATAATCTCTAATAACCATGAACAAACTCTGCATGGATCCAGCCCAGGTGAGTTCCTGGCCCACCTGGGGGCCCTTTCTTGATCCCAGCCCCCAAGAAAGGAATGTGGTCTCTTTTCCTCCATTATTTCAGAATAGTGTTTCCCATTCCTGGAGTCTGATTCTTCAAATTCTTGTTAGCATTTCTTCCACAGGTTCAGCAATGCCTTCTGTGGAGTACACACCTCCTGAACCCCTTAAATGGTCATGCCAATGAGAGCCTCACCACTCCCTGACCCTGAGTACAAACAGTCCAAGGAATAGAGGGTTAGGAAAGATGTGTACAACACTAAGTGCACAACCATATTTTTTCAGGAGATCCAGATCCTTTTGCCTCAATCTTAATTTTACCTCCCTAAATTTCACAGTATAGGAAAACTTGGAGGACTTTAAAATTGATTACCCCATATTTCTTTTACCAAATATGACATCTGGCTGGTGGAACACAGCACTTGCTTCAAATTTTGTGTGAGTTTGAACAAACCACTATCAGATTAATGCCATTTTATTGGGTACACATAAAATAAGTTCCCAAGAGCACTGCGTTTGAATTAGAGGGAGGAAATTGTTGGAGGGCACAATCTGTAGATGGAGAGGCATAATGGAAAAACACTAAGGAACAATCCAATACATCTTGCCTCATTCTCTCTTGTCTCCAAGGGAATGACTGATGTAGAAAGAAACATCCTAAATCTTTCTTTTTTTCTTCCTGGAACGAGGCACATGAGAATTTAGGGGAAAAGGGCCTCTGGCATTCTTACTGGTAACATTTCCTTTGCATTATGTTTGGATAATGTATAATCATTGTAGAAGCAAAGACTGTGGTTTACTCATATCTCTCATAATTGCCAAACAAGGCATTAAATATTCAGAGTTAGCAATAAAAGTAATTTAATTAGTAAATGTATGAACCAGCCTACCTGTCCCCAAGTAAACAGAGCAACCATATAACTAGCAGTTTTTGAGAATAAATTTGCAGGCCAGGAGAATAAAATTAATTTAGAATGTTATCTCATATACCTAAGAGACCATTCTGAATCTTTCAGATGGAAAAGATTTGACATATGCCAGGCACACCATAATGCTTGTTGAATAAGTGAATAAATAAATGAAGGACTAGGCACCAAGATAATGATCTCTTTTGAAGAAAGAGAGTGAGAACAAACTTAGGATGGGACACAGGGCTCCAGCATGGCCACAGACTAATTTCTTAGCCTGAGTAGTAAATGTAAGAATTCAACCTTCTGATAACTTATTATATCACACATGGTCCTATGTGGTTTCCTTAATGTGTGTTTTATTTAACGAAGCAAATGTTTTAAATTGGAAAATAAAAAATAATAATGTGCATAAAATTAAAGACTTAAGGTTTAAGCTATCAAAGAGCATTAGTTGTTTTTTTTAAGTGTGTACTTATATCTATGATATCCATTAATCCCTAAATTAGGGTGTCTGCTTGGGGGCCAATACACATTCTTATTTTTTGTTTTGTTTGTATCCCACTTTCTTTCAACGATGAGGCTCACCCAAAAATGCCCTTTCAGGTGAGAGGGAAGCCTCTGGGGAAAAGGAACTGGCTTACATTCAACCTTCTGGTCCCCAATTTCTCCATCTTTGTGATAAAGGATTCCCAAAAATTCAACCATGAGCCACTTCAGGAAGCTGGTTAGGGAGCACATGTTATACCTGTCCTAGTCTGCTCACCACTGATCCAAAAGTTTATCTGTTAGGACAGACCTTGGAGATGTGCTGACCTTATGGGAACACAACAATCAACATTATAGTATATTCCATAGAACAAAACTGACCTTGCTGGGGAGTAGAGCCTAAGGTCATGTAGCCCTTACAGATCTTTCTATCAAAAAGTAGGAGTGGTGAGGGAGTTTAAGGGCTATCATGGGGCATTACAATTCTCTGGAACACTGTGGTTTCCTTGCTGGGTAATATCTAAGAGTCATTTTTCTTTTTTACGACATTGTATTTTTGTTTACTGTAATCATTGTATTTAAAGTGTTGTTGAGGATGTCAGTGTCAGCTGCATTCTCGAAAGGAAAGCTCTTCCTTGGTTTTGCCTGGAAATTGAATTCACAGGGCACTGCATGCCAGGACTCCCATTCCACTGGGTTCCTGGGAGCCAGCAGATAAGCTGGCAGAATAAGTCTAGCCACACCAACAGTAGATAACAGGACAGTCACTCTCCATACTATGGTCAACCATTACTGCAAGGATTCTGCAGAGGAGTGTGATTCAGGGAATTCTGGAAGCCTGGGCCACCAAAGATAGATCAGGAAATATGGGAGGAATTCTTACCATCTCTTCATTTCACCCTTCCTTTCCTGAAGAAAGGTCATCAGATTTAAGCCAGATTGCCTGCCAATCATCAATTAAGCCAAATAGCAGGAGCCAAAAGGTGAACCACCCATCAAACTAAACTCTACCCATTGTGAAGCAGAGGAGACACACAGTAGTAATCAGAATAACAACCACTAAGTTATATATCCCTTTACTGTTTTAAAATAATTGTCATTATTATTTCATTTACTGTCAGGAGGAAGCAGGAAGAGCAATTAGGTTAGATGAACTGTGAGTACATTCAGCTAGGTAATGAAGTTGGGATAGGATTCCAAGTTTAATTTGCTTTTGTCCTGAAATGGTTCAAAGGCACCCTCAGACTGGATGTTGCAGTAGACTCTGATATTTCATCTAGACTCAAGCCTCACAAAGGACTTACATGTGTATCCAAATAGTTTTCATTGTTATTATATTTAGAAAAACAGTCTGCTTAAAGGCTGTAAAATGCTACTTCCCACCAGGATGCCCTTCTGCATCTATGACTGACTTACATGAAAGTGCAGGAAAAATGCAACTGAATGGTTACTAACCAACCCAATATCAGAGAAGGGGCAGTTTCCTTTACCAATGGGTAAATCTGCTCGAGTTCTTTCTTTTTCTGAGAAATTCAGGAGGATTCATTAGTAAATGATTTTTAAATTCATGTAATTTGAAAGAATAATAATCTCTGAAGAATTTTGTAGCAGTTGGTTAATATTCAGAAAGAACATTTCGCTCCTGAGAAGAAAGGATTCACACAGATATAATAATATAGCATAATGAACCTCATTGACAAAGAGCAACATGACATTTTTAACTTGGCAATGCTTTAATTGCATCCTTATAAATGAAACTTTCATTTCCAATATCAGTCAGCAGGAATTTCACTACATTAAACTCTGTTATAAATGGGAATCCAATGGACTCCACTCATAACTATTCAAGAAAACAATTTATAAAGAGATACTGCATAATATATTTTATTGGACTTTTTTTTTCTGGCTTGTTGGAGCAGGCAATGATCAAAAATGATCCTCAACATGAGGAATTAAACAAAGTGTATTCTGGATTTACTGTCTTTATCCTTAGGTGTTATTTTGTGAGACCACAGAAAATGCAAGGGTCGAGTGGCCAGTTTTAATAAGACAAACTGATGGTGGAAGATAAACCTATGGCCTTCAGTGGGGGAAGGCATCAGATGAAAGGAGTGGTGACAGGCCCAAGGCCAGCCAGTGGCCACACCTGGAAAGCCACACTGAGGTCCAGGAGGTTGAAGAGCCAGTGGAAGGAGGCTGACGCAGCAGAAGGCAGGAATGTCCTCCATCTCAGGGGCAAATTAGGGGACACAGGCATCTAAGCCCTGAGCCATCTCTTATTTCTTGTTTCTCTTTTCCCCAATTATTTTTATGAAACATTTTAAATACAGAAATCTCTCTCCTTTTTTAAAGTCAGAGTAATCCAGTAAAGATTCCTATGGGGATATCTGATTATAAATAGAAAAATCAATTGCCAAAGTCTTCTATGTGACTCACACTAAAGGGACAGGGGAAGCATGAGGCATTTATTTGCCCAAGCAAGAAGTAGCAACTCTAGATCACTTCTCTTGTTCTCTTTGCTCCAGTTCCAAAAGTGAGTCAGGGCATTTTATAGTGAAAGTCAAAGTCGGGAGAAACGAACTTAAGGAGAAGAATATCTGAGTGCTAGCAAACAATTTTCTTTCTCCATATAAAACCATAAAAACTTCTACTGCCTTCTACTGTAAGGCAATCTCTGCAGCCATCTATGCTGCTGATACAATATATTTTGTACTGAGTACCTCTATGTAATTGCAGTGTAAAGACATGAGGGAGGGGTTGACAGAATTAAAGAAAAGTAGAAGCCAAAGCAGAAATATCCAGCAACACCTGGTCTTTGATAACTAGGATAAAGTTTGTAAAGCATAAGAAAAGTATATGTGGCAAATGCAGGAGTCTGAAGCTGCATTTTATTTTATTATTTTTGCAGATAGCCAGGAAACAAGCAGCATGAACTTAGAGCACAGATAACACAAGGCAAAATTGTGCCTGAAGAGGACATTCAGAAACTGATATGGTTTGGCTGTGTCCCCACCCAAATGTCACATTCAGTTGTAGCTCCCCTAATTCCCATGAGTTGTGAGAGGGAGATAATTGAATCATGGGGGCAGGTTCCCCCATACTGTTCTAGTGGTAGTGAATAAGTCTCATGAGATCTGATGGTTTTATAAGGGGCTTGGTTCTCATTTCTTTCCTTGCCCACTGCCATGTAAGACGTGCCTTTTCTCTTCCACCATGACTGCGAGGCCTCCCCAGCCACATGGAACTGTGAGTCCATGAAATCTGTTTCTCTGTATAAATTACCCAGACTCAGGTACGTCTTTATCAGCAGCCTAAAAACAGGCTAACACAGAAACCTAGGTAAAATCCCCATCTGCGGCCGTTCATGCTATTAGGCTCTAGGAGAAAGGACTGGAGGTTTAAGCTGAGTAATACATCATACACCTATATATAAGTATACAACTGAACAAATTATTTAGGTCATCTGTATATTTTTTAAACTGAATGCTTGATGACATTTAACCTCTTCCTATTTTTTCTTCATAAAATCATAAAGCCTTGAACAAAAATTACTTGAATTCTAAATTAACCCTACTATAGATCTCTAGATGTAAGCTGACAAAAGTATCACCCCTTACCATCTGTCTTGGATAAACAAATCACAGGTACTAACTTAAATACAGAAGAACAATTATAATGTGTATATGTATTTATGATTAAAAATATGCCACATATTTCTACTCTAAGACAAATCATTATGGAAGATTATTTTAACAGTCTTGGATGTACATCTTATTTGAGAAGTTAAAAATAAAAAGCTTGTTCACATCTGCAAGGGAAATACATTCTCATCAGGCCATATGGAAAGTAAGGCTACTCACTGGGATTTCAAAGGAAATGTAAGTTTGAAGTGGAGACAACTCCCAATAGAAGCTATATGAGGTCTCGGATACAGAACATTTTTTTTTGGTACAAAATTTAAAAAAAAGAAAAAGTGCAACAAAAATTTAAAGTGAAGGGTCAGATATATTAAGATGTGCATACCAGGAGTACCAAATCATAAAACTGAATGGAAAACCTTACTGAGTGAAATCCCAACACAGAACCAGACACTACTATTGGAAAAACATCCTGATCAGACAAAATCTCCCCCAACCTCGGCTGGAACTGTAGACGTATTAAACTGTGTGGAAGGAACATTCATCTTTGAATCCAAGAGCAGAGAATGTTGTAGTGGCCCGAAAAGGTAAAAAAAAAAAAAATTATCAGCTTAATTACTGTACTGAGAAGAGACAAAATATTTGCTTGAAGAGCCCCTCCACATCAGAGTTAAAATCTTCCCTACAAACCATTTGGTCATCATCTGGAGAGACTGCCCTTAAGGAGCGTGACATGGTCACTTGGGGAGTAAGGACCGAGAGCTTCCATCTCAGGAAGACAAGTACCACTAGAGACAGTGAGCACCTTTGCTCAGGAACTCCTGGTGGCCAACTTAAATTAAAACACACCAAGTGGAATCAAAACTTGTCTTTCGTTTCCAGCTTCACTTTTTCACTACTTTGCTCAATTACGTAGAACTTTTCAGACTCTGCCTCCATGGTTTACATGTCCTGGTCCAACGAAACAGGAAAAATTGACATTGCAATTACATATTTTGAGGATGGCATACGGACTGTGGGGTGAGTAGAAGGGAAAAGAAAATGTCATCGCCTTGTGTCTAAAGCTGGCTCCATCGCCTGCTACTCATATCACTGGGATCAAGTTTTCAGAACTCTCTAGTACTTAGATCATCAACCTACAATTGAGGGATTCAAAAGGATTTACTTAAAAGGAATAATGTGAGGAGTTAAATCATTCTTTTACAGTACTTATCACAGTTCCTTGCACATTTGTAGAATTAATGTTAGTTATAATAATTAATATGATTGTCAGGTAAATTTACTTACAGAGCCAGAAGGCTACTTCTAAAGTAAAGGGCCACAATTCTAGCTTCTCTCATCCTGTAAGGACAACTCTCCCTCTCTTTTCCCTCTGGCCTCAGAACTCCCAGGTGGGTCAGCAGGCCCCCAGGCCTCTCACACTGTGGGCTTTGCCCTCTGCCATGCTTGTCCCAGGCTCCCCTGGCTCCTTGACATCCCCTTTACTATGATCTACATGCCTGATACTACAACATCCCAGGCTTTCCACAGGCCCCTGTGAAACAGATCCTGTTTACCTAATTCCTCCATGTTCATCTCTGGATTTTTAAGGACACCTTTATTCAGGATATGGCAGGAAGCTTCCACAAAAGTACCTTTATTGGATGAAAATTAAGGACATGGGAGAGGATTGTCCTACCTGAAAGTCAGAACAGGAAGAATTCAGCTCTGCAGGAATTAATATTCAACATAATGGTCTCTAATATATGTGTGGATTTGTGATTACCGCTATAATGACAGAGAGCAGTGGCAAGAAGGAAGTTGAGGATGGTAAGGGTAAAAGGTTCCAAGGGAAAGTCAAAGGCCATTGATACTGATTATCAATATTTTAAAAAACCAATAAGATGAGAAGTGGAAAGACTTAAAAATAGATTTTTTCTCTGTAGGAGTAAAGCTAATTACAGTCATTCACTGTGCCCCATTATCATGCATGCCTAATTATCATGCAAGCACAAGCACAATTATGTGTATTGTTAAATATTAAAATCATAGAACCAGAATTTTCAAGCTTGGAGAGACTTTTGAGATCATCTAGGTCAAGCCACTCCTTTTACAGTGAGGGAATTTGAAACACAAGAATTTAAATGACTTACAGGATCAGAGATCTGTGCTCTGGCAGAGAAAACCCCAGCCCAAGTCTCCCAACTATATGCCCAGGGCTGTGTCCCTGCTGAACACTAGCCTGCCCGGGAGCGTCTACCTCTAGATTACATTGGATTGGAGTGTGAAATTCTACACTGAGCACTATCTGTTGTTTTGCAACAAAAATAGGTTACATATTAGTAAATCATTCAAGTAGAAATATTCTGTAAGAAATAGCAACTCTGGAGAAATATAGGCTGGAATATATGTATCTGTGAGAAATGGTGGGTATCTGCATGTAGATAAATTGTGGAATTTGAAGCTGGTGGGAAAATTAAAGAATATTAAGAAAACCAATATAAGACAAGTAAGCTTTCAAAATGTTTCACTATATTATGAAATATACAATGTAAGATATATCAGTTTCTCTCTCAATGAATTGCTTTTACCTAGAATTACAGTATTATTTGTCCTGTCTTGAGATAAAGGAAAGCTATACCAGTTATGTCAACTGTAAATACACCTACACAAATGGGAAAGGTTACTCCTTACCAGGTCCCAGACAGACACCATGAAATCTCATACACCTCCCTGGTAGCTCCAACTAAAGACCCCCCCTTAATCTTCTTCTAATTCCCCTACTCATGCCCATCCTTATAGGAGGTAGGCCCTTCATATAGACTGATTGGAAGTGTACCAAAAATCATTTACTTAAAAAAAATCCCTTTTGCTAGTTACCTCTTTGTACAAAAAAAAAAAGTGTGGGGACCCAGAAGATTCCTACACAAATAGCAATCCCACTGTTGAGGAGCTGCACCCATACATGGATTAAATCCGGGGAGTCAGTGAAGTAGAAAGCCAAACCTTGAGGGGATGAGATGAGAACAAGCACATTTTCATGAGAGGACTCTAGGAAGGGAACAGAAAAGCACCCTTGTGGGGTTGACCGTGTGTCTGTCTGTGGAATACAGACAGAGCATTACCTGTGTGGGGCCTGGGAAACAAATGTGAATTCGTTCACAGCTACGACAACGGCCAGCTCAGATCCCACCATTTCCATCACTTCCACATCAGACATTTCTAAGCAATGAACACCAGGAGTTTTGTCTCAGCCACCATTCCTGCTACTTATATATTTTGGAGCCCATTTAAAGTCAATACTCTTTCTGGACAATTAATTTGGAATATAGAGTAAACTACATAAAAGTTAAAAAGGGTTGGCAACTTCCATGCTCTTGCTGATCAGTTCATGAACCTGAAGAACTAACTTAGAAGGATTCAAAACCCTTCCAACATCAATTAAGAATGTCAATCATGGGAAGTAGAGAAATATAGCACTTGTGTGAAATAATCCCCATCACTCTTGGTCTAACGCATTCCTATTCTTTGGCAGTGGATATCATACCACTGTAATCATGGTGTGTTGTAGAACCAACATTAACTTACAGAAAAATATAAAAGTAGAAAAGCGCTTATAATATCATCAACCTAACACTAAGTATTTCATAGACTTTTACATTTTTGTCTTATGCATGTATACTTTTCATATAGTTGAAAGGAAAGCGAATACAGTGGTTCTGGCTTTTTAAACTCGATTGTTCATCATATTTCCATATATTGTCTTCATACTCATCATTTTAATGACTGTAAATTACCACATTAGTTAATATGCTATCATTTATTTTATATTATTGGATACACAATTTGCCTATAACACTTGGCTATTATAGCCATCATATGTATAGCATTTTCCTTCTTCTGGATTATTGTCTTAAGATAAATCTCTGGAAAGAGCTTATTGTCACTGAAGTTAGAGCTCTGTATGTGAGAAAGTGCGTATGAAGCATATGTAATAAAAATATATTTATTTGTATACAAGTGTGTCTTTGAATAGTTTTTTTCTGACTACAGTATTATCATATTTTAGCCCTTTTCCAATGTTTGCCAGAAAATAATTTTCACAACTTTTTAAAGATTTGTTAATCAAGGAATCATAAATACAATCTGAAGAATAAATGGTCACCAAAACTTCAGTGCTGCAGGTGATCTAGAACTTGAAGGCAAATTTCATCTGAAATATGAGCTAATTTTGAGACTTTAAGTAAGCCGCATAATTGCTCTGAGTTTCAATTTACTTATTTAAAACAAAACAAACAAACAAAAATAAACAGGAACCTCTAAATCCCCTGTTTGCTTTTTGGCTGTCTGTTACCAGGCATTATTATTTGATAACTACCAAATAAACACATGCTGCATGTAATGTCTTATCACAGCAAGTGGCAGGTAAACAATGTGTCTCCTCAAAGTGGCTGAATAGTGGAGTATTCTGATAAATGATATTGAAAGGACAAACCTAAGTATGTGATCTTGGGTTAAGTACAAAGAAATAGAATTAGTTAAAATGTCTATATAAATCTAACCTGGCAAATCTCTTAAATGGATCTGAAATTAGAAACTAGCAACAGATGGCAACATACTTTGCACAAAGCCAAGTTTCCTATAACCTTGAAATTCTGAAAGGTCCCCAAAGAAGAAACATCAGATAGGCTCTTAGCCGGGATTGTCCTCAAGACAGATGAAGCTAATGGACTTGTGTCAAAAGAAAGAAAATGAGATAGATGTTCTACAGGCTTAGGTCCCCCAGGTGCAAGGACATTTTGTCATCAGGCATGTGGAATAAATCTTTAGGTGAATGGGAGGACAGATGTGGAAAATATATTGGCAGGATGAACAGGTGATGAAGGCACAAGTCACATATCACTCAGGAGGAGAGTTGTCATGCAGCTGAAGCACGTCCCGGACAAAGAAAATCTTGATGCTGATGTTATCACTCCCCCCATAGATCAGAATCACTCCAGACCATAAAAGTGAGTGCAAAATGTAATTTTAATCAAAGCCCCACAAAACACAATTTACTGCAATATTGAGAATCGTAATAAGAGTACATGACATGAGGATTATTAAAACTATGTAATCGAAATAGCTTTTTTTTTTTCAATAAGTGACATTGTTGGTATCTTCTTAAAGATACCCAGCCTTCATTCAGTTCATCATCCTTCAACAAATCTTTGGGATAGAGGATGAAAGACAAAAAAGCAAGAGCTCCAATTCTGCTAAGTAAGAAACTCATACGGTTCAGCTGGCCCTTTATTTATAAAATAGTAGAGGTGTATCTAAGCTCTAAATATCAGCTCCTTGAGTAAAATCTTGAAAATTCCAAGGATGATTTGAAATCTACTCATTCCACAAAGTCTGTAATTTCTACCTCCCCTTCCACCCATTAACCCATGGATTTATCTACACAATAAACTTTGTACAACATCTACTACATGCTTAACAGAGATTTACTCCCAGAAAAGTTCTGTGTAAAGGAATTCTTCATAAACGCATTTTATCCTTAGGCAGCCTGAAGCTTCTGCATTTGAACTTGGAAAAGGAAAGGGAGTGAGGAAGTTTAGGATTATTACAGAAGCAATGCGAAGAAAGAAAGAGTTAATATTCGGCTTTGGGAATTCAAAAGAGGATTGTACAGTGAGACAATATACTTGAGAGCCAAGAGAAAGGATTGTCTAAATTCCTCTGGTAGCTACCATTTATTCCACCAACAGCTGAGGCTGGTGAATTGCATAATGGAATTCCAAGGAGGGCAGCAAGGGAAAGAAAAGGAAAATCTCACCCTTTCAAGCTTTGAGGAATTTGGGAAAAGAAAGGCAAAGGAAAGAGGGAACAGAGAAGAAGAGGCAGAGGAGTAGACCCACAGAAGTGAATCCAGACCACCCTCTTAGGGCATAGCTCCAGCTTCTGTTCCAGCTGTACAGAAGCTGCCAAAGAAAACTTGAGCAGGAAATTAGTATCCACTGTAAATTACAAAAAGGTCCTAAAAACTGCAATAAACTGTGTCAGCTCCATTGAGCCAAATGGATTTCTGGACTCTAAAAGCAACCACATTCATTTCATATCCCTGTTCTCAGAAAATAGCAAATCACCTCCTAAATGAATAACTGCTGAGCAGGACCACAAATACAGTCATATATTGACTTAACGCCTTTGAACTTTCAAAAGAAGGAACTGCATTTATTTCAGACACCTCTGTAAGAAAGCGATGCACTATATCCTTGAGGAATCACCACGCTGTCTTCCACAATGGTTGAACTAAGAACCAGAAATACCATTTGACCCAGCAATCTCATTACTGGGAATATACCCAAAGGATTATAAATCATTCTACTTTAAAGACACATGCACACATATGTTTATTGCAGCACTATTCACAATAGCAAAGACTTGGAACGAACCCAAATGCCCATCAATGATAGACTGGATATAGAAAATATGGCACATATACACTATGGAATACTATGCAGCCATAAAAAAGGATGAGTTCATGTCCTTTGCAGGGACATGGATGAAGGTGGAAACCACCATTCTCAGCAAACTAACCCAGGAACAGAAATCCAAACACCAACACTGCATGTTCTCACTCATAAGTGGGAGTTGAACAATGAGAACATATGAACCCAGGGAGGGGAACATCACACACCGGGGCCCTGTCAGGGGGTGGAGGGCTAAGGGGAGGATAGCATTAGGAGAAATACCTAACGCAGATGACGAGTTAATGGGTGCAGCAAACCACCATGGCATGTGTATACCTATGTAACAAACCTGCACATTCTGCTCATGTATCCCAGCACTTAAAGTATAATTTAAAAAAAAATAAAGAAAAAGAAAGCAATGCTCATCCAGGTGATTCAGAATTTTTCATCTTACAAATCCACTTAAAAATCATCAGAAGAATGTGTGGCATAAGAAAATGACAATGTGTGATGGAGGAAAAGTTGTTACAATTTGGGAGGCCACAGGGCTCTCTACCGTAATGTGACAAATTATAAAATCCCTTCAAATGTAACAATCTGAATAAAACTTCACTACTTATATCTGCTAGATGAAGTTGCTCATAATGATAAAAAATGTTCAAAGTAGGTTAATTTGGAAGCTATCTGCTTTATAGGGTAAGTTTTGCAGTGATGGTAACGGGGAGAAGGAGGGTCTGAGGATGGAGTCTTAAGACAGTGCTAGAACTGGGCCCTGACAAACCCTATCTCCTGACCTTGCAGAGGAGAATGTAGGACAAAAAAGACCGATGCATTTTATTCATAATCTTTAATCACAGACAGAGAAGCAGACAGAGTTTCATTAAGGACAAAATTATTCACAGTAATTTACATAGTTACAGGTTGGAGATATATAAGCACTTACAAATTATATTGCAGAAAAGTCATCAGAACCTTAAAAAACTATTTTTATAAACTTTTAAGTGGTCCACCAAAAACCAAGACAGACATTACACACACAATGTGTGTCACACCACTTATTAACAATGAGACCAGTCTGAAGATGTTTTAGAGGTTCTTTACTAAATGTCAGTAAGTATCTGTGGCCCTTGGGCAACCCTAGGGATTCCCAGCTAATCAAGGGAAAAACCTGTTATTCAGCCATGATTTCTCAAATGAACCAGAAACTCTGCCCCTTCTCTCTATAAATCTGTCAGACTAAAATCTGAGCAGGAAGATAAACAGAGCCAGAACTACTGCATGTGGCTTTGCCTACATGTGTTAGGTTTGGCATATTTTGTCAAAACACTTATTTGTAGTTTAGCCTCTTCTCTGTGCCCATTTCCAATTTCCTGTCTTCAGAAGCTGTACCATCTCAAGGCTACAAATCCCTCTTACTCTTCAAGACTCAGCTCAAACAGCACCACCCACAAGATAATCCCAGGCAGAATTAATGGCTACTTACTGTGTGTGAACAACACATTACTCACAGCCCTGTTAGTAGTATTATTTTAATTAGTCTTGTCTTCACTGGCTTCAGGGTTAGACTGTTCTTTATTCCTTAAGAGGACTCTGTGCATAGTAGCTACTTATCAAGTGTGTCTTAGTCAGCTAGCACTACTACAACAAAAATACCATAAAAAGGTGGCTTAAACAATTGACATTTATTTCTCACAGATCTGGAAACTGGGAAGCCCAAGAACAAAGTGCGGGAAGATTCAGTTCTTGGTGAGGGCTCTCTTCCTGGCTTGCAGATGGCAGCCTTCTTGCTGTACCCTCACATGGTGGAGAAAGAAAGCTCTTGGTGTTCCTTCCTTCTCTTATAAAGGTACTGATCCCATTATGGGGCCCCACCCTCATGTACTCAACTAAACCTAATTATCTCCAAAAGGCCCCACCTCCAAATACCATCACACTGGGGGTTAGAATTTCAACACAGAATTTTGGGGGTAAACAAATATTCAGTCCATAACAAAATGCTAATAAAATTTAATGAAAAATACTACTTACCTTTATTAAATGCTCCCATCACTGCAACTAAGTTCATGAGACAAAGTTTAAAGTAAAAATATTTTGTTTTCTGCTTGTTCTAAAAGCTAGCAACCGTCACACTAACCTTTAGTCCACCTCTCACTGGTTTCTATTTTTCACCAATGAGTCAGACAAACTGAATGCTATTTTATCAGTTTGATCAGTATCGCAGCATCCTCTGATATCAATGACCTCATCCCAAGCAGGACATTTGGTTGCTTTGTTTTGCTTTTTTCCTGTACTGTGAAAAATAAAATAAAATAAAAGTTCCCTAACTCTCTTCTTTCAGAATGGATCTTACCAAATGTTATTCAAAAGCATACTTCCCTGGCATTATTTACATTCACTCTTTTCAGAAAACTAATTTTTCTGCTACAGATGCTATGCGATATTTTTCTAACCATATATCTGATATATATTCAACTATGTCAGCTGCTCTCTCCAAATCACATACCAAAGCATTTAAGGGGAACTAAATTATATTGAGCCCCTCCTATATGCCATGTATTAATAGACGAGGAAGGGTTCCATAAAAATTTAATGGGTGTGCTGAGGTGAAAACTGTCATTTCAAAGCTATAAACAGTTTATATCTCAAAAGAAGTAGAATTTGATCCCTACTTTGGAAAGATTTTTGTTTGATTTTTAACACCACCTGAATCAGACCTCCATCTACCATGTGTTTATCCATCTATCAATCCTTTATTTCACATTCTTAGAAGAGACTGGAATGCCAGGGCTATATGAAGTAAACTTCTATCTGTGTACAATTTCGGTAACCTTTCTTTTAATTGTTGGATCCGTAGATTGACATGATGAAAGCTGTCTTGTAACACATTTTAAAACAGAGTAGTAATCTAGCCACTCATTACAGTTTCTATACTTAAAAATATACTTTAGAGATAAATCAAATGTCTTCATTTGGAGGCATTAGCATTAAGAAATTTATCTTACAGAAAAGGCAAAATAACCACACCTCCTAGCTTCTTTAGTGTGGTGTTTTGGCTCCTACTGGTAAACAGCCATTAACATCTGCAGCTGGGCCACTTCAGCGGCTGCAGGCAAAATGGCTTCCTGAAAACACCAAAAGATGAAAAGGAACAGTCACAAATGAAAGAAAAGGAATATAACTCCCTTTTTTTTGAGAACTGGGAACCTAATATTGGCATGGCTTTAATCTTCTTTAATCTTTAATGAGTCTAATCTCATTATCACTCACACATAAACAAAAAATTCCATGAGGAAGACGCAAAATTATTGCTGTTGTCAGAACATAACACATATCTCCAAAGGTTGTAGTGGGGGGTTCACGAATAAGACATAGGGTACTTAGTACAATGCCTGAGCACACAGTACATGCTCAGTAAACTGCACTTTCTATTAACATGTTCTGTTCTTCCGCTTAGACAAGGAAACTGAGGTGGTTAACAGCTCTCTCAAGTTAAAGTTGACAGTCAGCTTAGGTCTTTCCGGGTTCAAAGCCTGTGACCAGGAAACTCTTCCAGTGTCAATTCCTGAAATCACTCCAGTTTTACTCCCCTCAAAGCAGTGAACGTGGGAAAGCTAAGCAGGCATATGCCTTAATCCACTTAAAGGTAAAGAAATGAACTTGGAAGTGCCATGCAGTCTTCTCTGCCATTATAGAGAGTCAGTTAAATGTATACATCAAGCTAAAAACTAGACTCCCTTTAAAGTGATAACAGAGGATGAACAGATTGCTCTGAAAAGGCTGTGCCTTTAATGTAAAAAGCAATTGCTCCTTTATCTTCAACCTCATTTGGAATTGTATACTCCCTCAAATGTCAATGCTAAGGCTGGCTCCTTGGTTAGAAAAGCATGGGCTGTGAAATCCAAACATCCTTCAAGAAAAACCAGTATCTGTTTACTGTAAGTCCCAATCCCTGCCATCCTCCATCCCTTCTCTCCCTTCTCATCATGAGGGAGGCCCATTTGATCTCCTCCTCCGAAGCCCAGCATTCTTACCATCACCACCTCCTCAGCCTCAACCTCCCTGCATGGCTGTTTGCAGTCAGGCCCCCTGTGCCAGTTTCACACTGAACACAAACCTAGTTAACAATTCCTGTCTTCGGAGCATCATTTGAGTTAGGAAGATTAACCCTTCTTTCTGACCTTAATGAACTGTAAGGAAATAAAACCTACAAGCTAAGACTGAACATACTTCAGTTGATGCAGAAGAGCTCTCTGCATCCAGTTTCTTAAAAAGCATAAGAATTCCTTACTTTAGGCCAGTGTGCTGCCAGTATATCTGAGCAGGAGATTCACCGAGGACACTGGTTAACCTGCACATCTACGGAATGCACTTCGGAAAAGGGGCTTAGGAAACTGTATTGCAGAAACACACCACAGGTAATGCTTATGATCACCCAAGCTTGGAATGCATGGCCTTAGGCCATCAGTGATAACTCTATATATTCCTGAGGTAATTGAACTAAACATCACATTGATTTATATTAAATATTTTGTCAAATATAATTGCCAATTTCAGCTAAATTTTCGCTACCAGGATTTCAAAAATTACAATCATATTTTTGAATCCTAACTTTCTTTTTTTAATGACATTGGTGTAAACCTCCAATATGGGTTTTACATTTAAACAAGAGGGTTGGTAATGTGGCAAGTTTGGTATTATTTTAGGTCACAGGATAAGGACAGGCTGTTATCAACAGGCTCCATATAATTTCCTGTGTTCCTCAAACATCTCCCAGCAACAGACCTGATATGATTTAAAATTAGCCTGAGCAATTTGACAGGATCATAACACCTGCCTTGGAGCTGTAACTACACATTTCTCTTGTGAAATTTAATATGCCTGGTAATAGGTGAAGCCTGAACATTTATACCTAACAAAGATATAGTAACAAATGATAAGATAGGCTATCAAAATCACTATGAGAACCTAGAAGCAATAAAACAAATCCAAGGTTTATGAAGAAGTATTATAAAATTTTGTTATTATTGACCTTATGAATGTATTTAAGTAGTTATTTACATTTTTTTTATAATTCTTCCCATTTGGCTGATGCAATCTAGAAAGCATTAAAAATAAGAGCTGACATTTAATACCTACGTAGGCATTTTTGGGTGTGTGAAATTAAACCAAATAAAATACAGACTACTGGATGTGTGCTTATGTTCCTTCTAGTGCTAAACAAACATGCATTGACTGAATAAATGAATAGTAATATAGCCACAGAGAATAGCAATTAGCATTAATGATTAAAATTACCATTATTTACAATACTAAACATGACATTTAAATAGCATCATGAAGTTTCAAAGCTGCAAGAGGTCTAGACTTTTAAAATATGAAACTTACATTGTGGATTTGCATTATTTATCATTTTTGCCCATTTCTCAAATAGTCTTTATTTCCCCAGTAACCTGCTCTCCTGTGTTTTTCCCCAGTATCTTTCATCACTTATTTTTTGATGGGGGTCTTATTTCCCCCATATTCTTTCCCTCTGATCTTTTCTAATTTTTATTTTTATTTCAATAGTTTTGGGAAACAGGTGAAGTTCTTTAGTGGTGATTTCTGAGATTTTGGTGCACTCATCACCTGAGCAGTGTACACTGTACCCAATGGGTAGTCTTTTATCCCTCACCCATCTCACACCCTTCCCTCTCCCAAGTCCCCAAAGTCCATTATATCATTCTTATGCCTTTGCATTCTCATAGCTTAGCTCCTACTTATAAGTGAGAACATATATTTGGTTTTTGATTCCTCAGTTACTTCACTTAGAATAATGGCCCCCAGCTCCATCCAAGTTGCTTCAGAAGACATTATTTCACTCCTTTTCAAGGCTGAGTAGTATTCCCTGGTGTATATATACCACATTTTTTTTTTATCCACTCGTTGGTTGATGGACACTTAGGTTGGTTCCACATCTTTGCAATGGTGCTGCTGTAAACACATGTGTGCGTTTATCTTTTTCGTCTAATGATTTCTTTTCCATTGGGTAGATACCCAGGAGTGGGATTGCTGGATTGATGGTAGTTCTACTTTTAGTTTTTTAAGAAATCTCCACACTGTTTTCCATACTGGTTGTATTACACTAATTTATATTCTCACCAGCAGTGTAAAAGTGTGCCCTTTTCACCACATCCCTACCAACATCTATTGTTTTTTTGATGTTTTAATTATGGCCATTCTTTTGTTTTGTTTTGTTCTGAGACAGAGTCTCGCGCTGTTGACCAGGCTGGAGTACAGTGGCGTGATCTTGGCTCACTGCAAGCTCTGCCTCCCGGGTTCACGCCATTCTCCTGCCTCAGCCTCCCAAGCAGCTGGGACTACGGGCGCCTGCCACCACGCCCAGGTAATTTTTTGTATTTTTAGTAGAGACGGGGTTTCACTGTGGTCTCGATCTCCTGACCTCGTGATCAGCCCACCTCGGTCTCCCAAAGTGCTGAGATTACCGACGTGAACCACCGCACCTGGCCTAATTACGGCCATTCTTATAGGAGTAAGGTAGTATCTCACTGAGGTTTTAGTTTGCATTTCCCTGATGATTCGTGATTTTGAGCATTTTTTCATATGTTTGTTAGCTGTTTGTATATCTTTTTTTGAGAACTGTCTATTCATATCCTTTACCCACTTTTTGATGCAAACTTCTCTTTAAAAGACATGTGAATAAAAGAAAAATGCACCACATATATTTACCCATGTAATTACCATTTCTAGTTCTTTTCATGACTTAGTGTAGATTCATCTTTCCACTTGGCATGATTTTCCTTGTGCCTGCAGAACTTCCTCTAGCATTTCTTCTAGCTGACATCGACCAGTGATGATTCTCTTTTGTAAGCCTGAAAAAAGTCTTAATTTCACATTTGTTTTTGAAAAGTATTTTGCTGAGTTTAGACTTCTAGGTTTACATTTTTTCTTCAATCCTTTAAAGATGTTGTTCTACTGTCTTTGAAATAAGAGAAATCTGCTATCATCCTTATTTTCGTTCCTCTGTATACAGTATACGGTTTTTTCTCTAGATGCTTTTTAAGATTGTCTCCCTATTAACGGTTTTGAGCAATTTAATTTTGACATGCCTCAGTGTAGTGTCTTCAGATTTCTTTGTTTATAGTTCAAGTTTATTGAGCGTCTTGTGCTTGTGGATATACAATGTTCATCAAATTTGAAATATTTTCATTATTATTTCTTCAAATATTTTGCCAGTTCCTGTCCTTCACAAATTAAATTATACCTCTATTAGATCATTTAAAATTGTTTCACAGCTAACTGATGTTCCATTCATTTTTAAAACCTATTTTCTGAATAGTCCTAGGAGATGATTACACTAAAAACCCAGACTTCCCCCGCTATACAACATATTCATGTAGCAAAACTGCACTTGTAATCCTAAAATTTATACAAATAAAAATATTTTTCTGTTTTAATTTGGATAGCTTCGAATGCTCCATCTTCAAATTCACCGTTTTTTCTTCTGTGATGTGAATCTGCTGTTAATCCCATATAGTATTTTTCATATCAAATATTGTGGTTTTCATATCCAGAAACTCAACTTGGGTCAATTCACAATGTTGGAATAGAAAAATCACTGAGAATTTTTAAGAATTAAATAAACCATGTAGAAAAGCTATACATAATCACTGATAGGATAAATAAAACTAAATTCATGGCAGGAAATATTTGAAACCAGAAATCATTATCATTCAGTTCTAGGTATTTTGTAATTCTCTTGTTTTCCTAGGGTATTAGAGAAGTAAATTTTTTATGCTGATGGGTTTTTACCTATCCCTTTTAACCACAAAAATAAAAATAAAACTTAGAAAAATGCTGGGAAAAATTAGCTAAAATGTTGCTTCTGGGAGTTTCATTTTTTTTGGTATTTGCAAAAGTATCTACAATAAGCAATATATAACTAGTTAGACAAAAAGCAGGGGAAAAAAAAACCAAATATGCCGTCTACAAAAAAGAATAGAGATTGATGAAGAAAAATCATGACGAAGTTCCACAGAGCCTCAACTTTGAAGTACTGTTTTTCCATTTCAGGAATATCTGCCATATCTGAGGCCCTGCTGTGTGAATAGAGGATTTCTGATTAAGGCTAAGCTTCCTTTTAAAAAGCTAATTGATACTTTAATTATCTTAATGATGACAAAGCCTTTAATTAGCCTTTAATTATCTGAGTTATTTAAGCCATTCCACTTAAAGAAATATGTGATAACAATCAGATTAGATTTCAAAAATATGTGGTAAGATAGTAAAATAAGGACAATTTTTATATTAAGAAGGAAAAAAATTGAATTTTAGAAAAACATATTCAAATAAATGTTATTTTACAAACATCAAGCCTATCCTCCACACTAGCCCAAATAGCCCAGTATTAATAGTGTAATCAAGGTTATGAAACTAAAATTGCCCTCTAGGTAATAGGACATTGGAAAATGGGACTGTGCATTTTCTGTGCAAGTGAACATTTTTCTCCTTCTCCAGTCAAGTGATTGACTTCTAGAGCATCTCTGAATTTTTCTTTCATCAATAACTTCAGTTAAATAAATTTTGGCCTGAGGTTGTCTTCTGAAACAACTGAATCTTTGCTGTTTGTGACACATTGTCAATGATATTCTACATCTTCTTGTCCTTCTTGTGGCAATGCCCCCATACTAAATTAATTGCAACCTTGACAGTGGACAATATGACTAGAATAAGACAACTGGAACATCCCATTCACTCAGCATTGTGATTGGCTGAAGGACAGAGATACTCCCTGAGTCAGGCTACCCAGGAACATCAAGAGGATTCCAGGTGAGATAATTTCTCTGTCCACTGGACAGGGTGCTGTGATGATATGTATCTACTGTTGTCATTAGCCACCATGTGAAGCCTGGGTGTGGGGCTATCCCAGTGCCTAGCAGAGTCCACCTTTAGATCCTGGTGGTATCCTTTGAACCGTAAGTTGATTTGCACCCAGGGATAGATCCAGCTCTATACCAGTGTTTCTTAAACTTGACTATGGAAGCATCGGAAGCTGGAGGACTTGGTAATACACAGGCTGTTGAGCTCCACAGCCAGAGTCTCTGATGCCGTGAGTATGAAACTGAGAATTCACAGTTTTAACAAGTCCCCCGTTGATGCGTGTGCTGCTGATTCAAGAATCACACTTTGGAAATCACAGTCCTAACTACTTCAGTTAAGTGGTCCAGTAAATTGCAATTTTTTTCCTTACACACCCTTGGCTTGGGTTTTCTATTATACGGACCCCAAATAATGTCACAATCAGGTGTATCCTACCTGATACACCTATGAGTATTTGAAAAACATCTGCCTCCTAAATTAACCTAAATTACTTCACTTTATTTAGTGCCTATATATGGAAAGTATATGAGGAAATTATTACACAGCATAACATAAATTTCATGGTATATTTAGGGTGTTTTCCATTTCATACTATGCTACAATTAAATTTCATTCCATATTGTAATCAAATGTCATAGGTACATAAAAAACTAATACTTAGGTTTCTTTTCATTATAAAAGAGAGTAGGTTTCTGATATTTTTCATGAGGAATTTTATTATTGACAAATTTAAATGGAAACTATTTTTACAAATAAATATAATTAACAAGGCAGATAAGTATCATTTTACTTCAGATATAGTAAAAAAAAAAAACCTATACTCAGTGTCACAACCAGTGTTTTTCTTTTTAACATGCAATCTATAATTTTATTTCTCACTCATCTTTCCCAGTCCTAATGAGAAATGGCTAACCCACACCTAAAGGGTCAAAGTGCCCTAGACAGATACCTACAAATAAAAATTTAAATAACTAGAAAAACATCCAGATTCAATATTTTAAAGAAAATGTGTCGCATTCAAAAGTCAACTTTTTCAAGCCTTCTCGGCTAATACATGCTCATTACGTAATAAACTGGTAATCTTTGGGAGTTGATGTCTTCTTTGGCCCCCACTTTCTACCTTCAGACTGTCATTTCATGAACAACTGCCCCTCATTCCTTTGCCTCCCAAATATTGCCTTCTAAATTTCCCCTTTCTGGCCCCACCACATTCCCCTTGACTCTCCCAGGTACGATAAATATTTGCGGTGATGGATACGCTAATCACCTTGATTTGATCATTATACATTGTATACATATATTGAAATATCACTTTGCCTACCGTGAATATGTGCAACATTAATCTCAACTAAAAATTAAATGGGGAAAAATAAAAATATATACAACTCAAAATAAAAAGAAAATCTTGCATGTTAGTGAGGAGTATATATAGAGAGAACAATGAATGAATTTAAAAAGATTTAACCAAGGATGAGCAAAAGGTATTAGTACTTAACATCAGAGCATGATGGGCGTGGGTGTTCCTCCAGATATTCAGGGTTTTAACTTGAAATTCAAACCAAAAAGACACTCAGATATCTCTGGGATAAGGTGGAGGAAGGGTTGTAGAACTTGCAATATTTGAGAGCCAGAAGTCCATAACTAGTTACATTTACCAAATTGCAGCCCCATCTCCACCTCTTAACCCAGTCTCCAATTCCTGTCAGTTCTATAATATCACAATGTGCCTAGCATCATTCTTTCCCTTTTCTTCCTATAGCCACCCACAAAATTTTAGAATATTATTAATTTCACTATTAGCTATTAAAATAGCTAAATAGCTTTCTCCTTGGTACCTCCATTTGAAGGCTTTTATCTTTTTCCTATTTATCCCAAGAGTGATGTCCCAGAAACTCCTTTCTGGAAAAGCCAATTCTCTGCTCACATTGCCTGCCAAGGGCGTTCACAGTCTCTCTCTCTCTCTCTCATATGTATATATATGCTCTCTCTCATATATATATATATACATATATATATGCACATGTGTATATATATGTGTATATACATGCACGTGTGTGTATATATATGTGTGTATATATATGTATGTGTGTGTATATAGTTACACATATATGAGTACACACACACACACACACACACACACACACACACATATCTTTTGGCATTAAAAGGCTCCCTATGAGCTGCTCCTATTGATCTCTGAAGGTTTCTCTCCAACAGCATCTTTAAAAGAACCTGCTGGCCTAGGCAAGCAAAATGTCCATGATATCCTACCTTAAAATTTTGCTTGTTTGACTACAATGCAATTCTTTTCATACCCACCAGTCAACATCATGCTCATTTTCAAAACAACCCCAACTCCTCACATATAAAGCACTTTGTACTTCTCTAATACTGCATTATGCTATACTATAAACCTACTACTAAGTTTCTCAAGGACAAAATCATATGATTTTTTACTCTGAATTTATTTTTTTATTCTTACTTTTTATGGGTACATGGTAGATGTATATATTTACAGGGTGTGAGATACTTGGATACAGGCATAGAATGTGTAATAATCACATCAGGGTAAATGGGGTATTTATCTCCTCAAGCACTTATCATTTATTTGTGTTACAAACATTCCAATTGTATTCTTTTAGTTATTTTTAAATGTACAATAAATTATTTTTGACTGTAGTCACCCTACATTCATCTAGTATTTGTGTTATCAAATGGAAAAAATAGCATCATTGAGCTATCAAATACTAGATCTTATACACTGTATCTAACTATATTTTTGTACACTTTACTCATTCCCACTTCCACCCCTCTGCCACTCACTGCCCTTCCCAGCCTCTAGTAACCATCATTCTACTCTCTGTATCCATGAATTCAATTGCATTGATTTTTAGCTCCCACAACTTAGTGAGGACATGCAGAGTCTGTCTTTTTGTTCCTGGCTTATTCACTTAAAATAACGTCCTCCAGTTCCATCCATGTTGTTTCAAATGACAAGATCTCATTCATTTTTTATGGCTGAATAGTACTCCACTGTGTATAGATACCACATTTTCTTTAACTGTTCATCTGTTTATGGCCACTTAGGTTGCTTCCAAGTCTTTTGTGATAGTGAATAGTGCTGCAATAAACATAACAGGGCAGATATCTCTTCCATACCCTGATTTCTTTTCTTTTCGGTATGTATCCAGCAGTGGGATTGCTTGATCATATGATAGCTCTATTTTTAGTTTTTTGAGGAACTTCCAAATTGTTCTTCACAGTGGCTATGCTAATTTTCATTCCCACCAACACTGTAAGAGGGTTCCTTTTTCTCCAACTCTCATACACTGTTGGTGGGAATGTTACTGCCTGCCTTTTGGATTAAAGCCACTTTAACTGGGGTGAAACGATATCTCATTGTAGCTTTGATTTGCATTTCTCTGATGATCTGTCATGTTGAGCACCTTTTCATATGCCTGTTTGCTATTTGTATGTCTTCAAAAAATATCCATTCAGATCTTTGGCCCATTTTGATTGGATTTTTAGATTTTTTTTTTCCTGTTGAGTTGTGTGGGCTTCTTATATATTCTTGATATTAATCTCTTGTCAAATGAATAGTTTGCAAATATTTTATCCTATTCTGTGGGTTGTCTCTTCACTTTGTTGATTGTTGCCTTTGCTGTGCAGAAGCTTTTTCACTTGATGTGATCCCATTTGTCCATTTTTGCTTTGGTTGCCTGTGCTTGTGGGGTATTACTCAAGAAATCTTTGCCCAGACCGATGTCCTAGAGAGTTTCCTCAACTGTTTCTTTTAGTAGTTTCCTAGTTTGAGGTCTTAGATTTAAGTCTTTAATACATTTTGATTTGATTTTTGTATGTGGTGAGAGATAAGGGTCTAGTTTTATTCTTCTGCATATGGATATCAGTTTTCCCAGAGCCATTTATTGAAGAGATTGTGTTTTCCTCAATGTATGTTCTTGGCACCTTTATAAAAAATGAGGTCACTGTAGATGTATGGATTTATTTATGTGTTCTCTATTCTATTCCTTCAGTCTATATGTCTGTTTTTATGCTAGTACTATACTATTTGGGTTACTATAGCTCTGTGTTATAATTTGAAGTCAGGTAATATGATGCCTCCAGTTTTGTTCTTTTTGCTCAAGATGGCTTTGGTTATTCTGGGTATTTTGTAGTTCAATAAATTTTAAGATTACTTTTTCTATTCTTGTGAAGAATGTCATTGGTATTTTGATAGAGATTACATTTTATCTGTAGATTGCTTTGGGTAGTATGGATGCTTTAACAATATTGAGTCTTCTAATCCATGAACATGAAATCTCTTTCCATTTTTTGAGTCCTCTTCAATTTTTTGCATCAATGTTTATAGTTTTCATTGTAGAGATCTTTCTCTTCTTTGGTTAACTCATTTTATTTGTAGCTGTTGTAAATGAGGTTACTTTCTTGATTTCTTTTTCAAATTGTTTGCTGTTGGCATTTAGAAGTGCTATTGATTTTTATATTTTGATTTTATATCCTGAAACTTTACTGAATTTATCAGTTCTAATAGTTTTTTGGTGGAGTCTGTGGGTTTTTCTAAGCATAAGATCATATCATCTGCAAACAAGGATAATTTGACTTCTTCCTTTCCCATGTGGATGAACATTATTTCTTTTTCTTATCTGATTGTCTGACTAGGACTTCCAGTACTGTGTTGAATAACACTGGTAAAAGTGGGCATCCGTATCGTGTTCTTGATCTTCAAGGAAAGCCTTTCAGTTTTTCCCCAATCAGTATGATACTAGCCATAGGTCTGTCATATGTGGCTTTTATTGTGTTGAAGTTTGTTCCTTCTATACCCAGTTTTTTGAGGGTTTTTATCATGAAGTAATAGTGACTTATCCAATGCTTTTTCAGTATCAACTGAAATGATCATATGGCTTTGTCCTTCATTCTGCTGATATGTTGTATCACGTTGATTGATTTGCATATGTTGAACCATCCTTGCATCCCAGGGATAAATCCCACTTAGTCATGATGAATGATCTTTTTAATGTGTTGTTAAATCTGGTTTGCTAGTATTTTGTTGAGGATTTTTGCACCAATGCTTATCAGGGATATTGGCCTATAGTTTTCTTACTTTGATGTGTTTTTGTCTGGTTTTGGTATCAGGGTAATATTAGCCTCACAGAATTAGTTTGGAAGTATTCCCTCCTCCTCCATTTTTTGAAATAGTTAAAGTAGGATCGGTATTATTTCTTTAAATGTTTTGTAAAATTGAGCAGTGAAACCATTGAGTCCTGGGCTTTACTAGGCCAGGAAACTTTTCATCAATGTACAATAAACTATGGTTTCAATTTTATTACTGTTATTGGACTATTTAGGTTTTGAATTTCTTCTTGGTTCAATCTTGATAGGTTGTATGTGTCTAGGAATTTATCCATTTCTTCCAGGTTTTCTAATTTATTGGCATATATATAGTTGTTCATAGTAGTCACAAATGATCCTTTGAATTTCTGTAGTATCAGCTGTAATGTCTCCTTTTTCATCTCTGATTTTATTTATTTGGCTCTTCTTTTTTAGTCTGGCTAAAGGTTTGGCAATTTTGTTTATCTTTTCAAAACACCAACTTTCCCTTTGGTTGATCTTTTGTTATTTTTTTAATTTGATCTCATTTATTTCGGCTATGATCTTCACTATTTTCTTCCAGTAATTTGGGGTTTGGTTTGTTCTTGCTTTTCTAATTCTTTAACATGCACCACTAGGTTGTTTATTTGAAGTTTTTGTACTTTTTTGATGTAGGTCCTTATTACTATAAACTTTCCTCTTAGTATTGTTTTCATTGTATTCCATAGGTTTGGGTATGTAGTCTTTCCATTTGTTTTAAGAAATTTTTAAATTTATTTCTTAATTACTTCATTGACCCATTGGTCATTCAGGAGCATATTGTTTAATTTCTGTGTGTCTGCATAGTTTCCAAAGTTCCTCTTGTTATTGATTTCTAGTTTTATTCCATTGTGGTCTGAGAAGATATGTGATATAATTTCAATATTTTTGAATTCTTTAATACTTGTTTTGTGGCCTAACATATAGTCTACCCTTGAGAATGATCCATGTGCAGAGGAGAAGCATGTGCACTTTGCAGCCATCGATGTTCTTGGAAATACCTATCAGGTTCAATTGGTCTGTAGTGCAGATTATGTCTGATGTTTCTTTGTTGATTTTCTGTCTAGATGATCTGTCCAATGCTGAAAGTGGGGTGTTAAAGTCTTTAGCTCTTATTGTATTGGGGTCTATCTCTCACTTTAGCTCTAATAATATTTGCTTTACATGTCTAGGTGCTCCAGTTTTGGGTGTATATATATTTACACTTGCTATAACTTCTTGCTGAGTTGACTCCTTTATCATTACATAATAAACTTGCCTCTTATATAGTTTTTGTCTTGAAATCTATATTGTCTGACATAAGTATAGCTATTCCTGCTCTTCTTTGGTTTCTGTTTGTATGGAATATGTTTTTTCATCCCTTTATTTTCAGTCTATTTGTGTCTTACAGATGAAGTGTGTTAGTTGTGGGCAAATGTTCATTGGGTCTCATTTGTTTTGTTTAGTTTTTGAATCCAGTAAGTCACTCCATGTCTTTTGATTAGAGAGTTTAGTCCATTTATATTCAATATTATTATTAATAAGTAAAGACTTAATCTTGCCATTTTGTTACTTGTTTTCTGGTTGTTTTGTCATCTTTCCTTCTTTCTTGCCTTCCTTCTTGTCTTCCTTTTTGTGAAGATTATTTTTTCTGATGGTATGTTTTAATTTCATTTTTAAACTTTTTATCTGTCAGTTTTTGGAATTGAGGTTACTATGAAGCTTGCAAATAATATCTTATAATTCATTATTTTAAACTGATGACAACACTGATTGCAAAAATGAACTAACAAGCAAAGAGAAAACTAATGAAAACTCTACACTAACTTCATCCACCCACTTTTTAACTTTTTATTGTTTCTATTTATGTTATTATGTCTTAAGAAGTTATTGGAGTTATTATTTTTGATAGGTTCATCTTTTAGTCTTTCTACTCAAAATATAAATATTTTACACACAATTACAGTGCTATAATATTCTGTATTTGTCTGTTTACTTACTATTACCAGAGAGTTTTGTACCTTCAGATAATTTCTTATTGCTTGTTAACATCCTTTTCTTTTAGATTGAAAAACTAGCATTTCCCATAGGACACATCTGATATTGATGAAATCCTAAGCTTTTGTTTATCTGGGAAAGTTTTGTTGCTTCTTTATGTTTGAAGGATATTTTCACTGAATATGTTACTGTAGGATAAAAGTTGTTCCCCACCTCCCCAGCCCCCACCACCTGCCCCCCATCAGCATTTTAAATATGTTGCACCAGTCCCTTTTGGCCTGTAGGGTTTCCACTGAGAAGTCTGCTCCAATGTATTGGAGTTCCTTTGAATGTTACTTGTTTCTTTTCTCTTGCTAATTTAAGAATCTTTTCTTTATCCTGGACCTTTGGGAATTTGACTATTGAATTCCTTGAGGTAGTCTTATTTGGGTTAAATCTATTTGATGTTCTATAACCTTCTTGTACCTGAGTATTGACATATTTCTCTAGGTTTGGAAATTTCTCGGCTATCCCTTTGAATAAATTTTCTATGCTGATCTCTCTCTCCCCCTTCTCCTTAAGACAAATAGCTCTTAGATTTACCCTTTTGAGGCTATTTTCTGGGTCTTGTAAGCAAACTTCATTCTTTTTGTCTTTTGTCTCTTCTAACTATTCAAATAGCCTGTCTTCAAACTCACTAATTCTTTCTTCTGTTTGATCAATTCTGTGGTTGATAGATACTGATGCATTCTTCAGTATGTCAACTGAATTTTTCAGCTCCAGAATTTCTGCTTTTTTTAATTATTTCAATCTCTTTGCTAAATTTATCTGATAGAATTCTGAATTCCTTCTCTGTGTTATCCTGAATTTCACTGATCTTCCCCAAAACAGGTATTTTAAATTATCTTTGACAGGTCACATAACTCTGTCACTCCAGGATTGGTCCCTGGTGCCTTATTCAGTTTGTTTGGTGAGGTCATGTTTTCCTGGATGGCCTTGATGCTTGTGGATATTCACTGATGTCTAAGCATTAAAGAGTTAGGTATTTATTGTTGTCTTCACTGTCCAGGCTTATTTGTATCTGTCCTTCTTAGAAGGGATTTCCAAGCATTCAAAGGGAATTGAGTGTTGTTATCTAAATCTTTGGTCATTGCAGCTGTGTCTGCATTAGGGGGCACCCCAAGCCCAGTAATGCCGTGATTCTTACAGACTTGTAAAGGTATCTCCTTGGTGGTCCTGGATAAGATCCAGGAGAATTCCTTGAATTACCAGGCAGACTCATGTTCTCTTCCCTTACTTTCCTCCAAACAAATGTAGTCTCTCTTTTCACACTGATCTGCCTGGAACTGGGGGAGGGGTAACACAAGCACCCCTGTTGCAACTACTACTGGGACTACTCTGGGTCAGTCCCAAAGCCAGCATGGTACTAGGTCTCACCCAAGGCTCATAGCAACCACACTGCCTGGCTACTGCCAATTTTGTTCAAGGCCCAGGGGCTCTTCAGTCAGCAGGTTGCAAACTGAGCCAGGATTGTGTTCCTCCCTTCAGGGCAGCAAGCTACTCCCTGGCTCAAGGCTGGCCCAGAAATGCTGTCCATGAGCCAGTGCGTGGAGTCAGGAAACTTAATAATCTACTTAGTGCACTGTTCTGCTGTGACTTGAGTTGGCACCCAAGCTGCAAAACAAAGTTCTTCCCACCCTTCCCTCTCCTTTCCTCAGTCAGAAAGAGTGTCTATCCATGGCCATTACCACCCCAGGCTTGGTACCAATGTTCACTCAAGGCTCAGCTTGTGGTGAATGCTACCAGGCCTTGGTCTCTCCCTTCAGGGCAGTGGGCTTCCCTCTGGCCCAGTGTGGGTCCAGAAATGCCATCCAGGAGTCAAGGCCTAGAACTGTAGAACTGGGGACCCCAGGGATTCACTTGATCCTCTAACCCACTGGGCCAAGCTGTTGCCCAAGCTGTAAGACAAAGTCCCCTTTACTTTTCTTTCTCCTTTCTTCAAGCAAAAGAAATCTCTCTCCATGGCCAACACAGCTTGAAATATGTTGGATCACACCTGAATCTAGCATGGCCCTGGGTCTCACCCATGGCCCACAGCAAGTACTGCCTGGGTACCACTGATATTTATTCAAAACCCAGGTGCTCTTTAGCCAGGTGATGAATTCTGCCAGCACTGGGTCCTTCTCTTCAAGGTAGTGGGTTTCCTTCTGGCACAAGGAGCTAGTGCCTCGAATGGGGGCTCTGGTACACTATTTTATTGTGGCTGAGCTGGTATGCAAGTTGTAAGACAAATTCCTCTTTACCCTCTCCTCCTGGAGCTATGAGCTGCACTGCCTAGGGTCAAAGGAGGGGTGATGCACACACTCCCTTGGCTGCCCTGGCTGGTGTCTCACCAGGTCACATGCATCCCACATCCACTGGCTCCAAGCCCAGCACAGAGCAGGACTTGCCCAGAAATCTTAGTTCTTATGGTCTAGATTGTCTTTCAAGTTTATTTAAAACACCAGACTACTTTAGTCCACAGTGGTGGTGCTAGCCAGAACTCAGGCTCCAACTGCTAGAATGGATGATTCCGCTCTGGCTAGGGCTGATCAAAATGATCTGTCTGTAGGCATCAGCTGAATCCTGCCCCTTGTTGTCTTCCACTGTACAGGGCAAAACTGAGTTCCAATCCAAAGTTCCACAATCACTGTTCCCTCTCCCTCAACAGCACAGAGATGATCTCTCCACACTACATGGCTGCTGCCGGCGGATGGGGTAGGCATGGTGTGGTGATTCAAGACTGTCTTTCCTACCTCTTCATTGCCTCTTTCTTTGATATGGTATTGAAACCGGGTACTGTGATCACTCATCTGGTTTTTGGTTCTCATAAAGGTGCTTTCCTGCATGGATAATTGTTCAGTTTGGTGTTTCTGTGGGGTGGATGATCATTGGAGGGTTCTAGTTGGCTATCTTGTTCCACTTCCCTCTCAAGAATCACATTTTAATCTTTATAACCTCTGCAGCTACAAATATAGCATCTTATAAATAGTAGTTCCTTAATAAATAACTGTTGATTGAACAACATAATTATACACACAACATAAATATATACAACTCTTAATTTATATATCAATATATAAATCCTTGACTCTATATATGAGAAAGCAGTCCATTTTTAGAGTTTTAATTCTTAAAGATTGTGTTCATTTGATATGGATAAATATGTTTGTCAAATATATTTATACAAATATGGACATCAAATCAAAATGTATATTAAATTTCAAAATTGATGAAACTTTATGGAAATATTAGTTCCTAAAGGAATTAAAGTTCCTCATTAAAAAAAATGAAACAACCCTCTGCATTAAGTTAATGGACTTCACAATAGCATTGTCAGTTAATTTAAAACAGTTGACTGGCCACCCAATGCCTGTGTGAGAGCTAACACCATTTAAAACCATTTACGTTTTCCTTTCTTCTCAAGTAAGTTGAGTTATATGGTTTAAAAACCCCCAAAACAGAAATCTGAATAATAATATGTTGACTGCTTCCAATACTCTTGAAGTTCTCAAGAAATTCTAAAAGTAGCTTATTCAAAGATCTAAGCATATTATCCTACATAAAATATTATTTTAAGGTAGAAAACGCACGAAAATTAAAGTAATGTAACAAAACATAGGTAAGCAGCTTACTGAATGTGCATATAAAAACAGACAACTACTGAATCTGTCTCATGATTTGTACCAACAGTTTGGTTGTTATCTTTGCTGTGCTTTATGGGATTTGTAACATACATTTACACTAAGAGCATTTGGAAGGTGCCATAAAGTGGCATATTGGATATATTTCAGTGCAGTGTTCTTTAACTCATAAGACATTAAGTCTATATTTAGGAAATTAAGGATTTTTGTGAAGGGACATGAAAATTTTTAAACAAGTAAAAATACATCCAGAAGTTAATACATAAGAGAGTTCATATCAATCTCATAAAAATGAATTCCCTAAACATAGACCTAATGTCTTATGATGTCAATATAATTTACTATGTAATTGATTAATATGGTTATACTTAAAATAAAAATAAAATGTATTTATTTCCAAATTAAATTTAAATGTCAGATGTTTATGATCATGTCAATAAATTAATTTCACTGAATATTTGAATATCCCTTCTAAATCCTACTGATGGTATTACTGCTGTGAGCTCCTCACTCACTCCCACCATGCAGAGCAGAGATATCTGGCTTGGGCCTGTGGCTCCTTTTGCCCAGTGATGTTTGGATATAAAGTGCATGTTATTGGTTCAGAGTCAAAGATTTAAGAGATCTCAAGTATTTCGTCTCACTTTCTAGTGCTCCTGTGATCCACAATACCGAAAACGTAGCTTGGGTAGCATAAAAATAACGTGCAGCAGAATGCAGCCAGCCTTCAGCCTGAAGTCCAGGCTTGCCTAGCTGAGTTGTAGCTCATTTGCACACCCAAGAGTGAGAAATATATATACACACACACACACACACACACACACACACACACACATACATACACACACACACACACATATATATTTGTGTTGCCTTTCTGTAAGCCACTAAATGTTGTGGTGGTCTGTAATGAAGCATTCTTGAAGCAATAACAACAAAGACCTAAGAGAAAATCTTACAGAAAATCAGATACTATTCCTGCCCTTGAGGAGTATATAATTTAATCATAGTGACATGGGAATGGCCTGATAATACTGATAACAAAAAGAAGTTGCTGTTGAGGATTTATTACCTGCAAGGGAGTTTTCTCAATAATAACACTATGATAAGAGGAAACAGAGGCACAAGCAAATCAACTAACTTCCCAAAATCGAGCCAGTTTTGGAACCCATATAGTCTTTCTCCTTCAATCTCCTCAGCATTCTCCCTCTCACACTTTCACATATGAAAATGACATTTAATTATGGTAGATTAATAATGCATGTGATAATTCAAAATTCAGAAAAGAGATTTAATACTTCTTGGGGCATTTGTTAGCCAGTGTCACTGTACTAAATGGTGTAACTTAATAACAAAGTGACTGATTGCACAGTTTTTATTTCAGACAACATGTGATCTTAAACATTTTATTTAATCTTTTTGAGGCTCATGCTTTTATCTTTAGAATGGTAAGATGATATTTGTTTATTGGGAGAATTTAACACCACACAAGAAGGATGTAGCAATTCTAAATAAATGTTAGCTGTATTATCATTACCTTATTTCAAATTAAGAATAAGCATATAGGATGATTATAATTAAATAGATTTTTAAGGGCACCCCATAGAATGTTGTCCTACTAGAAAAGGAATTTTTTTCCAGACTATTGCTATTCTCTTCTAAACACCACCCCTCCACCCCTCCCACACACACCTCATTCATTAGTTGTTCTTCAAAGTCATGGCTCTCTTGCTAGGTTGCCTAGTTGACTTTCATATAAAGGGCAGCAGAGACTATTATGGTTTTTGATAACTATACACCCAGAGGGTAAATGTTGAGATGCACACAAATATCATTATTTCATTGTGCTTTAACAGACTGTGTGCATATAGTTGGGGAATTAAAGACAAACACCACGTCTACTTTATAAAATAGTAATGCATAGGCAGGAGAATCACTGGAACCCAGGAGGTGGAGTTTGCAGTGAGCCGAGATCGCGCCACTGCACTCCAGCCTGGGTGACAGAGCGAGACTCCATCTCAAAAAAAAAAAATAAATTAATTAAAAAAGGAATAAAATAGTAATGCCTATATTATACTATCTTTCAAGCACTGGACATGCATTAAATAATTATTTATGGATATGAAAGTTCTTAAATCCTCAAGGAAAGCAGAGCTTCCAAGGTTAGCTAAGGTAACAGAATATTTCGTTTTGCAGTCAACTGTAAGAAAACAAATTCTTTCCACCCTCTTATCAAATCTACAGTAACTGGAGATCCAGCTCCTGTTGCCATCTGATGGCTGAAATCTCACAGCTAATGAGGCTAGGTCTGATCATAAGATTTCCCTGTTCTTCTCTAGACATCCTTCTGGAGATGTTTAATAAGTGCCTTTTGAATTTAACTGAACTGAGGCTCAGAGAAGTTACGTGATTTGTGCAAGATCACACAGGCAGCAACAATAGCGGAGAAAGATCAAACAGCTTTGTTTTTTAATTCCAATTCCCAAGCATTTTCCAGAGCATTCTGCCTCTGCATTTTCATCCTACCCAAACCTGCCTGCTTAGTTTTCCCAAGGAAAAGATTGTTAAATTCAGTAAAGACTGTACTATCTTTTAATAAAAGATCAGCGCATTGCCACTCATAGGTCTTAAAATACAACATCTGTTTTTGTGGTGTTTTTTGTTTTTGTTTTTTTATAGATGGAAAGATGGAGTTTCACTCTTGTCACCCAGGCTGGAGTACAATGGTGTGATCTCAGCTCACTGCAACCTCCACCTCCCGGTTTCAAGCAATTATCCTGTCTCAGCCTCCCAAGTAGCTGGGATTACAGGCACCCACCACCATGCCCAGCTAATTTTTGTATTTTTAGTAGAGACAGGGTTTCACCCATGTTGGCCAGGCTGGTCTCGAACTCGTGACCTCAGGTGATCCACCTGCCTCGGCCTCCCTAAGTGCTGGGACTACAGGCATGAGCCACAGCGCCTGGCAACAACTGGTGTATTAACAGGGATATTTGAAATATTGAAAGACCACAATATCCAGAATCCCAGGTAGGCAGGATGTCCCCATAAGCCTTCATATTATGACCCACGGTCCACCCATTCATTTCCAAGATGCAAAGTGAACCTACATGATGATCCATTCAAAACTGTTCAGCTTTCTGTAAATGCCTTTCTTCTCTCTCTTTGCAGTATTGTTGGCTCGCATAGCTTTGATCTCAAAAAGGCTATACGTATATTAAAACCTGCATGTGTTTAAATTTTTGGAGCTCACTTTATGAAATGTAATGTTATAAGAACAAAAGAGAATCTCTGATGTGACTTATTCGTAATAGCCAAAATATGTAATACACAAAATAATGTAAGGTAATGCCCAAGGAAATAACAAATATGTAGATTCAACTCTCCTACCTACCTTTTCTTTCACTTTTATAGACAAGAAAAATTAGGTTATGGAGGAGTTCCTTCAAAGGCTGACTCAGGAGGATCCTTCTTATTTGGATATGGTTGATGTTAAATGCAATCTCTCTAAAAACTTCAACTACAGCTGAGAAAATGCTCATTATCAGTACGACAAGTAATTTTGTCCCAGTGATTTCGGCTATCTCACTTTCTTTAACATGAGATGCATAACGGGTTCTTTTGCCCAGTACTTTCTTACCATTTGAGCTTTTACATGCACTCTCTAAGACAAAAATAAGAATCAAAATCTACTTTTCCAAAAAGAAGTTATATTTTTAAATGTAAATAAAGTTTCTGAAAATTATGTTTTTCTTTCAGTACTCCAAAATTCATGAAGAAATTATCCCTACATATGTGCTTTTAGGATAATTTTACTATAATGCTGAAGAAAACCCTTCTATTGATTTGGGGTGGGAGGAATTTCTCCTCAGGCTTACTTAGCACAATAGTTGGAGGATAATTGTTTTGACTATCTCTTAAAAGTTATTATAAAAAGTGAATGAATTCATATGTATGAAAATATTTTCCAGCATACTATACTCAAATATAGGTAGATACTACTCTTACTCATTTGTATTTCTAATGTAGCATTAATTTCAAGGCTTAAAATTATCCAAACAGGCAACTGAGAGAAGTCTCTCGAGCACATAGTTAACAAATCAAATACTTTCTTTCTTGAAGCAAGTGAATTATTTCCATGTCAAGACAGCTCTTAGAGCTCATATAACTAATGGTGTTGCCCAGGAAAGAAAAGAAAATAGTCTATAACTTGTCTTTTGTATTTTGGAGAGGAAACTGCTTAAATGGCCAAGTCACTTTGTTTATAAAAATAACTAGTTTTGTCTAACTATTTTGCTCAGCAGAAAATGATAGCTTTGAAAAAGCAGTAATGAACAATTAGGAAATGCATTTACCACGTTTTCATTTTCTGATTTTGGCTCCTTACTCTACCCCATTGACTAAGTCATGAATTTACAGTTAATACCTTGCCGTAAGAGAAGTTTTTAAGCAATGCCCAAACTCATTGACCTCTTTTAAAAAAAAAAATTTAGCCTACCTTTCCCTAGGAAGTTTCCAGATAAAATAACAGAACAGGAAACTAGAGTGGGTAGGTATTCACTTTAAATAATTCGGTGTTTGAACTAGTGACTATGTACAAACAATTACAACGATAGGGCTCTTGGTACAGGGACTGATTTTATCGTATAACCTAAGAGTGGGGTTGTACAAAGTCAAATCAGTAAGCACCCTTATAAAAGTCTTATTTTTCTTTTCTCTTTATAAAGCCCTCATTCTTCTACCCAGCCTTAAGTAAGATGATTTAGAGTAGACAGGAGAATGACTTCTATTACAAAATATAGTTTCTTATTTGCCAGGAAATGTGATTCTTGGAAAGACAAAGCACTCCTTTTCCAAAGAAAATGAGATTTGCAACCCCCATGCAGCTCTCTATCTTTATCAATTTAGAAGTTATTAGAAAATAGCTTGAGAATTTACCCACGTAGAGTCCCAAAAACGCCCTGGTAAATTCCCCTGATACTCTCAGTCTAGCTGTACCAGACTTTTCCACCTTCTTAGATGTGACTCTTGCCTTTAAATCTCAGACCAGGTTTGGAAGCTAAATTTCCCAAAGGACAAAGGCTTCAATATCCCCGTCCCACTGATGTGAGGTTTCCCTTTGCCAAGGTCAGCTAGTAGACCGGCTGCTATGATATAAATATTGACCCATATTTTGGAACCTAATCCCCAACGTGACAGTATTAAGAAGGTGGGTGGGCCTGCAGGAGGTGATTAGGTCATGAGCACTCCAGGCTCATTAGTGGGATTAGTGCCCTTATAAAAGAGGCTTGGGGGAGCCTGTTTACCCCTTCCAACATGTGAGGATACAGTTGCCATCCAGGAAGCTGAAAATGAGCCCTCACCATACACTGAATCTGTTGGCACCTTGATTCTAGACTTCCCAGCCTCCAGAACTGTGAGCATTAAATTTGTCCTGTTTCTAAATTACTCAGTCTAGGGTATCTTGTTACAGCAGCCTGAATGGACTAAACCATCTACCCTGCAACAAATTCTAAAGGAGTCCTTCCTTCGGGTTGACATAAAAGGACACTAGACAGTAATTCAAAACCATACAAAGCAGAGCTCCAGGAAAGATCGATCTGTACTGTTTACTCAGAACTGTGCTAAATACCTATTTTTTGTGCTAAATATTTTTGTTTTTAGTTTCCAGAAAAATATGTGAGATGGTGCTAGTATTCAGAATATTCAGCATATTTGTAAACATAAGAAAACACGTGAAATCATGAAAAATGTGTTTGGTGTAGACTGTATTAAGTGACAGTGATGTTAAGATCTAACTAGAGAGATGGGAGCATACAAGGTGAGAAAGAGGAAGCGGGTCAGCATGCCATTAAAGAGGAATCAGATTCTAGAATGTCTTAATGGCCAAGTAGATTAGAAGCCAAAATTTAGATTTGATACCTATAGTATATACCCTCAATGTGTGTTCATGAAGTGAATCAAAGCAGGGGTACAGAATAAGTGGCCAGTATAAATGGTTAGAATGATCTTTGAAGTGAATTTGAAAAGCACAGATACTTGACAAAATGTCACTTACGGTGATTCACCAAGTGGTGGTATACAGGATAGACAGAAGGGAAGACAGCCTGAATGAAGCATGAGGTGTGATAAGAACTTTACTATTACTAATATTCCTTGTCAAGGGAAATGAAGGCTAAGCTAAGTCACTAGCAATAGAACTAAATTCAGCAGAAAATTAAGTAAAAACATTAGCAATATTGGCAGGATATGAGAGCAAATGAAAAGGATGAGTCAAAGTTGGCCATAGTTTAGTTGGATGACTAAGAGGATCCCCTCCCCTCCAAGTTTTCTTGGCCTTTCTGACTCCACGTCTTCATTTTGGTTGGCTTGTCAACTGTTTATCAGTAACATCACTACCTCTGCTCTTAAAGTTATGAGTGTCTTTATCCTCTACGCTCTACAGTTACCGCTATCCTCAATTATTAATCTTTTCAGATGCCTTTACCTAAATATTTATTCCATAGCCATAATGGTAATTTAAATAAGCTGAATCTCATTTATTCACTGAACATATATTTACTGAGCCCCTACAAACTGCCAATTACTCATTGCAGGGATCCTCAACCTCATACCTTCTCTTCAAAAAAGTCAGAAGTACCATACCAAATATAAATGGGTGACTGTTATTTGCCAAGATCACATAGTAGATAAGTGGAAAAGTAGATAATAGGGCCTGTTTCTCCTGTCTCCTAATCCAGTTATCTTTCCACTGATGCAAGCTGCTTCTTAAGGCAGAGGGTCTTAAAACCGGACAAATCTAAAGCTGATTTATCACATTATTTTATTTCCTTTTTTCTTCCTTCTGAGATGTGACTACAAAATTCACAGTAATTTAGCAAAGAATAGCATATCTGTTAATAGATATCAGAATTTATTATTAGAAGCAAAATAATACAAGCAGCTATTATTGCCTCAAAGATAGAGAAAATTTATCATAGTTTTATATTTTTAAGACTATGTCTTTCAGAGGACAGCTATAAGAGAATCCTGAGTGATTTTTGTCTCCAACCCTAGACTCAAGGATTTCCAATGAAACCTAATTTTGGTGACATTTCCAAATACTCCACAAAAATGTATATAGCATTAAAATATATTAGTCATAAGAATGTCACTATTATTTATTTTGAAAAAAGAAAAGAAGCTGTTTTCTCTTTTCTATCTTTGCACAGTTTTAGTATAACAATATGAGGACCATTTACCAACTATTAACTGTAATTCGAATGTGACTTGAATAGCCTAAAAGCATTTAGTTAACTCCATAGTGAAAAAAGAATCCAATTATGAATCACCCAAATGATACGTCATTGTTTTCATGGCATTCATTAAACAGATAAAGACACAAAAGTATTCCCCAATGAGATATTGATTTCTAGCAGGTTTACACATGTGGCATCAATCCCAAGCAACCTTTATATCAAGAGTGTCAGCATTACAGAAATTTGAAAGTGGACTTGACTTCGATCTGCAGGTAGTGGTCTACCAGAAAAGGGCTTACGCATGTATGTCCCTGTGTATAACATTTAGACTCACACATATATACAAACACACATATATATGTATGTTTGTGCACATACTTACATATTCACATATGTATGGCGTATGTGTATAAAATTAGGGTATCAAATATGTATGTATACATATATAAATATGTGTATATATATTATGTTTGTACAGGCAATCAAAATATATACATATACCAAATATAAATGGGTAAAATATATGTATTTTGATTGGCTATACAAGCATAAATAATATATAGGAGGATATATAAACATATGCATATATATATATATAGAGAGAGAGAGAGACCCTCTCTGGGTCTTCTATGTATACATATACATAATAAACCAGAATGTAAAAAACTACATATATACATACAGACACATGCATATATGTCTGTGTCCTTAATATCTGAGTACATCAACACTTGGGGTACAAGCCAAGATTTTAGAGGCCATGGATGGGCAAAAAATGAGATGACAGAAATAATAACTAAACTCCTTGTGAAAAATGAACATTATTTGAAAGTGAAATAAAAAAACAGAAATGTGATGAGAAGGAGGGGATCAAACAGGATAAAGAAGAGAGGCTGAAGTACATAACAAAGCATTGGGAGTTTTAAGAATGGGTCAGGCGTGGTGGCTCATGCCTGTAATCCCAGCACTTTGGGAGGCTGAGGCGGGTGGATCGCCTGAGGTCAGGAGTTTCAGACCAGCCTGGCCAACCCAGTCTCTACTAAAAATACAAAAATTAGCCAGGTGTGATGATGGGCGCCTGTAGTCCCTGCTACTCAGGAGGCTGAGGCAGGAGATTCGTTTGAATCCGGGGGGTGGAGGTTGCAGTGAGCTGAGATCACACCACTGCACTCCAGTCTGGGTGACACAGCGAGAATCTGTCTCGGAAAAAAAAAAAAAAAAAAAGAACTAGAATGACTCCTATTCAATCTTCAGTAGTTTGCATTCTTATGATTAAATAACACACAACCCAATGTCTCCACAACATTCAGTAATGTTTATTACATATTTTTAAAAATATGTGAGTTATTTTGATTTTGTTTTTTTATTGTGTTGCTTTCTGCAGTTTTGCAACTGAAGAAGCAGTTTCTGGGATCAACCTATTTGGGATCAACAATTTAGAGGAGATCAAGGAACACCCTAGAAGTACAGGCATCTCAGTGGAGGGAAGAGTCAGAAGCAGAATTGCACTTATAGAGTAAGCCCTGGGAGTCTGCAGACGTCTAAAGGTTTCCAGCAGAGAAAAAGCATGAAAATTCCAAATTCAAGGACTAATTATACAGTTCTGAGGGTAGGGTTCTGGAGCATTCCATTAGATCAATTATGATCATATAAATCAGGGTACAGATTTCAGGGACAGGAACACAAAAGGCAGGTTCTGAGACAAAGACATATACAAGACTCAGACGGCTGGCAGTGCAGTGAGTTGGGGCATGATACAGTAAGCTCTCAGATTCCTCATGCTGGCCAGGGCTGAGGGCACACCCAGCCCTGGCACTATAGAGTAGGCAAGCTTGTTGGGATATAATAGTTCAAAGACTATCAGAGTAATTCCAAGACATGAATTTAGTAATGGAGGAAGATATAACATGGAAAGAAAATTGCTTATTTGAAAATAAATATCTTAGGACCAGGAATTACGCTAGGGTAGGAGAGGGGTGTCTAGCATATTTAAGCATAATAACTCCAGTGATTTATTAATCACTCATATGTGTTTGGCACTGTCATTATCCCTATTTGGTCTTATTATTGCCCTCTTTTCAACCATAAGGAAACAGAGGTTGTAACCTCTTGGGTAACCTCCCTGTAGCTCCACAGTGGGCAAGTGACAATGTCAGGAACTGAATGCAGGCAACTGTTGGGCTTAAGTCCCTCTCTTCATGCTTTAGAAAGACACTTAGTGTTCTTTATCAGAAATGATATGGAAAAGGCCAGGTGCCATGGCTCACGCTTGTAATCGCAGCACTTTGGGAGGCCAAGGCAGGTGGATCACCTGAGGTCAGAAGTTAGAGACCAGCCTGGCCAACATGGTGAAGCCCTGTCTCTACTAAACATACAAAAATTAGCCAGGTGTGGGGGCGCATGCCTACAGTCCCAGCTACTCAGGAGGCTGAGGCAGGAGTATCACTTGACCCCGGGAGGTGGAGGTTGCAGCGAGCTGAGATTGCTCCACTGCACTCCAGCCTCGGCAACACAGCGAGAATCCAACTCAAAAAAAATAATGATATGGAAAAGATGGGCCAGAGCAATTAGATCATATAGATAACCTCGGAAAAGAAGGAAAAGACTCAGCCCTTGCATCCTCGATGGAGCATACCAACAGCCAGATATGAATGGAGTTGGAACCTCTCCCTTGCCATTCACACATACAGAGTGCCCTGCACTTTATAGGAGGGTGACTATGCTGAGAAGACTATGGGCCTTCAAAGATAGCCATACCCTTGCTCCTGAAACCTGTAAATATGTCACCTTACGTGGCAAAAGTGACTTTGCTGATGTGATGAAGTTTATGAGTCTTGGATGGGAAGCTTATCCTGGATTATCTGGGTTCAGTCTAGTTAAAATACACCTTAAAAGTGGAGTATGTTTTCCGACGGTGGTAAGAAGGGATGTGATGATGGAAGAGGCTCTGGGAGACAGCGGTGTGAGAAAGGTCTCACAACCTGTTTCCAGTTTTGAGATTTGGGAGTGGGGTACTTGTAAGGACCCGAAAGTAGCTTCTAGAAGACAAGAGGGACCCCAACTGACAGCCAGCAAGGAACTGGGGACCACAGTCTTACAACCACACAGAACTAAATTATCTCAACACCAATAACCAGGAAACGGATTCTCTCCTAGAGTCTTCAGAAAAGAACAGAGGCTATCAACACCTTGGCCCTGGAAGTCCCATGTCAGGGGACCTTGAGACCTACAGAACTCTAGAAAAGACATCTGAGCTGTTTAAGCCTCAAGGTTTGTGGTAATTTGTTGTAGCAGCAATAGAAAAATAATACAAGGGCAGGATATGAAGCTTGGCAAAATGTCTCGTCTTACTTCATAATTTTGCAGACAGGGAATTCCCCCAAAGAATGATAACGGGGCTCTCTGCTCCCAGGGAATTTTTTATTTTATTTTTTTGAGACAGGGTCTAATTCTCTCACCTAGGCTGGAGTGCAGTGGCCTGATCATAGCTCACTGCAGCCTCAATCTCCCATGCTCAAATGAGCCTCCTGTATTAGCCTCCTGATAGCTGGCACTACAGTCACCCACCACTGGGTCTGGCAATTTTTAAAAAATTTTTAGTAGGGAGCAGGTCTCGCTATGCTGCCCAGGCCGGTCTCAAACCACTGGGCTTCAAGGATCCTCCCACCTCAACTTCCCAAAGTGCTAGGATTACAGGCGATGTGAGCCACTACACCCAGTCCCTCCTAGGGCATTGATCACCTACCTCAAGAACATGAACATGGTGAGTCACAAGGTCAGATGTAACAATATGTATATGAGGCTCAGAGAGCTGAGCAGCTTTTGTGGGGGTTTATGATATCAAGAACATGCGATGTCAGTTTTAGCATTGTGTTTCAAAATATATTGAAGACTCTGAGAACCTTATGAGGGAGGTTTATGTTTTGCAAATTTAAAATTTGTAATACAAATAAATTTGTTTCCATATGTTCCTTTCCTTTCTCATTCTGGGGAAACTTTACATAGAAAATAACTCCTGAATTTCTCACATTTATACTATTTTATCTAAATACCACAATGCTATAAATATGTTCCTCTAGATCATCAAGGTGCAGGGATGACCTAGTCCAGGGCAAGGTATGTCTGTCTCTGTGTGATATAGTTTGGATGTGTGTCCCCTCCAAATCTCATGTTGAAATGTGATCCCCAATCTTGTAGGTGGAATCAAGTGGGAAGTGTTTGGGTTATGGGGGTGGATCCCTCATGAATGGCTTGGTGCCCTCCCCAAGGTCATGAGTGAGTTCTCTATTTGTTCACAGGACAGCTGGTTGCTTAAAAGAATGTGGTACCCCTCCCTCTATCTCTTGCCATGTGACATGCCAGTCCCTCCTCACTTTCCATAAGTAAAGGCTTCCTGAGGCCTCACCAGAAGCCTAGCACATGCTGGTGCCTTGCTTGTACAGCCTGCAAAACTGTAAGCCAAATAAACCTCTTTCCTTTACAACCTACCCAGTCTCAGGTATTCTTTTACAGCAACACAAAACAGACTAAGAAACCATGGTAGAGCTGCAGAGCCCTGTCCAAATAAAGCAGTACAATTGAGGAAAATTGCTGTGCATGTTTGGCACTTGCTTTCAGAAAGAAAACATTTAACTTTTATACGTCACTTGGGCTAAGACAATATGCATTTATCGAACACAGATGAATGTAAGAAAGTAGAGCTCCCGAAAAATGGCTTACATGCAGTGGGTGAGCTAGTGGGGAACTCCTGAATGTGTTTCCAAAAACTACAAGCGATGTGAAGACTATGAAGAAAATACAGGAAAGAGGCAATGTGAAAGCCAGTCTGTCTGTTACAGACATTTATTTACTGGTGAAGGGGATTCAAGGCAGATAATATTCTTACGTGCTTGGTGCCTCCGACTCAGAGACATGGAAGGGCTATTTTGCGAAAGAGAGGGGGCGGTAAATCCAAGATGGGCTAGACGGAGGTGAAGGAGTGGGCAAGGAAGACAGGATGAGGATTGAAGGAAGGGAGAGAAGATGAAAAATAGAAAAAGACTAGTAAAGAAAAAGCCTGAGTAAATCCACAAGTAGGCTTGGAGGGAGATCGTTCAACAATCTAAGAAAAATGCAATTGGAAGGGAAAGGCAAGTCGAACAGTCCTCAGGCAGCCTCAAGAGCCAGGAAGTCCAGTTCTCATGAATAACCACATATAATTCCCATACTACTTACTTCGTAGTATAAAAGTCAAATATCTTCAAGAAAAAAAATTACTAATTTTTACATATTAAAAATGTTTCAATGTATTCTAATTATTTTAATTGTTATATTGTTAATATTTGAACACATAAATCAATGTTTATAAGAATGGCTTATATTTATTTTTTATATTTATTTCTTATTTATTTGAAACAGGGCCTCCCTCTGTTGCTCAGGCTGCAGTGCGGTGGCATGATCATGGCTCACTGCAACCTATGCCTCCTGGGCTCAAGCCATCCTCCCCTCTCAGCCTCCCTAGTAGCTGGGACTACAGGTGTGCACCATGCCCAGCTAATTTTTGTATCTTTTGTAGAGACAGAGTTTCACCATGTTCCCCAGGCTGGTCTCAGACTCCTGAGATCAAGCCATCCCAGCTACCTCAGCCTCCCAAAGTGCTGGGATTACAGGTGTGAGCCACCACACCCAGCTAAGGATGGCGTATAGTCTGAATAAATGTAGAAGTATATAAAGGATATGAATATTAAATAAATTTATACATACATACATAAAATCATGCTCAATGTCACACAGAATAGAAGGTTCTTCATATCCATAAGGATACTGTTACAGAAAAAGGCACTAAATATCAGGTAAATTAAAAACCTGGCTCAAGGTTAACAACATAAACAAGTTAACCCACGTTAACAATTCAGACAAGATTCCCATCCTGCCCCAAACGTGGTGGCCAATGAAATCAGAATCTCTTTCTGCTAGCATTAATTTTTCATTTTATATCAATTCCACTTAAAAATGAGAGTTCTTTTAAAAGAACTTTAAGTCATGGATTTGGTTATCTGGTTCTTTCCTGTGATTTCTTGACTCCATCAGTTCCATCACACTTCTGATCTCGCAGACTTAAAAACCCAGCATGAGTTTTAATTCATCTTACTCATCCTTGGACACTAATTCATATTGATTTTACTTTTAAATGGCCTTTAAAAAAATAATAATTCTGTTCTTATTGCCTCTCCCGTGGAGTTCCTCCCCATTGGTTCTCTACTTTAACTTGCCATGCTTTTGGGCACCATACGGTCGGGCCTCCATATCTGTGGGCTCCTCATTGGCAGATTAAAACTATTCAGAAAATAAAAAAGTGTAGTACAAAATAATACAACTAACATACAGTATAACAACTATTTACATAGCATTTACATTGCATGAGGTATTATATGTAATCAAGAGATGATTTAAAGTTTACTAGAGGATGTGTATAGGTTACATGCAAATACTACACCATTTTATATGAGAGACTGGAACATCCTTGGTATCCACTGGTGGGGGAGGCTCCCTAGAACTAATTCCCAGCAGATATCAAGGAATGACTGTATTTCTTTCCATAAATCAGAGCACTAATGATCACTCCTATATTTGGACTCTTAATAGCTCTTATATGCTGTTTAATCAAGAACAAACTCTCTACAATATGATCAACTGTAATTCTCAACATATCTTTTATTACTTTCCTTACAGCTCTAAGATCCAGCCAAGCCAACCCTTGTAGCCCTATTTCCCAAACATCCACATGTTTTTCTGCTTCTACACTTTTGCTTAAGATTTTCCTTACTCAGAATTCCAACAGTCCACTTTTTGGATTAAAAAATCTCCCAGTACTCAAGTGCTTATGTCAAATGCTACCTCTTTCTCAAGAACTTTTAGCCATAATATATAACCCCTGGCTCAATGGAGCCCTCATAAAAATTTGTACAGATGATATTTTGCATTACATTATAGATATCTGGTATTTCTCTGTGTCTCCCTACTCAATGGTAAGCTGCCTTCTATCCCTCATCTTTACACTCCCTTCAACAGGACAGAGCCTAGAAAATATGCAGTGCTTCATAAGTGTTGCTAAATTGAATTCAATTAGCTCTTCCTAAATTACTAAAACTGAAACTCTTTAAGTGACATATTTCAACAGCAATTTCAAAAGATTTCTAAGAAAACAATACATTATTTAAGTGTCATTGTAGCTGGTCATGGGGTCAACCAGGAATGCTTTAGAAATATCAACTGAAAGTTTCTTTCCATGCAATCAAACATTTTGCCATTCTTTCTTTTTTTCTTTCCTTTTTTGTGATGGAGTGTCGTTCTGTCACTCAGGCTGGAGTGCAATGGCGCAATCTTGGCTCACTGCAACCTCTGCCTCCTGGGTTCAAGCAATTCTCCTGCCTCAGCCTCCCGAGTAGCTGGGACTACAAGGCGCACACCATCACACCCAGCTAATTTTTGTATATTTAGTAGAGACAGGGTTTCACCATTCTACCAAAATTATTTTACCCCTTAATAGACCATCACATCCATAGGAACACTCACTTGGCTGGATCTTTATGCTATAAAAGTCTGTGGAAGATGCATGTGCCACGAACAAGTGGACACTGGAAGAAACAGACTTCTAATGGAGGGAACCTAATCACTTTCAACCAGCGCAAACTATAATAAGTATGGTTCTTATGATTCACAGTATAATAATCCCAATGGACTTAACTTTAAAAGGGCATAGTGTATCTAATACAGCTGCCCTGAGGCTGGGCCAAAATAGTTATCCCTACTTGACTTTTTGGGCCTTGAATCAGTAACAGACCCAGACTACATGAAGAGAAGTAAATTGCTCTCACTGCATTAAATGCCCAACAAACACTGGGCCAGCTATCTATCTACCCATCTGTCATCTCCATCCACCCATCCTTCCATCCATACTAGCCCACTTGTTATGCATCATTGTAATAATATTATGTATATATACATTTTAATATGTACTGAGCACTTACTTCATGTCAGACACTAGTCTAAGTATTTTACATATGTTAAACCTTACAACAGCTCTATAAGTTAGGTACTGTTATTCCCATTTTACAGATGAAGAAATCAAGGCTCAGAATGTTTAAGTAACTGCCCAAGTTCATACAGCTATTAAGTAATAGGACTAGGATTTGAATCCTGGAAATTGTCTCCCAGAGTCCACACTTTTTTTTTGAGACAGCGTCTCATTCTTGTTTCCTAGGCTAGAGTGCAACGGCATCATCTCAGCTCACTGCAACCTCTGCCTGCCGGGTTCAAGCGATTCTCCTGCCTCAGCCTTCCAAGTAGCTGGGATTACAGGCACATGCCACCAAGCCCAGCTAATTTTTGTGTTTTTTAGTAGGGATGGTGTTTCACCATGTTCTCCAGGCTAGTCTTGAATCCTGACCTCAGGTAATCCACCTGCTTCAGGCTTCCAAAGTGCTAGGATTATAGGCATGAACCACCACACCCAGCCCAGAGCCCACACTTTTAATCACTCCATGATATAGTACTATAAGAGAAGGATTTTGTTTTCTTCTTAGAAGTTGGAGAGGTCTCCGAAAGTTACTCTATTTCTGGAAAGGACCTACAGGAACTTTCATGGAGGTGAAAGCACAGGGGCACATAAACATAGGAAACCTGCTATATTTCCATATTCCAGTGATACAACTGGAACTATCTCTTAAAAATAAAACTGAGAAGCTAAATTTGAAGCATGGAATACATCGACGGGCTCGCAAGGCAGCCCTAGGTGCTACTTGTAGGGATCTCCGCATGGGCCCCACAAACGTGGTCAGGGCATTTGCGGGGACAGATTCTGCTCAAGGCCCTGTAGAGTAAGTTTTGATGGGCATCAGTCAGCAAGATGAGAATAAAAAATGAACTTCATTATTCCATTCAGTATTAAAATAAAGAGAAGCATTTCATCTTCTACAGAAATGCATGCATAACCAAACAAAACCATGCTTGACTCAGTCCTGCATTTCGTATCAAGAAGGAAGGAATGCAGTGACTAAGATGCTATGAGTAAACAACATATCATTTTCTATGGGAGGGAAAAAGGAATGCTGTCTACCACAGCATTCCTTCTGCATAGTTTCTCGGAGAAAAGCACCAGCCTAGGTTCTTCAACAGGGAAAGTGAATCTGACGACACTCACAACTTTCACCAGTTAAAGGCTGCATCTTACCTCTTACTTCTCTAATAAAACAAGAGAAAAAGCCCTGGAAAATTTGTTCAAAATTCATGATATTGAAGAGGGCTTGCCAGAGGCCATAGGTCAGAGAAGCCAAGTAACAGTCAAATTTGGAATGAAATATTAGGCGGTAACTTAGCTTTCATTCCAAAGGGCTACCCTTAATTATACTGCGGTTTGTAGGACTGCGAAGTTAAATAACAAGTTGTGGCATCCAATATTTTAATTTTATTTATTAATTTATTTATTGAGATGAAGTCTCGCTCTGTTGCCCAGGCTGGAGTGCAGTGGCATGATCTTGGCTCTCTGCAACCTCTGCCTCCCAGGTTCAAGCAATTCTGCCTCGGCCTCCCAAGTAGCTGGGATTACAGGCACATGCCACGACGCCCAGCTAATTTTTGTATTTTTAGTAGAGACTGGGTTTCAGCAAGTTGGCGAGGCTGGTCTTGAACTCCTGACCTCAAGTGATTCACCTGCCTCGGCCTCCCAAAGTGCTGGGATTACAGGTGTGAGCCACCCCACCCAGCATTCAGTATTTTTAAAGAGTTGATCCACAGCCTTCACAGGGAAAACAAATCAAGTAGATGCACCTGCGCCCCTCCAAATTTCTTCTATGACTATTTTTTGCATTGCCAAGCAGCCTGCATATTAAGTAACTTATACACTACTGGGCCCAGGTTCCGAGAAAAAAATATTTTGCTATAAACTCATTCTTGATCTTTCTATGTTAGTGTTGGCTGTCTTATTATTCTTAGCTACATTGAGGGTAAAATAAGTGGCTGGTTTTTCCTACAAATTTGCCAAACCCTGGCTGGAATGCATTGTGTTGTGCTTTCACTAATGGAGTTCTGTGTCACTCACAAGGCACTAATTGAGGCTCTTGGCCTTAAGTAAAACGACACAGGTAAAGAGGTTAAGGGTGTTCTCTGGGAAGGAATTTTTTGACCCTTTCCAATATCAGAACCTGAATCACTCCTTAAAAATGTGCAAGGGAAATGAATGTATTTTCACTCCACCCTCAGAAAATACCAAGTTTCATTGCAACTCAAAAATTCAAGCAGCTAGAACAATGCAAGAACAGTCATTCTAAGTAAATATGTGCCCGTTTACTTTTTTCCTTGTTACAGTTTTCTGATATGCACTCCTGCCTGTGAACTATATTCTAATAATGAGAGGGCAAATCAGGCTTCAAAGACAAAACCTGCCTCCCTAGAATGGAGGAAAATAATACATTCCCCCTCCCACTGTTTCCTATGTAAAATAAAATACAGGCCTAAGATCTACAAATATTATCATTAACATTCTTGATAGGGATAGGAGAACCCAGTAAAATAACTCCATTTGTGAGGACATTGGGGAATTTAGTCTATAATGAGGAACTTTAGAGGCAAGTGAGATTTTAGAATTAAGCAAATGACGGCCAGGTGCAGTGGCTCACGCCTGTAATCCCAACACTTTGGGAAGCTCAGGAGGGAGGATAGCTTGATTCCAGGAGTTGGGGGGGGGGGGGGGGACCAGCCAGGGCAACATAGCAAGATCCCAACTTTAAAAAATCATAATTACAATAAAATATATAATTAAGTGAATGAATTTTTAAAACTTTACTTCCATTCAAGTTCAGAGCCTGGGGGATAAAAGTGTTGTGATAAATGATGCCAGAATTAACTAGCCAAAGTGTGACAATCGCAGTAACTTAATTGGTGCTTATGTGAAGGGAGGCGTGTCCCCACCCTTCACTCTTCTAGGGAGTGGCAGAAATCCCAGAAGAGGAGTTTCGACCTCCCGAGGGAGGAGACAGCGCCGCCCTCTTACCTGCACAGGTGCTCCCGTCGTAGGTCTCGCACACCCACTCATGGCACTCACACAGGGGCCCGAAGAACATGCCCGGCTCAGTCACGTGGCAGATGCAGACGCCGCAGTCGCAGCGGCCCCGGCCGTGGCACAGCGCGGCCCCCGGGGGCTGCCCAGGTGCGCGGCAGCGTCGCTCCGACTCGGCCCGGGACAGCCTGCAGGCGGCGCCCGGCCAGCTCCTGCGCGGGCGACAAGCAACCGGCAGGCCGGGTCAGACGCGGACGCCGCCCCCTGCTCCGAACCCACGTTTCCTCCCCAGTGTCCCCTCCAGGTGCAGACGTACAACCCCAAGAACAGGACGCCTGAGGCCCACATCTCTCTGGGGTCCAAGCGCTGCCTGGAAGGGCTGTATTTTCCCAAGCAAACAGGTATCACCCACCAGAGAAATGACCAGGGCCCAAAATGTGTAATGGGTGACCTGCCCCCGGACACAGGTCCTTCCTCCAGGTGGACAGAGGTGAACTGCCCTGCTCTTTGGTAGTTTATCACTAAATCTTATATGCACATTTAGATTAAATACAAAGTAATCCAAGGTACGGCACTCAGCTGACTTTTCAGTTCTCCTTTAAAAAACGTCCCACTGCTATCTGATGGCCAATGGGCACTTATATTACAGAAGAGAAAACGTGAATCTATAGAAAGAGTTAGACATGCTATGATAGCATCGGGCATAATTTGCATTAAGCAGTCTTTAGGAACTCTACTTTTAAAAAGTTTAGTTTCACTATTGCAGTGTGCCTCACTCAGTCTCTTTCAGGATGATACAAAATGTAACACAGACCTCCTGTTGCTGCCCTTGGGAAACAGATCATTCTGCTTTACATGTTGTGAGAAGATACTGGTACACATAGCATTTTAACTCACAGCAGGAATTCCTCCTGATATGTATTTGCAGAAAAGAAAATTATATTTTTATTCAATGATTGCATTTTTCCAAAGGAAAAGCAAAAGGACAGACATGAGGCAATACACGCTGTAGATATAAGGAGAGGAAAAGGAACAGGTTGAAAACAGTTTATCCCTTGTCCAATTTAATAACAGCTCTTGGCTTAGGGCAGCCATCCTGCAAGCTTGAGCCCTGCCACATAAGCAGGGCAGGTCTGTACTGAAGAATAACAAACCAAACTTACCTCAGAGATGGCGAGAAGCTTTGAGGAACAGCTGACAACCCAGCAAAGAGAAGGGAGGACGCCAGCAGCAAGAAGTTCCTGAAGCCTGGGGGACGCATGCTGAGCTCCTGGGCTGCTCCGGGCGAGCTGCACTTCTGCAAGGTGGGGTTCACCGAGGGAGGCGGCAGGAGGGAGAGGTGCCACCAGCAGATGGCTGGGCAGACGGACCCACGGACACCCAGGCTTGCAGGTCCGGGGCTCCAGCCGGAGTTGCAATTGCGTTGATGAGCTGCCTGCGAGGATTTGGGCAGCGGCACTGCTCTGGGCGGGGTGCTGGTGCCAAACCCCTCAGTGGAGAGTCTAGGCAGGGAAGTAATTAGAAACAGTTGTACAAGCAGATGGTTTATTTTGACATTAAAAAAAAAAAAAGTGTCCTGTTCACAGATTTCAAGTACGGGCCACAGAAATATTTGACAAGAGAATATTTGGACTGGCCGATATTAAAGAAACCTTTAAAATAATCCCTGAGTTGTGGAGAAGGGTGAGGCCAGTGACAGTAGTGGGAACACTTGGGTAGGGAATTACTTTCACCACACGCTTTTAAAGTAGATGCACTCTTTGGAGTTTGGGTTGGGGCCGGGGCAAGGAAATCTGACAAACACAACTTTTTCTTGCATTTATTATCCTTTGATTTAAACTGGATATTTCATTTCTTTAGTCTTTAAAAAGCGTGTCATGCTTCCAGCTGTTTAGGCCAGTAGCTTATCACACCACAATTTGTTGGTGACTTGGACAGTTTAAATTGTAGTTGTCTCAAATTCACCCCATTCTCCCCATATATCAAATGTGAGAAAAGAAAATTAAATGTTTATTTATAGCACAAATTGCACTGAAAAACAATTGGTGTCATTTACTAAGCACCTACTATGTGCCAGTCATTTAGTATGTTTTCTCTAATTATGACAATAATCACACATTTATTTATGCATTAGCAAATGGGGATTTAGCATCTATCAGGTGCCAGGTTTTGTGCAAGACAGAATGAATATAACAGAGAACTAAGGAGACATGATCCCTGCTCTCTCAGAGTCCAATGAGCTAGAAAGACATTAATCAACACAAAACCACAAAAAAAAAGAACAAAGGGTTGCAAGTGCAGTGAGAAGTTACTTCCAGATGAGATACAGGCACTTGATCTAATCAAAGATGGTAGCATCTGAACAAAAAACTGAAAAAAGTATTGAATTAAATTGGGTAGAAATAAGAAGGAGATGGAAGAGAACAGGGAGACATTCTTACTCCCATTTTAAAGATAAAGAAACTGAGGGCAAAGAGGTCAACTGACTTGCTCAAATTCACAGAGGAAGTTAGTCGTATTTCAGCTGAAATCCAAAGTGCATACACTATCCCCTACATTTATGGTCATCTGGGAAAATGTGTAGAGGGTTATATGGAAGGGGGAAAACATTTTTCATTCACCCTAAGAAGAGCACTGTACATGCAATCCTTCCTCATGAAATAGAACCATCCAAGAATCATCTGTGGTCCCAGATCCTTAAAATCAGGGATGAGCCATAATAGGATGGGATTTCTCCCTGTCCTTTATATATAAGTAGGTATAAGGGTAAGACCACCACAACACTAGCCTGCTGGAGCAAGAAGACGATGAAGGTCCTCTAATCATAGTACATTTCTGTTTCTACCCCAATCTCCACCCTGTAATAGGGGAGGTTTTGCATGAGGCCCATCTGTGTGTCCCCCCACCCCCCAACCCCTACCCACACAATTTAACCTTTTTCAAATAGCTGATTTTCTGGCCACACTTAGATACAGGTGTGTACACACTGGTGGAGTCTTCTATTGCAAGGACAGACTGGGGACAGGTATGCACAGTTTTGGGAGGCTGTCTGGACAGGTAATTCTGGGGTCTTGGATAACCAAAGTGCGGCTTAGGAAAAAAGGACACAGGTTCTGAGTTGGCAGGTTCCCTAAGTCACATGAACTGCAGCCTGTGGGGGAAGGGCCTGTCTAAAAGAGACAGAATGGGAATTACTAAGTCAGTTGTTCTTAAAGCGTGGTCCATGGACCTGCAGCAACATCAGCATCATTTGGGAACTTATGGAAATGCAACTTCTCAGGCCCCAACCCCAGCTCTAAGGAATCACAGAGTGCATTTGAATAATATCCCAAGATATCTATTTTTACATAATAATAGCTTGAGAAGTTTGCAAAGCACAGGGCTCAGGGCTGACGCCTGAGGGTGCCTGGATCTAAGAGTGGAATTTCCACCCACCTTTAGTACAAATTCTAGAGTTACATTTTATCCTGCCCACGTGTGATAGTACAAGGACATAGGAACAGGCTTTCCTGTCAACATCTAGAAACCTAGTGACTCAGAGAATGTGGTAATGATAGAAGGGAAGTATCTATTCCAAAGCCCAACTAGGAATTTGCAATAAAAACATGGAAGCTTTAATAAATGAGTCATGTATTGTTTACTCCTTGCATATTTTCTGAGGGAAAATTTATTATGAAATAGGGACTTGATATTTGAACATTTTTAATGGATTTAAGTGATTTTTTAACCTGTAGTATTTTCATACAGTGTAGTATTCAATAAGCAATATTCTCTTTAATATATTATTCACCTTTGAAATGAAGTTAGTATGTACTAGGTAACTGAGAGAATATAAATGTTCAGATCATTACATTACTATGACTCAGAAATAATATTCCCAGTCAGTTGAAATAGTTATATTGTGGCTGACTTGGTGACTCAGTCGAAAGTCTTGGATCCACAGAAACTCTGTCAAAATCAAAGGGTAACTTTAAATTTATGCCTTTTAGCATTCTTTTTTTTTTTTTTTAACCAAAGTATTGAATGCCTTGGAAACACCTACTCCTTCCATTTTCCCAGTTTTCAGAACCTCAAGGACGCACATGTGCCAAGAAAGGTCCTGAGTTTCTCACTTCTGCTGGCTGGGGACACAGCAGTAGGTTGGATGCATAATGAAGGGTGCCTGAAAGGACCGGGTGCATCTGGAACTGAATTCAAAAAGATTGAAAACACCCTAGTCCTTGAATGGAGTCCTTCAGTCCTCAGGTTACACAATCAGAGAATTTCAGCCTTCAAGGTATTTTTTAAAGGTTGTCTAGTTCAAAACTAAATTTGTTGATAACATACCGTATATTTGCCAAGTAATTAGGTGGCCTTGGTAAAAAAACAAAAATTAAGAGGACCACATCCTTTTCTGAGAATTGCTTTGAAGGTTTCACCCCTTGGTTCCAGGTCTACTCTAAGAAGACATTTAAAATAATATTCTAGCCACTAGCCTTGAATCAAATATTCAATGATGTAATAGTATATTCCCCAGTCTATATAACCCCCAAACAATTCTACACTTCTTAAAGATAAATATTTTCATTGCCTTCACCTCTTTCTTACGTATTATAACTTCAAGCTTTCAAAACCCTGATTTTCTGAGCATTTTTGCTTTTTCTGGGATGGATGCCTTTTGGAAAGTATGATATATACAACTGAAACCATTCAAGAAGCTGTGGCCTAATGGATGTGGAATAGATCAGTACTTTGAGTATTCTTGTTTCATATGCTATATTTCTCCCAATAAAACTGAAGGTCATATTCACTTTTTTGAATGCCACGTTGTCCCAGTTGTGTGCTTTTAAAAGTGTATTTTTCCCCAAACACAAATTGATATTTATCTTTATTATTTTTCATCTAAGCTTTGTTCTTTTATCCAGTCGGTAAAAATAACTATGGTTACTTGTTTTATATTTATTTCACCCTCTCAAAAGTAATATGATGAGCACACATTCTGTACCTTTATTCAAATAATTAAGAAGATATTTGAAAAAAAATTAGGCTGAGGACCAAGTTTAGATACAATCTTTCTTAAGACAATATTAGCCTCTTAGCACATATTGAAGAGGCCATCCAACCACTTACAAGTGTACTGAGTTGTCTGATATGAACCTATTTCTTCATTTTGCCCAGAAAAATATTATGAAAGATCCCATCGGTTGCTTTACTTTTCTTAGTTTACCATTACATAGGCTACCACTTTTTTCTGCCATCATCTAAAATAGTGCCCAATACATATTACATACTCGATATATATTTATGGCAAAAATAACTAAAAATAATGTACAACATAAATAATAAATTTATGAGTCAACAAAGGATGCAGGTGATATAGTGGATTCTGGATCAGTTGTCAGATGACATTTTGGCCTTAGGTATCCCCCTGAGATGACTGTGGATTCAGCTTGAATCTATATAACACCAGATCCTTTTCCTATATTCCCAATTTTTGTTAATCATATCATTTTAACTTATTCCCTGTAGACATAATTGTGAGAGTTACCTTTGGTTCCTGTCTACAATTCATCTGGATTTTCTGGTAAATCCCTGAATCACATTGAGCCCACCTCTTAGTAATCTAGCCTTCCACTTCAATGTATGTATTTCAGATCTTCATCTTATACCTCGTACACTATTGCCATAGCCTCCCAACTGGTCTCTCTGCATTTATTCTTATCTTTTTGTGTCTACATTTATCCTGCTCCCTAAGACATCTTTCTAGCATGCAAATTTCATCACGTCCATTCCCTATTGAAAATATTGTAGTAGCTCTCCATTGTTTATAGTATAAAGCCCAAATACTCTCTGAGTTCATAAGTTACTTTGTATCTGGACTCTGACTGTCTCCCTAGTGGATGTTGTGGTGCCTCCCAGATCCCCTCTCCGGGGCCCATGTATCCACCCATCTCGCTGATGACAGTAATAACTGCTGATGAGTCACAGCTGCCCCTCTCACCGAGACTTGCCCTGTGCATAAGAGGACAGGCTTCCCAGAGGCTGATCACTCAGATTCAAGACAGTTCCCTAATCTCTACCTCCAACAGTATTGACATCATTAAGCCTCTCACATATGGAAACTGTAGAGCTGGACAGCTCCATCATTGTGCTTCTGTCAACAATGCAGAAAAGACTCAAAGATTCAAAAACTGAAAGCGACAAGATGTGTGAGGTGTGAGGTTAACAAGAAGATTTGTATAAATACTCTTACAGGAGAAATTTGACCTCAGATTTTCACCTGTGATCTTTCAGATAGGAAGTTACCTCTTTCCCAATTGAGACCCCAGGCTTTAGACTCAGGAATACTGGACACAGCAGAAGGCAGTATGAAAGAAAAGAGGAATTAAGTGAAACTGAGCCAACTGAACAGCGATAATCCACCCTGTTTCCTTACTTGGCCTATACGAGTCTTATTTCCCTCAGGGGCTATCGATTAAATTGTTAGTTTTTAGAAAACTCAACATATATATACATATATATATGTATATATACACACACACACACACACACACACACAATGGATATGAATGTGAATATTTGAGGCTTTCATAAAAAAATTATCTGTGGTGGAGCTCACCCTCAATAGGTCCTACTAAGATACTGTGAATTTACACTCTGACTTTCAAAACCACACTTTTAATAAAAAGATTGCTAAGGATTACTAGGCACCAGAACTTGAAGGAGCCCCTCCAAAATAAAAGACCCAAGTCAAAACAAACAACTAAAAAAACAAAGCACAAATGAAAGAAACTCAGATGACAAAGATGATGAAGGCAACAGGAAGCAACTTAAGTAAGAAAGTATAATCCCTCTCCTCAGAGAGCTAAGCAGATCCGGGCTTGCAAAAATGTGCAGCCATAAAAATAGGACAATCAAAAATGAATGCAGTGCCAAAAAAGTGAATTATAAATTAGCTGGAAAGAAGTCACTAAAAGGGTTGAAAAATAAATGAGGAGAAGTTTCCTAAAAATGAAAGCCAAAACACTGATACAAATAAAGACTAAAAAATTAAATGACTGATCTATGAGATTTGACGTCTAACTGATAGGAGTTCTGGAAAGGGAATAGGAAAAATAATAAAGGGGATAAAATTATTGAAGAAAAGTTCAAGAAAATTTCCCCAAACTGAAGACCATGAGTTTCCATATTGGATAGTCTCACTTAACAGGTAAAAAGATGAATGAAAATGATGGAAACCAAGGAACATCTTGGGGAAATTTCAGAATAATAGGAAAGTAATATTTTTAAAAAACTTTCCAAAAGAGAATAAATGGTCACATACAGAGAACCAGGAACTAGAGTGGTATTGGATGCTTTAATAGTAACATTGGAAGCAATTTTTTTGGAATTCAGAATGATGGTGATTTTCAGCCCATAATTCTATATCCAACATACATGCTAATTAAAATACTTTCAGATATATTGGTTTTTAAAAATGTTTCATCCTGGCCCCCTTCCTGGGAAGCTGATAGAAGATCTGATTCACTACTCTCAGGTCAAAAAATCAAGACAGGGAAGACATGGGATCCAGGAATTCAGATAAATCTCAGAAGAAAAATGAAAATAAGAACAAATAATGAAGTTAAGGGGAATTTCAAAGGCAAGTTCTATGTTGCAGAACAACTACTCTCGACTGCTATATAACAATGTGAGGCTTTAGAAGGCAGATCTTCAAGAGAACAGAAAATGGACCTACCAGATCTGACATGATAAATTTGACAAGTAGAAGCACTGGATTAAGGGGAAAACAAACCATATGTACATAGACAACCAAGCAAATAGAAAACTGGTAATATCACCAAATTAGGAAGCAGGGGTATAGAGGAAATGGAATGGTAATATGAGAGAGCTAAAGTCTTCTCTACCATAAATCAACTACAAGCAGCACAAACACATACTTAGAAACATGGAGGTAAATGCCATTGGGGAGAATGGCACTGCAGTTGATTCAGGGTAGAGAAGTTGAAGGTTCTTGCTTCAGGGTAGCCACACTGGAGATAGGAGGATGGGACAGGGGATTCCTACATAAGTCTATTAGTAGTGCATCATTTGTCTTTTAAAACTGTTTTCAAGGATCATATTCCTTTAAAAATAATGCAATTCATATGTATACCAAGGCCACAGAGTGATGAGGGGCAATCCAGTTCTTAGGGTATGAAGTTCTATTCAGTAAAGTCCACTCTGCACGGGGCAGGGCACTACCCCTATCTCTTCTCTGAGGGTGCTGGTTTCTTCTTCCTAGCACCACCCAACAGTCTCTTGTCTACATGCATCAATTAATAAACTCATTGTTCAAACATCCCCACTGCAGAAAGCATTCCCATGACGCTTCCATTTCAGGGGCTGAAATGCAAGCATAAGATGGTAAATTTCCTCAAGATTTTAGTAGGAAATGACTGGAAATCTTGGTAAATCCAGTCTTTGTTGCTTTATTTCTAGTCATACACTTCTATTCATCATCAGAAATCAAAGCTCTTTCTAGGCTAAACCCTTTCTTTAATTATGGCTTGTCTGGATACAATCTCTCTTTTCTTTTACTTTAAAGTGATGCCGGGCTTTAAAGGCAAGTTGAATTGTGAGATATTAAGCATTATTATTATAACTTCTCCAGTAGATTCTTTGGGAGAATATGACAGTTTGACCCTTCAAGCTTCTCCAAGGACTGGTCTGAGACTGCAGAAATGTAAATGTGAACAAACATGACAGCAGTTCTTATTGTCCATCAAAATGTGGGTGTGGATAAAGATATCCCCAGGGCTAGAAGATCTTAAATAATCATACCAAGCCCTGTTGTTCACTTGTTTGCTTTTTTTTGGACACTGACTTAGTTGACCAACACAAACTGGTTTGGTCATTCAGATGGATTTTTGGCAACATCAGCAGTATCAGGTGGTTCCCAACAGAGGGAGAAAGGAGAGCTGTAAGTTTCTGCCCCACAAACTATCAGGCATTTGTCACAAGGAAAGTGAGCCTCAGACCTGAAATAGCCAAACACGTAGGCATTTATCAGCAAACACGCAAGAGTGGTCACACAGCCTATCTGGAAAAGTAATATCCCTACCCCTCTGTCTTCTGATATACCAACCTAAGCTTTGTATAGAAGCTTCCCTCTGAATCTTCTGAAGCATATTCAGTGGCATTTTTACCACCCACAGGATTGGCAAATCTCTTGTGGTCAAGGTCTTTAGTGAATAGAACCAGAACCCATGGCCTCCAGACCTCATGTACCTCAAAGCTGGTGTAACTGATGGGCTGGCTGGTTTTAACACTTTATTTATGCAAGAGCATCACTCCAAGCCAACCCCTTAACTTAAACAACATATATCCCACCAATTAAAAACTGATTCTAATATTCATTATACTGATAAAGCACATCTAAAGTATGATACAAATAAGGATCAATGTATGCGTACACATACCACACTACACATTATACACATGTTGAAGCAATTCGAATAACCACGAATACAGATAGTACTGGTTAAAGCAGTTTCAAATGTGTGTATCTCTTTTTGTTAACTTGTTTCCGTTTTCCAGCTGCCCGCTCCCCTATCGTATTACCTATATTAACTCAGACCAAGGTATGCCGTGCTCTGACCATCACTATCCTTGGAAAAGGCAGAATATTCTTGTCCAATTCAGTTCTAGGTACTTTTAATTTCTCTGCAAAATCAGCGTTTGTATCTTTACACAATATCTCCCTTCCTTCATTCCTTCCTTCCATCTCCACTCACTCTTTCACTGATTCTTCCTCCCATTATTACATTGCTCCATAAATTTCTGTTGATTACTTACTTCCCAAATCCTACAAAGCCTTGTGTGATGTGGCTCTGTCAGCCTGTCTAACCTCGTCTCTCATTACTGTTCCCCTTACTCACTACTCTCCAACCATTCAGAGGCTTTCTGTTTCTCATGTTTCTAGAACATCCTAAGCTTGTTCTTTGCCTCAGTGCCCCCTTTGCAAGGATCCCTCTCCCCCAGGTTACATGCTGAGTGGCTTCTCTTCGAATGCCACCTTCTGAAAGAGGAGGCTGATCCCTGATTGTGCTGTCTAAAGCCACTCCCCTGTCCAAGCACGCTTTATCCCATTTGATTGATAGTACTTACGAGTATCTAATATTATTGTTTCCATATCTTTATCTACTTGTGAATAATCTACTACTCCCCCATTTCAATGCAAGTTCTGTGAGAGCAGGGACCATTTCTCTCTTGTTCTTTGCTGTAACCCCAGTATCTTGCACAGAGAAAAGCCTCAACAAGTATTTGCTGACAGAATGAATTATAAAATAAATGAATAATAAATGGTTTAAAATTTTTAATAACATGTTGATTAAACTCAACCTTTTGAACTAAATGAGAGTATTTCAAGCTTAATGGAAGGCAAAAATCAACGTGCGGTAATGAGATGAATTTAGGCAACTAAAATATAAAAACAAAGAAAATTCTATCTATTATGAAAAAACATCAAGAAAGCCAATCTACAGTTAGATAATAAACAGCACCTACTGAACTCTCCATATATGTGTGGCACTAATTGTTACAATCACTTACAGTCAAGTTTGAAGTTTAAAAAAAATCTCAATTTCACTCAAAACCTACTTGAATGATATTTTCACTCAAAGGCACCTTCCAGGTTTTCAAATAGTAAAAGGCACACCAAAGTTTTCAGGAAGGCTAAATATTCCCAGGCAGCAATAAAAATAAGTTTGCATTTCCAAGAAAAAGAGCTTCTCAGCTGAGCCAGATCTGTGGAATTAGAAAAAAAAAAAAGGTGTATAGTTAACATCTTTTCCAGATGTTAGCACAGAACCAGAGGGCTTTTTTTCCCTCCCACATAGCAAAAACACCTGGAAATATTAGGAGTCTCTGGGATGAGAAATATTCTTTCACTCTTCTGAATATTTCGGCCGTTCTAGTTGATGCTAGAAGGAAATTTTAGGAAAAAATTCTAGGAGTCATTTTCATTGACTTTAGGGGAAAAGAAACTTATCACATAAATATTATTCTTATGCCAATGAATAGATTTTTAATTCTTAAAGTGGTATTTAGCTGTTAATAAGCAGGAGGATGTAACTAGGCACACACGTAACTAGGCACACAAGTGGCATGGAGACTTAACCGTTCAGAGATGAATTGTGCTGCTGCCTTTGTAATCCAATAGCTGAAGACCTTGGCCAGGTTTCTTAACCTCCTAAATTCTGTTTCCACAAGGGCATGCTTGAAGGGAATATCAGTTTTCTCTAATGCTGAACTTCTATGATTATATTATGTATTTGTCCACAGTGTCTTCTAGTAATAGATGAAGAACAGATACACATACACACACATATGTACACGTGTGTATACAGACACACACGTATATTATACACACATAAACATATATACATATGTGTTTTATATATTCATATAATTTATATATAAATGTATATAAATATTTCATTTCCAACTCTAATATGTAAGTTTTATATGTATGTTTTATATTATATATTTAATATAATATAAAATATTATATATTTTAACATACAAAATATTTTATGTACTATTAAAATATATTACATAATTTATAATATACATTATATAAAATATATATTATGTATATTTAAAATTTTTTATTTTAATAGGTTTTTGGGAAACAGATGGTGTTTGGTTATATGAGTAAGTTCTTTAGTGGTGATTTGTGAGATTTTGGTGCACCCATCACCCAAGCAGTATCCACAGAACCCCATTTGTAGCCTTTTATCCCTCACCCCATTCCTACTCTTTTCCCCCAAGTTCCCAAAGTTTATTGTATCATTCTTATGCCTTTGCATCCTCATATCTTAGCCCCCAACTCATGAGTGAGAACATACGACATTTGGTTTTTCCTTCCTGGGTTACTTCACTTAGAATAATGCTCTCCCATCCAGGTTGCTGCAAGTGCCATTAATTCATTCCTTTTTGTGGCTAAGTAGTATTCCTTTTTATGGCTAAGTGTATATATATATATATATATATAATAGTTTCTTTATCCACTCATTGATTGATGGGCATTTGGGCTGGTTCCATATTTTTGCAATTGCGAATTGTGCTGCTATAAGCATGTATGTACAAGTATCTTTTTCTTATAATGACTTCTTTTCCTCAGGGTAGATACCCAGTAGTGTGACTGGTGGATCAAATGATAGTTCTACTTTTAGTTCTTTAAGGAATCTCCACACTGTTTTCCATATTGGTTGTACTAGTTTACATTCCCACCAGCAGTGTAAAAGTGTTCCTTGTTCACTGCATCCATGCCAACATCTATGATTTTTTGATTGTGGTCATTCTTGTGAAAGTAAGGTGGTATTGCATTGTGGTTTTGATTTGCATTTTCGTGATCATTAGTGATGTTGAGCATTTTTTCATATATTGGTTGGCCATTTGCATATCTTCTTTTGAGAATTGTCTGTTTACATCCTTAACCCAGTTTTGATGGGATTGTTTGTTTTTTTCTTGCTGATTTGTTTGAGAGCCTTGTAGATTCTGAATATGTGTCCTTTGTCAGATGTATAGATTGTGAAGATGTTTCTCCCACTCTGTGGGTTGTCTGTTTACTCTGCTGTTTCTTTTACCATGCAAAAGCTCTTTAGTTTAATTAAGTCCCACCTATTTATCTTTGTTTTTGTTCCATTTGCTTTGGGGTTCTTGGTCATTAAATCTTTGCCTAAGCCAATGTCTAGAAGGGTTTTTCTGATGTTATCTTCTAGAACTTTTATAGTTTCAGGTCTTAAATTTAAGTCCTTGATCCATGTTGAGTTGATTTTTATATAAGGTGAGAGATGAGGATCTGGCTTCATTCTCCTCCATGTGACTTGCCAATTATCCCAGCACCATTTGTTGAATAGGGTATCCTTTCTTGCTTTACGTTTTTGTTTGCTTTGTCGAAGATCAGTTGGCTGTAAGTATTTGGGTTTATTTCTATTCTGGTCCATTGGTCTGTGTGCCTATTTTTATAACAGTACCATGCTGTTTTGGTGACTATGGCCTTATAGTAGAGTTTGAAATCAGGTAATGTGATGCCTCTAGATTTGTTCTTTTTGCTTGGTCTTGCTTTGGTTATGTGGGCTCTTTCTTAGTTCCATATGAATTTTAGGATTTTTTTTTGTAGTTCTGTGAAGAACGATTGTAGCATTTTGATAGGAATTGCATTGAATTTGTAGATGCTTTTGGCAGTATGATCAATTTCACAATATTGATTCTACCCATCCATGAGCATGGGATGTGTTTCCATTTGTTTGTGTCATCTGTGATTTCTTTCAGCAGTGTTTTGTAGTTTTCCTTGTAGAGGTCATTGACCTTCTTGGTTAGGTATATTCCTAAGGTTTTTATTTTTTTAATTTTTATTTTACAGCTATTGTAAAAGGGGTTGAGTTCTTGATTTGATTCTCAGCTTGGTCGCTGTTGGTATATAGCAGAGCTACTGATTTGTTTACATTAATTTTGTATCCTGAAACTTTGCTGAATTCATTTATAAGTTCTAGGAGCTTTTTGGAGGAGTCTTTATGGTTTTCTAGGTATACAATATTATCATCAGCAAACAGTGACAGTTTGACTTCCTCTTTACTGATATGGATACAATTTATTTTTTTCTCTTGGCTGATTGCTCTGGCTAGGACTTCCAGTACTCTGTTGAAGAGAAGTGGTGAAAGTGGGCATCCATGTCTTATTCCAGTTCTCAGAGGGAATGCTTTCAACTTTTCCTCATTATTATGTTGGCTGTGGGTTTGTCATAGATGGCTTTTATTACATTAAGGTATGTCCCTTGTATGCCGATTTTTCTAAGAGTTTTAATCATAAAAAGATGCTCTATTTTGTCAAATGCTTTTTTTGCATCTATTGAGATGATCATGTGGTATTTGTTTATAATTCTGTTTATGTGATGTATCACATTTATTGACTTGCGTATGTTAAATCATCCCTGCATCCCTGGTATGAAACCCACTTGATCATTGCGGATTATCTTTTTGATATGCTATTGGATTCAGTTAGCTAGTATTTTGTTAAGTATTTTTGCGTCTATGTTCATCAGGGATATTGGTCTATAGTTTTCTTTTTTTGTTATGTCCTTTCCTGGTTTTGGTATTAGTGTGATACTGGCTTCATAGAATGATTTAGGGAAGATTCCCTCTTTCCTTATCTTGTGGAATAGTGTCAATAGGATTGATGCTTTATTTATATATTATATACAATAGATTAATAAAATATATATATATATCTTACATACATATCAGAGTTGGAAATGATGAAAACAAGTATGAGTCTTCTGCTAATAGGTATTCATATAGAGCTATTTTATATAGCATAAGTTTCCAGAAGTTAAAAATATATTTCATTTATGTGTATTTTGATCTGAACTCTGTGCCAAGACCTTTCCTACTACACAGCCTGGTCCACTAGAGCTACACTCGGGAACCACAGGCAACAAACTAAATACAGGTTCCATAGGTGAAGAGAGAAGCTCATGAGGTTGTGTGCTAGCGCCAGGGTCAAGAGACTCTGTCCTGAGTTGTGTAAGACACTAAAACGTGTTATGGGAATAATAATCACAGTATAAAAGCCAATATGAGAGCCCAAGCATTTTCCCATAATAATATTCAACTTATAAAACTGACATTATATGGATTTTGATGTAATTTCTTTGACCAAATTGCCATAAACACTGCCTTATTGTGATGAAAACTGTCCACAAAACTTTTTCATTTTCATAAACAGAAAATGAAATTTAGTCATAGAAATTTTTATTTGATATAATAATCTAGATCAATTACTAACAGTAAGATATGAATTTCTTTATGGAATAAAGGAGGGGTAAATAAGACCAGTAACCAAAAAAAAAAAAAAAAAAAAGTAGCTTGAGTGAGAAAAGTATTGAATGATAAAGCCAGCAGCTTGTTACCTCCTCTGTGGGTAGCCCAGTCGATTACCACTTCTCCTATCACCTTCTGCCTTCCTCTTGACCAGGCAACACAATAAATTACACTTGCCTTTCAAGCTCTGGTTGAAATGGTCAAGCAACTTGTTCCTTCAGTTACTTTAGCCCCTAAATCAGTCAGTTTGGCATTGTAGAGTCAAATGAAGCTTCACATTAAATAGTTATTGAAAACCTAAATATTCTTAGAAGTGTCCTGGTGTACTGAAAGACTATTTAATACAATGGAAAGAAAATGCAGTTCATTGTTTTTTAATTGTCATGTTTTAAATTAACTGTCTTCCTAGGTCTATTTATAATTGATTGGATATAAAAGCAGAAAAAAACAGCATATACTTCTTTCTGTTAATGAGAAACCTATACTATGGAACAAGAAGATATTAACTGGATGGTTTATCTTCTATATTTTTATTTTTATTGTGTTTGTTATTCTAAGGAATTCTTTATAATGGCTTACCTAAGTTCTTTAAGATTGGTAAGCAACAACTAATAAAAAAAATCCAGTCCATTCACTTTCATTGAGAACTTATGATGTATCAATTACTTTTCATGCCATAGTTTATCAAATACAACCATCCATTGAGAGATTTTTCATCATTTTATGTACCACTGTAAAAGAAAAAAATGTGGCAAACTAAACTATGACACAGGCTCTTATCAGTTAGATTTTAATTTTATATTTATTGAAAGAGATATTTTAGGCTTATTTAGAAGTATATTTTTTGTCATATCTCCCTATTACAGTTCTACATTGCTTAACAACAGGGTCTTCCCTGAGAAGTGCATCACTAGGCAATTTCATCACTGTGTGAGCATCACAGAGTGTACATACACACCCTGATAGCCTACCACGCACCTGGGCTGTATGGTATAGCCTATTTCCTCCAGGCTACAAATCTGTATGGGACATTACTGTACTGAATGCTGGAGACAACTGTAACACAATAGTAAGTATCTGTATATCTAAACATATGCAAACATAGAAAAGAAACAGTAAAAATATGGCTTTATAACCTTAATGGGATCCCTATCATATATGTGGTTCCTTGTTTACCAAAACATCATTATATTGGCATATTATTATATAGAAATAAAAAGAAAACACAGGTGAAATAAATTGAGATATTCCTAAAACTCCTTTGGAGAGTCCAACTATTCACTTTTCAACTTGGAATCATATGACTGTGTTTTTCATACAATATATCACCCTCTGATTATATATTGTCCTTAAGTGCAGGTGATGCAGTTTTACTTAATACAACCTATGAAAGAAGCCAAATCCCTTTGGTGCTGAGCTCTTTGTATATTTCTATAGCTGCCCAATTTTTTATTCCAACTTCTAGAAGTTTTCTGAACTCAGTTGAGTCACCATGGCCCACTCGTGCTCAACACAACTCACTTGCTCTGCTACTATCTCAGAATTTTCTTGCAAGTTCCTGACACCAGTTTTGCAGATTTCAAAGTCAGAGCTTTGGATGTTTGTGCATCATCATGACTTACCAATAGAGATCGCAAAATGCCATTCATTGCTATTGATCCAATTTCAAATTTGTCAAAAATGTGAACAAAATAATTGCCTCTTGGAATAAACAAGATGTGATATTTTATCTTGTTTAACTCATACAACAACTTCATGAGGTGGAAACACGATGCTTGCAAAAGTCAGGCATACAAAGCAAGATAATCATGCTAGTAGATTATAGAGAAAGCATTGTGCTTACAGTCAATTGCTTCTTTTGGAACAGAATTAGCCTTAGTTCAAAGAATAAAGATGGTAAAATTTATTCTGCACCCATCTGTTTTCCACTTTAGTTACTTCTTTCTCCTTCCCTGCCACATGTTCTCAGGTAACTCGGTTTTCTTTGATTCAGCTGGAACACTGGATCATCCCCATACCCTTCCCATAGCAACAAGTACTTGCCTAGACTCATTCAGTTATTCAAAAAAAAAATTCAGTGTACATCTATTAAGTACTATCAAGACTGACACCAGGTTTGCAAGACGATGAGAAATACAAGCAGCACAGACCCGAGGAATATTTCTCACAATCTGTAATATTTCTTATGATTACCAAGGTGGTTTCTATTCCATTACAAATAGTCTGATATTGTCTCACAAGCATTCATAATTTCTGACATTTTGCACTTAGCCATAAGAACAAAAATAAAGCTATATAGTGTAGAATTCCCTTCAGAAAAGTACTTGTTAACCAGCTGGGAGGAGTAGGGTAGGCTGAACGCCACCAGCTGTTCACCCCTTCAAAAACAGGTGTGAACCAAGGTCACGATATTCTCAGGATGGTCTGTCTCTGGCTGTACAAAGCAGTGATCTGAGAGTCCAGCCATTTGAGCCAAATGTAGTATAATCTTAGGGCAATCATGGATCAAGGGCCTCCCACAGGGCTGGCACAGAGGCAATGTCAGGTCAGCACAGAAGTCTGATGGCTCCCCCTGCCCAATCTTGCTTCTTCCTTTTCCCAGCAAACCTTGTGTACTCCTAATTCCACCTCAACACTTGTTTCTTGATCTTCAAAAATCTTGCTTTTGCATCTACTTGAAATGCCCTTACTTCTCCATGTACTTAAATCTTTCACATTTTTAAAGACCTGTTTAGTTCAATGTCTGATCAGTGTCTTTCAGCCCATATGGATAATCTTCACAGTCTCAATTTATGTTGAACTTACAATGACAACTAGTTAATTAATTTTTGCACTGCACTGTAACTGCTTTATATGTGTTGGCTGTATTTTCTCAGCATCTTGAAGGCACCTGCCATGGGTAGCAGACATGGCTGCTGCCTTGTCCAGGTTCCCCGAGATTCGCAACTTCTGTTGGTATAGGTGGGATGCGCCAGCTCCTGTAGAACTTCAGGTCACTGCCCTCAGACTATCGAGCCACTTTGTCAACAAATGCAGAGTCAGAAGTGCCTAAATGTTTATTTTTATTCCCCCCTCCTTATTTACCCTCCTAAAGCTATTAACTAATGACTGTTGGGTGAAAAACTGCAAATCTGCCTTAAGTTTAGACAACTCTGAGGTGTAAGTTATAATTTAGAATCCCCAAACATAATCATGCTAAGTTCCGGTCCCTGCGGGTCTTCTGCCTAAGACTGAACAGTTATCTTTTCTACCTCCTGTCCTCCTTCTACTTCGATGTCAGTCTCCCCTGGGAGCACTTGTTTTTAAAATTGCACACAAATATTCATCTCAGAGCCTGCTTCTGGGAAATTTAAACAATGATGAAATATCAAATAAGAAAACCATTATTTGAGTCCAAAAATTTAGTTACGAAGATTTATTACACCAATTGTTTGATGTGATAAAAACATAAAAATCAGATCATGTCTGTAATTTTTAATTTGTTATACAGCATCATGAAAATTTATAACTAAAACATTTTTATAAAATAGTTTTCACTGAAGATTTTTATTTAAGAAAGGCAACAATATTTTCGGTATGATTTAGTTATCATCCTGCCTGGAAGTAGATGATAAAGCCAACAGCCTCTTAGGGTTTTTCCAGTCCAACAATGTGAGAATGTTTTGAAGGCTAATGAGGACATACTTATTCAACATCATCCTCTATTTTATTTTCACACTAAAATAGGAAGCTTTGGTTCCCTGGTGGTTTCATAATTAGACATTATCATGGCCGTGTTTTGAGATTGATTTCTGGTCAGGGAATGGAAAATTTTTAGTTCCTAATATAAAAATATTTGACTGTCTCCCTAAAAATATCCATTGCATCAAAGGGACCATTATTCATACAAAGCACTTAAAACTTGAACAACTGAATTTGTGAATTAATTGGTAGTTAATTCATTAAGCAAATACTGATTTAGCTCCTAACTGGGTTAAAAAAAACAAAAGTACAAGACACAGAAAAAAAGACTATATGTGAAGCCTTATAAGGCCCTCTTTTTCAGAGCCTCAAAATCTAAATAAGAAGATATATTACCATAAAAGACAGTATTGAACCAAGATGAGGCCAAATTAATCCTTTGGAAAATATTAATGTAGAATAATGTATCCAGCCAATGAATATATTTCCCATATCTTTTACTCTCTAATAGTCTTATGTTTTGGTAGAGTCCAGCTGTAAACATCTCAAAACCAATTGTGTACGTTATCACTGAGGTTAATGAGGTTCAATGGTTTTGGTGATAAACCACAATGCATATTTCTTAGAGAAATATTTTATTTACTTGATGTGGTTCCAAATGGCTCATTTATTCCCTTGATGATACATCTCTTCATTTTTCATCTTTTCTCTGAGGATAGGTATCTTTCATGAGCAGAAGGGCTGATGAGTTCTGAAAGCTCTATGCTAGCACACAAGATACAATGACTTGAGAAACTCACATGAATCTGACTTAAACTTCTTAAGGGAAACACAGCCACAGGAGACATTGCCACAGTGGCACTGGACTTGAAGATTTTTGTATTACTCTCCAGGCCAAACCACAATCCTGACAAGAGCAGACTGCATTATCATCACATTCACTCACATAACTGAGCAAGGCTAGGACAAAAATGTACATATCTCGCTTTAACTTCATGATCAATTCTTTCCAGTGGGTTCTTCTTTAATATTTTATTTTAAGTTCCGGGATACATGTGCAGGACGTGCAGGTTTGTTACCTAGGTGAACGTGTGCCATGGTGGTTTGCTGCACCTATCAACCCATCACCTAGGTATTAAGTCCCATTTGCATTAGCTATTTATCCTGATGCTCTCCTTCGTGGTTTCTTAATATTTCTAGCAATCACCCACAGTCCAATCCAGCTTCTCCTCCATTCTTCTAGTTGACTAATGCATAACTTTCTTTTCCCCAAACCTCCAACACATCTTTTTTCAATCTTCACCTTCACTTAATGAGTTTCTTCCTATTTTACTGACATAAAATAAAATCAATTAGAAGAAATTTTCATAAGCTTGTGTCAGCTAACTACCCACTCCCTGCCTTTAGGACCTTGCACTCTGCCTTCTTTTCTGCTAGTGTGAATGAGTGGATGAATCACCTGCCTTCTAGTGCAGGCCAGCCCTCCTTTGTCCACTGGATCCTATCCCACTCCTCTCCACAAGGGCAATGCTTTCTTTATTTACCAGTCTTTGCATTATCATGTTTTGCCTGTCCACCAGTTCAGCATAAAGTGTACTGTTATGTCTCCCAACTGTACAAAAAAAAAAAAATTCTTTGATGTACTTCCTTCTTCAATTGTCACATCATTTCTATCTTTCCATTTACAGCAAAACTCCTTTAAGGAGTTGTTTATGCAGAGTGTCTCCATTCACATCTGCTTGGCCTTGAAACTATTGTATGCCCTATGCTTGACTGTGGACCACTTCTATATTTCTATATAGAAAAGAGATTTCCTAGGTGATTTTATCCAGTTTCTAGGATTTAAACACCATTTCTATGCTGAAGACTACCAGATTTATAACTCACATACACTCCTATATGACTATTTCTATAAATGATATATTCATATATATATGTATGTACACACATGTGTATATACATACATACTTCTATCTTTTGTGATATGTCTATATTACAAATGCTACTCAGAGTCTTCTCTTGGAGATCTAACAGGCATCCAAAGTTTCACATGTCAAAACCAAGCTCTTGTTTTTCCCTTAACCCACATCTAAACCTGCTCCTCCTACAGCCCTCCCCATCTAAATAAATCATAACTTCATTTTTCTAGAGGCTCAGGCCTAAAACCTCAGGGTGATCTTTGACTCCTCACAGTCCACGTTCTCTCTCATTGCCCACACTCTATCCTTCAGTGATTCCTGTCAGATCCTTTGGAAATGATTTTGCATCAGCACACATCTCACCATCCCCACCGCTCCCACTCCAACTCAACATCTGCTCTTGCCCGAATAGCGGGAGACAGCTAATCAGGTCTCCCTGCTTCTGCCCTTATTCCCCTTAGACAACTTAGCCAGAATGATTCTTAAGCCATTATTAGACCACTGTGCTCTTTTGCTGAAAATCTTTTCATTTCTTGGGGAAATATAAAAAAAAAAAAGTTTTTTGAATGACCTACAGCCATTCCATGACCTGCACCTCACCTGCTTATCTCTGCGCCCCATCTCCTGCTCCTCTCTCCCTTGCTCACCTTATTCCACTCACATGGACCCCTTTACTCTTCCTTGAGACTGCTGGATGCACTTTAACTTCAAGTCCTTTGCACTCTGTGTTCTCTCCACCCAGAATGTCCTTTCTCCAAATATCTGTAGACTCCCTCTCTTTACAAGCATATATGGTCATTTATTTCATTTCAAAGAATATAAGACATATAAATAAGACAAAAATGTCTTTCTCGTTAATACATTAGACAAGGCTATTTATTTTATTTAAGTTAAAGTGCACTTCTAAATCTCATTTGTATCCATTGGATCACAGGGTGCATCCAACTGCTGGTAATTGAAAACCTAGTAAAAGATGGTATAAAACTATTTCACAACACAATGTCTCCCAGCAGGGAAATTTCAGGTTAATTTTAGCAGCTCACTGTTGACCTCATGGGGCCCAGATTCTTCCTCTGTGTTTGCCCCTCATCCTCAGGCTGTTGGCTCTGGTCTCAGACTTGTCCCTTCATGGTTACCAGATGGCTGTGTCCAGTCTAAACCTCACCAACTCATAAAACTCACTCAGAATATCCTCTGGGAAGTAAAGCATGTCTCTGACTTAACGTTCCTTTTTAAGAATGAAAAAGATCTTTCTCAGAAGGTCTGATCCCTCTACCTCACAAGCCTTGTTGAACAAAATTATGTCATATGCCTATGCCTAACACAACTACTGAAGGCGGAAACAGCATTAACATGGCTGTTCATTTGAGTTGGTGATTGGCCCTTGCCCTGAGCACATGGCCAAGGGGAGAGAGAACTAATTGGTCAGACAACCACCAATGTCTACTAACGTGTTTTTAGAGGGAATTTTGGATAAGAGTCTTATTCAAAACTCTTTAAGAATGACTTCTGCATGAAATGTATGAAACCCACATAAGAGAAAATACATCAATATAATGCAAACTATCAAATTAGACTTCAATGAAAAGGGCTATGCCATTCTTCTAGACAATAACAAAGATGTCAGTTACAAAGTAATTCAAATGCTTAATAAAATGCCACTCAAAATCTTGAGTCATCTCAAAAATTCCCTCTAAATACACACTAGTAGACGCTGCCGACACTCCAAAGCCTATAGATTTGTCAGTATCAGGTTATTTTTCTCCTATAGGCAATTTGACTTCTCCAAATTTATATTCAACAGCAATAAAGAAATAGATGTTGAATTCTACTATTTTCTAGTCCTGTTCTAGGTTCTAGGGATACAGAAATGAACAAAATACGTCTCATGTATGCGCTAAAAGAGCTGACATAAGTTGAAAACTTTTTTGACCTAGTGCTGTTTACTTCTGACAATTTTCATATATAACAGGATTGAAATCTCTCAGGAAATTTCTTCTGTGGAAGTGATTCACCATAACTCACTCTGTGGTACTCATTGGTTGAAATTATAATGGATATGAAGCTGGTTAATATGGTTTCTGCCAATCATTCCACATCCCCAGGTTCATGCAAACCTCAGGCAAGCCTATGGTCTGGGAAATAGTTTTTCATTAGAGGTAGACCAATGTTAAAACCATTCAAGAGAAAAGAAAGTGTATCTTCTTTTATGCCTCACATGAAGCTTGGCAAAGTAATAGCAACATACATGAATCCAGAAGGAACTAAATACTTTTAGAATTCTTAAGAGTTCAGAAATGTAGCCAAATACAAGATAAATGTACAAAACTAGATATTTTATCTATGTAGGGCAATAACAAATTTGGATATAAATAGGGAAAATCACAGAGCCAATGGTTACCCAAATATTTAAAACTTTTAAGAATGACTTCTGCATGAAATGTATGGAGCCTTTATAAGAGAAAATACATAAATTTAATGCGAACTATCAAATTAGAACTCAATGAAAAGGGCTATGCCATCTTCCTAGACAATAACAAAGATGTCAGTTACTCACAGGGTAACTCAAATGCTTAATGAAATGTCACTAAAAATCTTAACATGTTACTTTTGTGGATGGCATAAAATGGTTTTCCAAAATTAATTTGCAGAAATAATTACAATATGACTAATACATAATAGAAAAGAACTGTAATAGTGGCAGTTGGCAAATAAGACTTTTTCTTTTAACTATTTAAGTGCATTTTATGGGGAAGATACTAAAAATGGAATAAATTTTGTGCAAGAGTTAACATTTACATCATATCACAGAAAAGATAAATCAAAATTGAACCTTATATTCTAAATACAGTAAACATTAATGGTTATGATGAAATATTTGGACAGCTATTTTTTTCAAAATAAAATGACCTAAGTCTTCAGTTGATACCAAACTCTAAATTCTAAATGGAACAAAGCTAGATATAGATTTATAAATATAAATATATTGATACATGTTAATAGCATAAAAACAAAGGGAAAAACCACAAAGGAAAAGGCTAACAGAGTTTACTGAACTTTTGATACATCACAAAAAAAGTAAAACCTATACTAAATGGGAGAAATATTTATAAAATTTATGAAAAAAATTATTAACAATTCCTAATTTAAGACTTTGAACACAGTTTTTCACTAAAAGTCTACAACTGTTAGAACCACTGAAGAGAAAAAGTATATTCTTCTATGTATTATAATAAGCTTGGCAAAATAATAGCAACATATATGTCTTCATATACATAATTTGTGTATATGTATAAATGCGTACACATTCACACATATATATAGCAACATATATCTTATCAAATTTTATAAATTGATAATAAAATGTTAGTTTTCCAACAAAATAAGCAAATTGTAGAAAAAGGTCATAAAAACAAGAAATACATAAAAACGTAGTTCAAAAGTCAAACTCACCAGGTAAGCAAGAAAAGGTAAAATAACAAAACAATGAGATATGATTTTTCATCATTTCAACTGGAAAGACTATAGACTATAACACTGAAGAGGATGGGTGAGGCAGGCTCACGGTGCACCGCTAGTAGACATGCAAACTAACATTCTGGAAAGCCATCCACACATGAGCTCACTATATCGGATTGTGCAAGTCATGCTTTGCACAGACACCTGGCTGAGGGAATGCATGGGGCTGAAATCCAGGCCTTGCTATATTTTCTCCAAGCCATAATCCCTGATATGTGTTGAGTCACCCCATAATAGAGGGTGCTGTTTTCTTCACAGAAAGGCTGGACTACTAGTGGCTCCATCTATATATGCACAGAGCATACCTTTTGCTACAAGTGACTTATAGGCAATACCTCTAAACTACCCTGGTAGATAGGCAGAGACTTATGTACAAAAGAGATGCTTATTTCTGCAGTAGCTTTTGCTTTGACACCAAAATCCGCTTTTCTATAAACATTGTTCATTGAAGACTTAATTCCAGGTGGCCTATCAAGATATCCAGTTGAATCATGGGTTTCTATTGACCATCTCACTAAAAGACTTGCTGAGTAAGCTATGGCTATATTCATGTCATAATCATATGTATAATTTAATTTACTCAACAATAATGTCAATGTCAATATTCATAATATCACATATTCAAAAAGTAACTATTGCACACAGCATATACAAGATCTCTTTTGAGGGAGAGAATATAGCAGTGAACTAAACTGACAGAAATCCCTACTCTCAAAGAGCATATATTTTAAATTTTAAAAAGTAAAACTATGGGAGTAGAGAACAAATCCTCTGAAATAATATGCTTTGTACTGTTTATGCTTTCTTCTTCCAGTGCAAGGTACACTCTCTTCTACAACTGACTTGCATGATTGGTTGCTCTCCTGTTTAAACTATTGACAGATGCCCTTATTTGCCAGACCCAAAGTTTAGCAATTTATTTATTTTTAGCTGTAATTCTAATTTGCTATTCCAACATTTCCATAATAATTCAATTGTGCTACATCAGTCCTGCATTTCTAAAACACTAGTCTATGTCCTTAAAAGACAGGATCCAAGACTGCAGTTGTTCCATTATTCATTCAATACATATTTTTAAATGCCTAGTATGTGCTAAGCACTGTTCTAGGTGTTAAGGATAGAGCAAATGGGTGAAACAAACAAAACCCCTGCCCTGATGAACCTTCTATTTCAGTGGTGTGGACAATGGGCAAGATAAGTAAAATATAGAGAATGTTGGGTATCTAAAAGAACTAAGGAGTAAAGATTGTTTTAAATGAAAAAATAAGAAATATGGATTGGGGTGATGGCATTTTAGATGGGGTAGACAGTGAAGGTTTGACTGGGAAGTTAATATACAGGAAGCGAAGGACTTAAGTGAACTAATGCAGAAACAAGAAACCAAAACAGAAAACTGCATGTTCACACTTACAAGTGGGAGCTAAACATTGGGTACACACGGACATAAAGATGGGAACAATAGACACTGGGGAATACAAGAGGGAGGAGGGAGGGAGGGAGGGGGATAAGGGTTGGAAAAAACTACTTGTAGAGGCTGAGCACAGTGGCTCACATCTGTAATCCCTGTACTTTGGGAGGCTGAGGTGGGTGGAACACCTGAGATCAGGAGTTCAAGACCAGCCTGGCCAACATAGTGAAATCCCATCTCTACTAAAGATACAAAAATTAGCCAGGCATGGTGGCCCACGCCTGTGTTCCAGCTACTTGGGAGCCTGAGGCACGAGAATTGCTTGAATCCGGGAGGTGGAGGATGCAGTGAGCTGAGATCGCGCCACTGCACTCCAGCCTGGGTAACAGAGTGAGGCTCAGTCTCAAAACAAAACAAAACAAAACTACCTATAGAGTGCTATACTCACTACCTTGGTGGCAGATACATTTGTACTCCAAACCTCAGCATCATGCAATATACCTTTGTAACAAACCCTCACATGTTCCCCAATTCTGAAATAAAAATTGAAAAACAGCCCAAACAAGTGAAGGATCAAGTGAGCTCAAAAGATTTCTGAGGGAAGAGTACTTTATAGGAAAGGCTAGGTGCAAAGGCCCTAAGGTAGAAGCATGCCCCATAGTTCATGTGGCAGCAAGGAGGTGAAAACATCTACTCAAGTATTTTGTGAAAGATTCAAAGAAGTGTCCAGTGACTTCTGTTTCTGGAGAAAAAGTGGTCTAGATTTTCTAGCTAAGCTTCCTGGTAAATATAATTATAAAAGCTAGACTAAATATTAAAAATTTTAATTCTTCCTAAAAGCATCCAAGAGCTGATAAGACAGTCAGCAATCATCAGGCGAAATGCAGGCAACAAGAATGAATACTGGAATATAAGCAGAGGTTGAAGGCATTTCTACCATAAGGGAATTTGCCTATCCAGTTTAAATAAAACTTTTGTTTATAGCAAAAGAAAAAGCTATAAATCTTCCATTGGATTCCATAGACTTGAGAAGACAGAGGACAAGATTTGCCTTGAAGCTGAGCATAAGGAAGCATTGTCCCCAAGGATTTATAACTAAGAGCAAGCACTAGCACAGATTTTTAGACAAAATGCCTTCCCACAGGTGATAAAAAAAATCACATGCCATGAATTTTGGTCATCCTTGTACTATGGACTGTTGGTGTCTTTAGGTGTCTGACAAAAGCTAAAACAAATCCTCCCTAGTGAAACCATTTTCATCTTAAGTCTCAAAAAATTTTGTAAAAGATTTTTCGAGACCACTTGTTGAAAAAATAAGCAACAGAGAGAGAAAATTAGACACCATGATGAAGAATCTTCAGAAAAAATTAGACTGCAAAAACAGATCCAGAAAATATTTAGACTTTGAAATTGCCAGACATATAATATAAAATAACTGTATTATGTTTAGAGCATAAGTCAATAAAGAGCAACCTAAAAATATCTGTAGGAAATAAAAAAACAGCTAGCCACATAAAAAATCAAATAGCATTTCAAAAACTAAATAAATATTTGAAATTAATAACTGAAAAGACTGGTTTAATAGCTTTTTAGATGCAGCAAGGTGTATAAGTGAACTGAAAAACAGGTCAGATGAACTATTCAGAATACATAATAAAGGAACAAAGGAAATACAGATCCATAGACATGAAGGATAAAGCGTGATGGGCTAATGTACATAAACTGGAGCCCCAGAAGGAGAGAACAAGCAGAAGAAATAATTAATACCAATCCATAAGTTCCGAGTCTAATAAATCTCAACTAGAATAGATAAAAAGACATCCACACATAAATCCATCATGGAGAAATTCCAGAAAAACAAACACAAAGAGTAAATATATATATATACACACATATAAAAAGATAGATCAATAGAAAAACATATAGACTGAGCACTGACTTCTCAAAAATAGAAACGTTTGTGGCTGGGCGCGGTGGCTCACACCTGTAATCCCAGCACTTTGGGAGGTCGAGGCGGGCGGATCACGAGGTCAGGAGATCGAGACCACCCTGGCTAACACGGTGAAACCCCGTCTTTACTAAAAATACAAAAAATTAGCCGGGCATGGTGGCGGTCGCCTGTAGTTCCAGCTACTCCGAGGCTGAGGCAGGAGAATGGCGTGAAACCGGGAGGCGGAGCTTGCAGTGAGCCGAGATCGCGTCACTGCGCTCCAGCCTGGGCGACGGAGCGAGACTCCGTCTCAAAAAAAATAGAAACGTTTGTTAGTTTGTTAGAAGATGCTGAAGTGGTATTTTATATTCAATGTGCTGAGATAATATAAATGCTAAACTACACTAGGAATTTATTATATCAGGACAAATTCATCTTTCAAGACTTAGTAATTAACGACATTATCAAATAAACAACAAAAAAGGAACTATTTGCCACCAGCAGGTTTTCTCAAATGGAAATCTGGGCAGATAAATGATCAAAATACTAAATCAAAAGACAAACATGCACAATCAGAAGTATATCAAAAATTAGGATTCAGAAAGGTTGAAAGTAAAAAGATAAAATGTTAAAGTTTAAATCATAGGGGAAAAAAAGAAGTTTAAAGAATAGAAAGTGAAAAAGGATGAAAAATACACAGCAGAAGAGACCTGGGGCAGCTACACTAATATTACTTTAAAGAAAAAAGCATTACCAGGTGTATTAGTTCATTCTCACACTGCTATAAAGAACTACCTGAGACTAGGTAATTCATGAAGAAAAGAGGTTTAACTGACTCACACTTCTGCAGGCTTAACAGGAAACATGATTGGGCAGCCTCGGGAAACTTACAATTATGGTGGGAGGCGAAAAGGAAGCACGCACCTTCTTCGGATGGTGGCAGGAGAGAGACAGAGCGAAAGGGGAAGTGCCACACACTTTTAAAGCATCAAATCTCGTGATAACTCACTGTCACGAGAACAGCAAGGGGGAAATCTCCGGCCATAATCTAATCACCTCCCACCAGGCCCCTCCTCCAATTTGACACGAGATTTGGGCGGGAACACAAATCCAAACCATATCACCAGATATAAAGTCACTTTGGAATGGCCAAAGTTTTATTACATTGGGAAAATATAGCAATTTTAAATTTGTATGCACTTTGTAACATCGCCTCACATCATATAAAGCAAGACTGACAGAAATATAAATAAAGATAAACCCTCAGTCATAGAGGGGGATTTTAATACAAACTTTTCAGAAACTTACAAATCAAGCAAACAAAAATTAAGATGCAAAAATATTGAACTTCATGATCAGCACATAGAAGACGCTGCTGAGCAATCAAAACTGCACAGGGCATGCTCCTTCTAAATATATGGGGAGATGGAGTTCAGCTTCAGCCTGGACCTCTGGGGAACTCTGGAGAAGAATGACACACAGAGCTGGTCCACCTGGAGGCAAGAGGCCTAGCTTTTGTAGAAACATGTCCATTTGTCCCTGACTTCAGACTGCCCCTGCGTCAGGGTGGGGTTATACCGACCCATGTAAGACATCTGCTATTCAGAAGAGGGTCATTCTCTGGGGAAGGGGACAGTTCTGAGAAGTTAGCAGTCATCCTAACACAAGTTGGGTGATAATTGCACTGGCCTGTTAGGATCTGGGTGTGGTGCCAGTAGTATCCAGCACTGTCTAGCTCTTGCTTCTCAGGCTACTCAGATCTACTTGCTTCTCTCTTTAAGTTTTTTCCATCCAGGGACAATTTGTCCAGGATCTTTGTTGGTCCTGATTTCTGGGCAATGTATAAGAGGAGAATTACTGAAATGAACAACAGCCAGTGCTGCTACAGCTGGCCCGAACTCAGTAAATGATGCTCATCCCCTCTCTTATTTGGATCCCTCTCCCTCTCAGCTCGTGTCTCATGGAGTGACCCAGCCCATCAATCCTGAAGGGTCTGAGCCCCTGGTTATCATGTATTTGCTAAGATATTTTATGCAATAAATGAGTTCTTCATGGTTAGTTTTGGAACCAAAGCTTTACTCCTATCTTGTAGCAGCCTTTATTAAATGGTCAAAATATTCTTCATTTTGTTGCTGAGTGATTCACTTGAAACTTGACCTTTGTTTTTAGAAGTCCACCAGTTCCTTTGGGCGATTGGCTCAGCTGTGGCTCAACACAATGAGGCCTCTGTTTTGCTCCCAGCACGAGTGCTTAATTGGCATTACTGTTTACTCCTGATTTCACAGGCTTCCTTTTGTTTTTTTTTCTCTAAAACCTAGTTTCCTCTGAAAATATAATTCTAAAGTACAACAAAACGGTGATGTAGAAAATATTTTTGATTAATCTGTAAAGTACGCACAGTGTGAATATCACACCTACTTCTCCACCATAGGATTTTCCAAGTACAGTGTGTCCGTCACCTCTCCGATGTCATTAGGCAGTTATTTTTTCCATAAGAAAAATCAATTGCATTCCTTGCCCAAAGATATTTCTGCCCAGTATAAACATCACAGCTTCTGTCTCTTTGAGGTTTAATAGCATCTTTCTATGAACTTACCCTTATTTTCTGTTGATGGGTATACTAAGGCTTCTCCCATCCACAGCTGATTTCAATGACACAATTAAAGGCCATATGCCAACCTTTCAAAGACCTCCACTCTGACTCAGCAGATGGATTTTTACCACCTACTTGCGCTCACCTGTTTTTAGTGCTTCAGATAACACAGCTACAATGTAAGTGCAGGGTCTATAGGTGTTGCAGAACTGGTCCAGATGGTGGTTGAAGCACACAGACTCGCAGGACAGGGAGGAAAGTAGGCAAGTCCACTCTGGCCTGTTAGGAAAGGATGTCTGTTTTATAAAGAGGAATTCTCCACAGTTGCCTTTCCTACTCCAGAGATACTTAATGAGAACCTCTCTGGAAATAGTTAAGATGGTCCAGGTAATCCTTATTATCAGAGAAGTTTGAGGAACATCGCCTTAAGGAAAAGCTATGATGCGCGGTGTCTTTCAATAGCTTGAAATATTTAATTATGAATAAATGTTTTGTGGTTGCTTAGAGATGCTGACTTACGAGAAGAAGACTTATTCAAGTTTTTCATCTAGAATATCACTGGCAAGTGAAGACCACCAACCCAGCAGTTCTTTCCTCAATAGAATCTTATCACACTTGTTACTTCCCTCAAGATCCAAGACAGAGCTACGCAAAGTGAGATTGGTCTTTGGGGCTACAAAACTTAGCGACATCTCTTCTGTTATCTCTTTCCTTTCCCCAGAGACACTCCACATCGTGTTTCCTGCTGGGCGATCTGGGAGGCAAACTGCCTTAAATTTCCCAATGCACTCCATTATCAAAATGCATCTATTCTGCCAAGGCTGAATTCTGTACAGGCACATCTCATTTTATTGTGCTTTGCAGATATTGTATTTTGTTTTTACAGATTGAAGGTTTGTGGCAACCCTGCCTCAAGCAAGTCTATCGGGGCTGCTTCCCCAACTGCATGTGCTCATTTTGTATCTCTGTGTCACATTTTGGTAATTCTCAATATTTCAGACTTTTCCATTATTATCGTATCTGTGATGGCAATATGTAATCAGTGATCTTTGATGTTACTATTGTAATTGTTTCGGAGCATCATGAACCATGTCCATGGTAGAGAACCTAATCAGTAAATGTTGTATGTGTTCTGACTGCTCTACCAACTGGCTGTTCCTCCTTCTTTCTCCCTTTCCATGGACCTCTCTATTCCCTGAAACATGGCAATATTGAAATTATGTCAATTAATAACCCTACAATTGCCTCTAAGTGTTCAAGTGAAAGGAAGAGTTCCAAATCTCTCTCTTTAAATCAAAACTTAGAAATGATTAAGTTTAGTGAGAAAGGCACGTCAAAAGCTGAGATAGATCAAAAGCTAGGCCTCTTGCCCCAAACAGTTAGCCAAGTTGTGAATGCAAAAGAATAGTTCTTGAAGGAAACTAAAAGTACTACTCCAGTGAACACACGAGTAATAAGAAAGCAAAACAGCCTTTTTGCTGATATGGAGAAAGTTGTAGTAATCTGGATAGAACATGAAACCAGCCACTACATTCCCTGAAGCCAAAGCCTGATCCAGAGCAAGGCCTTAACTCTCTTCAGTTCTATGAAGTCTGAGAGAGGTCAGGAAGCTGCAAAAGAAAAATATGAAGCTGGCAAAGACTGATTCATGAGGTCTAAGAAAAAGAAGCTGGCTCCGTAACATAAAAATATGAGGTGAAGCAGCTGATGCAGAAGCTGCAGCAAGTTATCCAGAAGTTCTCACTAAGATAACTAATGAAGGTGGCTATACTCAATGACAGATTTTCAATGTAGACAAAACAACCTGCTATTGGAAGAGGATGCCATCTAGGACTTTTATAGCTAGAGGGAAGAAGCCAGTGTCTGGCTTCAAAGATCAAAGGACAGGCTAACTCTGTTGTGAGGGGCTAATGCAGCTGGTGACTAAGTAGAAGCCATTGCTCATTCACCATTCCCAAACTCCTAGAGCCCTTAAGAATTATGCTAGATCTACTCCCCCTGTGCTCTAGAAATAGCACAACAAAGTCTAGATGGCAGCACATGTGTTACAGCATGGTTCACTGGAATTTCTTTTTTCTTTTTTCTATTATCTTTTTTTTGAGACAGAGTCTTGCTCTGTCACCCAGGCTAGAGTGCTGTGGCACAAACACAGCTCACTGCAGCCTCAACCTCCTGTGCTCAAGCAATCGTCCTGCTTCAGCCTTCCATGTAGCTGGGATTACAGGCATATGCCCTATGCCTAGCTAATTGTTTGAATTTTTGTACAGACAGGGTCTCAAACTCCTGGCTCAAGCAATCCTCCCTCCTTAGCTTCTCAAATTGCTAGAATTGTAGGCATGAGCCACCACACCCAGCTCTGGTTTACTGGATATTTTAAGCCCACTGTTGAGTCCTACTGCTCAGAAAAAAAAAAAAAGATTCTTTTCCAACTATTACTGCTCGTTGACAATGTACCTAGTTATCCATGAGCTCTGCTGGAGAGGGGATGAATGTTATTTTCATGCCTGCTAACACATTTATTATGCAGCCATTTTAACTCTCAAGTCTTATTAAGAAATACATTTTGTAAGGCTATAGCTGCTATAGATAGCTATTCTTCTGGTGGATCTGGACTAAGTAAATTGAAAACCCTCTGGAAAGGATTCACCATTCCAGATGCTGTTAAGTACATTCCTGATTCATGGAAGAATATAAAAATATCAGCTTTAACAGGGGCTTGGATAAACTTGATTCCAACCCCCGTGGATGACTTTGAGGGGTTCAAAACTTCAGTGGAGGAAGTAACTGCAGATTTAGTGGAAATAGTGAGAGAACTAGAATTAGAAATAGAGCCTGAAGATGTGACCGAATTGCTACAATCTCATGATAAAACTTAAATGGATGAGTTGCTTCTTATGGATGAGCAAAGAAAGTGGTTTCTTGAGATGGAATCTTCTCCTCGTAAAGATTCTGTGAACATTGTTGAAGTGACAACAAAGGGTTTAGAATATTACATAAACTTAATTGATAAAGCTGTAGCAGAGTTTGAGAGGAGTGACTGCAATTTTGATAAATGTTCTATTGTGGGTAAAAAGCCATTGAATGGCATGGCATGTTACAGAAAAATCTCTCATGAAAGGAAGAGTCAACCAATGTGGCAAACTTCATGCTTGTCTATTTTTAAGAAATTGCCACAGCCACTCCAGCCTTCAGTAAGCACCAGCCTGATCAACCAGCAGTCATCAACAATGAGGCAAGACCCTCCTCCAACAAATAGGTTATGAGGGGCTGGGCACAGTGGCTTACGCCTGTAATCCCAGCACTTTGGGAGTCCAAGGCGGGCGGATCATTTGAGGTCAGGAGTTCAAGACCAGCCTGGCCAACATGATCGCACCCCGTCTCTACTAAAAATACAAAAATTATCTGGGCGTGGTGATGCACGCCTGTAGTCCTAGCTACTAAGGAGGCTGAGGTAGGAGAATCACTTGAACCCAGGAGGCAGAGGTTGCAGTGAGCCAAGATTGCACCATTGCACTCCAGCCTGGGTGACAAGAGTGATACTCAAAAAAAAAAAAAAAAAAAAGGTTATGACTCACAGACTCACAGAAGGCTCAGATGATCATTTGCATTGTTTGGCAATAAAGTATTTTTAAGTTAAGATATATATATATTTTAGTATACAGTACAGTGTATACATAACTTATATATGCATTGGAATATAAAAAAAAATTGTGTGACTTGCCTCATTGTGATATGTACTTTATTGCATTGGTCTGAAACCAAATTGCACTGTCTTCCAGGAACGCCTGTACATGTAAATCCATGTTAGTGAGGCAACAAGCAGGAGATGCCTATTAGTTAGCCTGTTTACATTTTTAGGTGTGTATTCTAAACCTTAATTTTCCCTGCCCAAAGAGCATCTAAAAGTTCATCATAGCAATATTTGGTGACATGTGGGTCTTGAAATCACAGAACATAAACAAGTGTATACGGATTAAAACTAATCTTAGGCCGGGCGCGGTGGCTCACGCTTGTAATCCCAGCACTTTGGGAGGCCGAGGCGGGTGGATCATGAGGTCAGGAGATCGAGACCACGGTGAAACCCTGTCTCTACTAAAAATAAAAAAAAATTAGCCGGGCGTGGTGGCGGGCGCCTGTAGTCCCAGCTACTCGGAGAGGCTGAGGCAGGAGAATGGCGTGAACCCGGGAGGCAGAGCTTGCAGTGAGCCGAGACTGCGCCACTGCACTCCAGCCTGGGTGACAGAGCGAGACTCCATCTCAAAAAAAAAAAAACCTAATCTTAATGAGAGTCTCAAAAATATTACAGTCTTGTGTAGTTACTAAAGCATAATCTACTCATAAATCAAATGAAACATAATTATATTCGAGCAGAATTCTTCTCCAATTGATTCAGTGTCTATATTTCCATAGAGCACAGGACAGTCCCTCCATGGATTTTCAAATTTCTCTTTTAGCATGCCTATTGTTTTCCCAGTAACTCACCATGGTGTCCAGTGAAATACTAATTAAGGTGGAAATAAGCAGTAGGAACAAATGAGTTAGTGAAAAACAAATACCCTGTTTTCATCAAATTCTTGCTGTCTTGCATTTCATAGCTACTTCCTGTATTATTAGTCTGTTCTCATCCTGCTGATAAAGACATACTGGAGACTGGGTGATTTACAAAGAAAAAGAGATTTAACGGACTCACGGTTCCCCATGGCTGGGGAGGCCTCACAGTCATGGTGGAAGGCGAAAGGCACGTCTTACACGGCAGCAGACGAGAGAAAATGAAGACCAAGAGAAAGGGCCTTATAAAACCATCAGATCCCATGAGACTTATTCACTACCACAAGAACAGTATGGGGGAAACTGCCCCCATGATTCAATTATCTCCCACCAGGTCCCTCCTACAACACATGGGAATTGTGGGAGCTACAATTCAAGATGAGATTTGGATGGGGACACAGACAAATGATATCACATCCATTCCAAAGCACTTGCAGGACCATGAACACAATTTCATTTAAACCAAAGGCTACTACTATCTTGGTTGTGCATTGGCTTGGCTTCATCCTCTTTATTGTAAAACTTTCTGTATTGACTGCTTTCTCTGTGTTTGACATTATCCTTTCCCCAATCTCATACCGTCAAATACAGATTTAATTGTATAGGCTCCTACATGCAAACACCTTCCAGGGCCAGGAATTGAAGCAGGCTGGGGACATGGAGGCAAATGGGAAGTATATGCCCACCTATGGGAGGCACAGGATGCCCCTATTGGCCCCCTACCACTTGGGAATGCAGAACTGACCTGGCCAGATCTTCCTTCCTTTTTTTTTTTTCAAGACGGAGTCTCACTCTATCACCCAACCAAGCTGGAGTGCAGTGGCACAATCTCAGCTCACCACAACCTCTGCCTCCCCAGTTCAAGTGATTGTCATGCCTCAGACTCCTACAGGTATGGTGGCTTACGCCTGTAATCCCAGCACTTTGGGAGGCCAAGGTGGGTGGATCACCTGAGGTCAGGAGTTCGAGTCCAGCCTGGCCAACATGGCAAAACCCCGTCTCTACTAAAAATACAAAAATTAGCTGGGCATGGTGGAGGCTGCCTGTTATCCATATCTTCCTATTTTTCCTGATAAAATAAAATTCTTGTGGTTTTCAAATGTTGGTAATTGATCTTAATTTGTCAACAATATACATTGAGTCATACAAAACACACCTGAATTATATTCTCAGTTTATATTGAACCCACAGGCCAGCAATTGACTTTTACTGGATTCCAGCAATGAATGTAGTTACAGGGCCAATTCAACCTGGAAAAGATATTTGTTCATCCTTTCTACTTTTGCTTTGAGGATGCAGTGAGCTATAATCACATCAATGCACTCCAGGCTAGGCAACGGAGATAGGCCTTGTCTCTAAAAATAACAAAGAAAACAAAAGAAGAGAGATACTGAGCAGGTAGAAGGGGTACTATGATATTTTGGATGTACCTGTTTTTTAAAATGATTGTCTACTCCAATACACAGTGAATCCCTATGCATTATAGGATGAGTGTGCTGGATTCCATGACTTCCTTGAAGCCCATGAATTCTCTGAGACTGTCTCCATCATCATTGGGATTGTTTGGCTCATGAGCATGAATTATAGAGACTTAACAGAGGTAGTTCAACCAAGGACAGAGAAAGGTCTGAAATGCCTGTTGGGTGAGGAGTGGCACTGAGATTAGTAAAAAATCACTGCCTTGACCACTTCAAAACATTATAAATAAATGTTTAAATATTTCCTTAATATAATTTACTAACAGATAATTCGAACGAATGTCAAGGAATAACACACTATCATTCAGCTACCATATATATATAGCTATATATTTCAGTTTGTGAAATAAACTAGTATTTAGAACAAGCAATTGAAAGCCGCAAATAAAGATGATGAAACAAGTTGGTAAATACTTTTTCTAAGCAAACTGGTTGTAGATTTAGCATTGTTTAAATTACTGTCAATTTTTTCTTATGAGGAGTGATTTCATCATTTGTTTAAAACCTGGCTTTTGACACAGTTTTTCTGAAGTCTTTAGAAATTTGAAAAATTATCTCGCATGACTCTGTATTTCATGAAATACCAATATTTTAACATTTCCCTGTAAACAATAAAACGTACTAATATGGATTATGAATGTGAACAAATTGTGAATGGACTTTTTAAGAAAGTAGATTAATTAAATATCTGTAACCAGAAAATACATTTTTAAAATGTAGGTTTGTGTAGTTTTACTTCTATACCTTGCCACATAACATTTTGTGATAGACAAATGCTCTTTGTTTAGAATTTCTCTTGTAGAGAAAGCTTCATTCAGTTGTTTCTTTCCCTTTATTTATATGCCTGTGTGCATGATGTCTAAATCACTGGTCAGGAGTTCCCTGGGGATTTTCGTATCTGACTACATGGCAAGATTCCAGACCCAAAGTAAACCTTTCAGAGAGTGGGAATGAGTGGGAGGATGTCGCCCTGGGCATGGTGCTTAGGAGGCCAGATTTCCCTAAACCTGCTCTGCTGGGAGCCCTAGGAAGCCTCAGATGCAGTCTGCTGTCCAGGTATACTCACAGGGTATGGGGTGGGGGACTGTCAATTTCTGAATAGACTTTGTCTCATCCACACGACAACATATTTTAATTTTAAAGGCGAACGTCAACCTATTTAGAAAACTATAAGTGTGACTGATGCATTCATTATTTAATAACTCCGGGGTGAAACTTGAGGTGAACGGTTTCACCCTTTCATACTCAGGAATGGAACTAGTCCTCGGTACCGTGCACAGTCTGACCTCACGCTCGCACGCTGGGCTCCCGGCCTCCTGGCAGTGCACTTAAGTGTACCCCGCGTGTGCCCGGCGGACTCCCGTGCACACCGCCGCCGTGCTGTTGAGTACGAAAGACCCCCGAGAGGAGCTCGCAGATGAGAGCCTAGCTGTTGCTGTGAGACTGACTGCGGGTGGCAGCCGGCAAGAAGGAACTGCCAGTACCGACCCTGGCGCTCCCCACCAACTGCGGCGCAGCCTCCTCTGCGGTGCCCGCCCTTCGGCATCACTGCAGTCCCTGTAGCAAAGCTAACTTTAAAAATTTAAATAAAATAATAATTTTTTAAAGGCCCGAAAACTCCGGCTCCCACCCCTCCCCCAGCCTGCCCGGCGGCGGCGGCGCTCAGTGAGTGACACGGCGAGCGTGAGCCGCGGCCCCAGCCGGGCCGAGCGCGCTGCCTGAGCTGAGCCGCCGTAGGTGAGGGGCCCGCGTCCCCGCCCGCCCTGGGCGCCGCGCCTGGCACTGATCCTGCCGGTCGCCCACTGTCGCCGCCGCCGCCGCCCGCGGGCACCATGACAGCTCTGAGCGCTGGGGTTACAGGTTGGTCACCGCCGCCGGTGCCCGGGAGGCTGCGGCGCGGCCGGCTCCGTGCCCTGCGCCCGAGGCCCGCGATGCGCGCTCGTTAGTTCCTTGGCCGGTCCGGGCCAGGACGGCTCAGGGGCGCTGGGGCTGCGAGAGGGGCTGCTAGAGGGGCTGCGGGCGGGGGCCCCGCGCGGGGGAGGGGTGGGGAGGGGCGCCTCCACCCGAGAGCGGGGCGGTGGGGTCCTTGCCGGCCTGGCCGGGGCGCGGGAGCCGCGATGCGCCCTCCCTATTCCTGCGCGTGGGTGTCGGGGGCGCCTGCCGCGGGATGCCCCTGGGCTGGCTTGGGAAGCCCAGGGCCGGCGACACCTCGGGCCTGCCCCGCCTGGGCATCTAGCAGGTGTTGGGGGGCAGGTGGCTGAGGACGAGGCCACTGGGCATCACTACAGCGCTGCACCTGCCCCCTCGGCACCAGGGCCGCTGCCTGGGTAAACCTCTGGGCCAACGCGCGGGTGGGGAGGTGGGGGTGGGCAGCCTGGCTCCAGCAGGTCTCCGCGGGGGCTCCGCGGCCTTGCCCCACCCCCATGCTCCTGTGGATTGCTCCTTGCTAAATGTCCCTTATGATATTCATTGGCCTTGTTAAGCAGCCGTCATTAGGGTGGCTACACCGAACGCAAAACAGTGTCCTGCCAAGCAACACCATTTTGTCACTGAATCTTTAAGACACCAGCAAGGATGGCCTGGCTGGGATCCCTCTGGGGGCCCAGATCGCAGTCATTTTGCTGACTTAATGTTCCTCTTTCAGGATGGTGTGAGAATGCTGAACTCAGACCCTTAGTGCTTGAAATACCTTAGAATAAATCTTTCAGTTTCAGGTACAATTTTTCAGACACTGTATTATTAAGGATGTGTGAATACACGCTCACTTTCAGGCCTCAGAAGGTTTTACTCTTAATCTGGTGTTCGTGTGGTCATCAGCTAGGCCCGACTGCCCTGGTGGTGAAATGTGGGTTGAGGACCAGTGACCTTCGTGTTAGTAGTTGGTGGATAACACCTCTAATAGGGGATCAAAAATTAACAGGTGGCGATTTTGAAATATATATGTATGTATATATATATATATATGTGTGTGATTTGTATGTTCATAACTACAACTGTGATTTGATATGGCCTGGGAGAGGAGCGGTTTCACTATGGTAGTTACCCCTGAGGCAGATGCATCTCAGGACTGGCTTTTTAAATTCAAAGATAAGGTTTCCACAGTTCTAAATAAAAATCATGGCTTCCCAAACATCTGCAACGAGAAACATTTACTCCCTAACTGGTTGGCTGTCATTCTGCGTGCTTTTCTAGAGTCGATTTTTCGTTCTTCTGTAGTATACTTTGACCTAGCCACTGCTAAAACCAGACAGTGTGAAGACAAAATCCAGCTTTGGAGAAAAACTTAAAAAGTGAAAAGGTTCAGTTGGATCCTCTTCTGTGTTCATAGAAGACATAATCTGTTTGCAGAATAAATGTGCCGTCACTGATAAGGACTATGCTAAAATCTCTACAGAACTCTAGGAGAAAGCATGTCTTATAAAATAGTGGTTGTACACTTATAACTTTGGATAGGACTTGCAAGATATTCAAAGGAGAAATGTACTTAAAAAATGTACTTAAAAAAAGTCTACTCAAAATAGTGTCATTTAGTTGCAATTTAGTGAACTGAAGATTTGAGTAGCATTTTCTTCTTCTTGGGTATGGCATTTCTTTGAAATGGTTTCCAGGTGATTTTATCATTCCGGCATGCTTTGTGTGTGCATGTATGTGTATACACAAATGTACACATTTGTTTTATCATTTATCGATGATGTTCAGATAATTTCAGAATTTCCATAGCTGTATAAATTTATCCCAGGTCAGAGTCACATGTGGATTTCAAGTTTGTGAATGAAAATTCACATCTACACCTCTATATCCTAAGATAAGCTAAGCACTGGGCCAGAAGCTGGGTGGTGAGTGAGAAAAAGAGATAAACTGAGAGCCTAAGAATCCTTCAGGAAAGACAAATATGTAAGCAGGTGGATATACAGTGAGATGTCTTATTTTCTAGTTTTGCTGTGGAAACTATGATAGTGAGCTTAAACATATTAAGAATGGTCCCCAAGGCCACACACGGTGGCTCATGCCTATAATCCCAGCACTTTGGGAGGCCAAGGCAGGCCTATTGCTTGAACCCAAGAGTCCAGACCAGCCTGGGCAACATGGTGAAACCCCGTCTCTACAAAAAAAAAAAAAATTCACCAAGTGTAGTGGTGTACACCTGTAGCCCCAGTTACTTGGGAGGCTGAGGTGGAAGGATCGCGTGAGCCCAGAGATGTCAAGGCTGCAGCAGGCTATGATGGCACCACTGTACTCTAGAATGGGCGACTGGGCACAGAGTGAGACTCTGTTTAAAAATAAAAAAAGAATGCCCCTGTCCCAAAATGTTATCAACATTTTAGAGCTTCACTCATGTTATACAATTCTCGCCTGTCTCAAGGACCAGCACAGATTTTCATACCTTCAAACTCTATGCAAATGCTTAAATTTTTTTAATTGATTTTTTGAATTTTAAAGTAACCAAAGTTGATAGAGATGATAGAATGATAGAGAAAAAAGAGTAAACAGCTAGTTTTAATAACCGAAGACAGATGACCACAATATCTGTGTGTTTTTTGTAGTCTTTTTAAGGGCTTGACTTCAGGTAGTTGTCATCGTGGCATTGGACAACTTTTATACTGTTTTTACCACTGAATATTTATTATAAATATTTAAAATATTTCTATATAATTTTCTTACTTAAAAATTGTAAATGGCTGTATAACACCATACCCAGTAAATACAGCCTCATATATTTAACCATACCTCTATCATTGGACATTTGCTGTTTCCAGTTTTTCATCATTATAAACAGTGTCCTGATAGTTATAATGTAGAGATTTATTTCTATTTTATGTTTTTCAGTATAAATATCCAAATATGTCCATATCTGTCACCTATTTTTCCATATCTTCAAATTGGTTTCCTGAAAAATTCAGATTATAATTTATTTATGATAAATTTCCAGTAATTATGTCTTTGAAAAAAGAAGTATCTGAATTATTATAGAGATATATTGTATGTCTTTAAATTGATTTCCTAAAGAATTCAGATTATAATTTTGAATAAATTGCTTAATCTGCTTTTGAGGTAAATCTACCCTTTTACAAAAAGTGTTGGTGGATCACATTCCCTCTTTTACAGAAATAAAAGAAGGTAACATAATAATTTGGATGTTTGACCTTTGTGCTATATAAAAACTTGACCTTTACAAAAATCACCTGAAAACCAGATGCTAAAATATACCTCTTAGAGTAAAGCCAAAATAGGAATACTATAAAAGTTCAAAGCTGGAAAAAGAAAAAAATCAATGCAAGTTCCTTTAGAAAATTGGCTGTTGTATTCAGGAGTCTAATTCTGCTTTTTGCTTTCCTACTCAGACTTCAAGTAAATGATCAAAAGGGCTTACATAGTGAGAAATCTGTACCCCCACAGGTAAAGGAAGAAGAGGATCTTTCTTTCCTAGGCTGCAGAATCCAAGGCTTTTCTGGTAGATTCAGTATAGATGGAACAGGACTGATAGGAAAAGCTAAAGTTCAGTTCACAATTTCCTTTCTAAGATCAGTGTACAAAAAATACGGAAGAGAGACCCTGGAAGAGCCCCTTAGTATGAAGGAGCGAAGTTGAAAGTTGGAAGCAGGCTTTTGTAAAACAGAATTGCTTGTTTCTCCATGAGATCCCAGGGCAAGGCAGCCATACCGGAATATGTTCTGAAGACAGGGACTGACCCCACAGGTCCAGGGTGGGGGCAGGGGTAGGCCTCCGCAGCAGGAGTGGAAGAATTAGAAGTAGGATAGACCAGAACACTGAAGCCAAGAGAATCATTTATGAAGAGATCAAGAGTGAGAATTATTTCCAATTATGCAAAGAAAAGAGATGAAAAGAGGATGTTGTTTGGAGAGAGAATGATATAGATGGAAGACAGCCAACAGAGACACACCAATAAATGTTTTTCCTGACAGAGGGGATCACAGTGCATGGAACACAGCCATGTTTTAAAGTGAGATAAGATTCTTTTTTTCTTTTAGATTAAAAACAATCCAAATCTTCAGATGAAAATAAGTTATCATGTACCAAAACAATTAATAAAACTTAGCCAACATCTACATATAGCCTGATAAAAACTTTGGATTTGAAAACCAATAAAAAGAAAAATATTTCACCATCATTGTGATCAAATGCTTCAGAAATTACTTATCCACAAAGAGAAAATTTAGATTAATGTTATACTTCCTCTCTAAAATTATCAGCAAACATAAAATAACGTCCTGAAAATCTGTAGTCCTGAAAAATATCAGTAGACAATTCTCTTACGTTGTAAATGAGTCAAAAGTGAAAAATAAATAGGTGAAGAAATACATACTAGGCAAGTGATATCAGTAAAAAAAAATGAGGTAGAAGTGTGTAAATATCAGAAAACAGTTCAAAAAATTGTTTGATTAAATGAGAAAAAAGACCGTAAAGTCATAAAAGTTGCTATCTTTAATACATTTATAACTACAGGCTTCCCATATATACCAACGATCAGAGCATTATAGTATGCACAGTCAAAAGCATAATGCTGGCCGGGCGCGGTGGCTCACGCCTGTAATCCCAGCACTTTGGGAGGCCGAGATGGGTGGATCACGAGGTCAGGAGTTTGAGACCAGCGTGGCCAACATGGTGAAACCCCGTCCCTGCTAAAAATACAAAAAAATTAGCTAGGTGTGATGGTGGGCACCTGTAATCTCAGCTACTCGGGAGGGGAGGCTGAGGCAGGCGAATCATTTGAACCCAGGAGGCAGAGGTTGCAGCGAGCCGAGATCACGCATTACACTCCAGCCTGGGCGACAGGGCAAGACTCCGTCTCAAAAAAAAAAAAAAAAGTCTGATGCTTATTTTAGGGGAAATGGAAGCGGAAGCATGCCCACAGACTCAATATCTTTTTAAAGAGTTTTGTGACCTAAAATGGTATTGGGAGTCAGCATTTCATCTTAAGAAGTACAAAAAAAAAGGAAAAAAAAGAAAGAGGATAAAGTTTTAAGAATGAAAACATGAATGAATTCACTATGACATAGATAAACTCTAAATCTGATAGCAAAAACTGAGAGCTACAGCATTCCAATCTGGGAGGAATATTGATCTACAGGTATATTTAAGGTAAATTAGAATGCCAACAAATTGGAATGATGACAAGGAGGTTAGTGAAGAAATGCACTGGAGAAATTGGATATACAATTCCAAGATTGAAGAACTGGAATCAGATTGCAGTAATGGAAATGAAGAGGTGGATGGTAAAGATATATCCACAAAAACTAATGCTACCACGTCTTAGTGATGGAAGGAAGAGAATGAAAGGGAGTCCTAGGTTAAAAATAATTTCCGATCATCGAGCTTGGGTGATTGTGCTATTGTATTCTATTAAGTCTAGTTAAAAGAAATTGTTACGGCTTTATCTTTCAGTTAATAGTATCTACAGGGTAAATCCTTTGCTTCATTCCCTTTTCTAGTTGTTTTATTGTTATTTTGAAATTCACATGAGATTACTTCCAGAGGCAATATCGTTTTGCTTCCTTTCTTTGAAGGCATTGAATGGCAATTTAAAGGTGTAGTCTAGACTAGAAAATCATAACAGAAACCCCAACAAAAACTCAAATATCTTAGTTATCCTTTTATAAAACAAAAATTTAATTCCTGTATACAATGCAAGTTAGTTATTTTAAAAGTAAATTCTGAAGATTTCTGAGGAAAGAATAGAATATACTGTATATACATACAATTATAAATCAAAATTTTTGTCTCAGACATATTTTGCCTGTGTTGCTTATAATTAGACTCTCTTATTCTTTTCCACACAGAGCCATGACTATGCAATGTGAACTCTCTAAGTGTTCTCTTCTGAGCATCTAGGCTAGTGATGCCTCATTAATTTGGAAACAGTGATGGGAGAGGTGTGCAGGGATCACCTGAAGATGTTTTTAAAAAAATACAATGTCCTGTTTTCCACCCTTAAAGATTCTGATTTAGTATGTCTGAGGTGAAGGAGGCCTCAGCTTGAGTGTCTTAGTTAGCTTGGGCTGCTGTAACAAATAGCACAGACTAGGTGGCTTAAACTCCAGACTTTGGTTTTATACAGTCTGGAGACTAAGAAGTCCAAGATCAAGGTGCTGGCTGATTCCTGTGAGGGCTGTCTTCCTGGTCCACAGACCATTCAGCTGCCTCCGTTCTTCTTATAGATTCGCTAGTCCCATTCATGGGGTCTCCACCTTCATGGCCTCATGACCTCCCAAAGGCCCCACCTCCAAATACATTAGAGATAAGAGCTTCAACATATGACTTGAGGAAGGCAGAACCATTCGGTTTATAGTGTTGAGAATGTTTCTGAACCTCCCTTGATAATTCATATGTTAAGCAGTCTTTAGGAATTACTATTTTAAACCATCCCCTTTTGAGCAAATTTGTGGATTCATATTGCAAAATTTAACAAACACAAAAACATAATCTCCCTTTGATCTTCTGTTATGTTTAAATATAGTAGCAAATTTTGAAAACCACTGTTTTAAACCATCCACCTTCTTTATCTAACCTTTACAGATTCATATTATAAGATTAAACAACCACAATCAAAATAAGTATCCCCTTTCTGGTTTTTCATAATATATAAATGATAGTAGCAGCTCATCAAAATAAAATATCCAACACTGGATAATTAATATAGAGTAGGATATATACTCAGCACAGGGTAGGACGGTGGTGGCCAGGGGCTGGGAGGAGGGGAAAATGGGGAGTTGTTAATTACTGGGTAGAACGTTTCAGTTATGCAAGATGAGTGAGCTCGAGAGATCTGTGTTATGACATTGTGCCTGTAGTTAACATTTTATAGTGAATGTAAAAATCTGTTAAGACAGTTCTCGTGTTAAATGCTCCTACTACAATGAAACAAAAATAAAAATTACTGTGATGTAGGTGACAAAAATACGACCCAGTTCCCTCTCATACTGCTTGACAGTTTTAGTTTGGGCATGTAGGTGCAATGACAGTTTTAGTTTGGGCGTGCAGGGTGCAATGACAAAAGGGCATTGGGGCATTGTGGTGTGTACTGAATCCCTTTAGCAAACCCAATCACTTTAAAGGCCAGAGAAAATTCAATTTTCACAATTAAAAAATAAAACAAAACAGAATCCTTGGAGAAGTAATGACAGTTTTGGAGTTTTTCTAGAAATAACCAGAGAAAAATAACCTGCTGTTTTACTTTGGGATTTAAGAAATAGACTCATAAAAAGTGGGGAACCATTTTTTATTTCTAATCAGTACCTTGACAAAAGGAAAACAGAAGAGTCTGTTTTTGGAGATGGTTCTTTGAAACATTTGCCTTCCCCTATGTGGTCACCACCTTGGGTAGCCCTTGAAGTCTGCTGGGACTGGACCATGCATGCAAAATTCTGTTTTTTGCAGAGCTACATTATTTAGTGAGGGCCAAGACACAGATGAATGAGTACCCCAAAAGAAAAGTGGCAGGTGGCATTTGGAGGAGAGAGAGAGAAGGAGAGAGGCAGAAAGAAAAAGAGAAGGAAGAACAAAGAAAACCAGGCAGCCAAATCAGGGTCTTGACTTTTGTACAAAATTAGATTGAAAATCAACCACAACAATCCACTACCTGCAGGGGCAGGGGAGTGGGCCGCTGTTCTGTTGTGGAGACACGCATTGCCGCTGTGATGCCCAGGGTGTCAGTTTTTTGATGCTGTCTTAGTTCTCCTGCTAACATGTTCTCTGCTGTGTTGCTGGGGGAGACGCAGGACTCCAGGCTAAGTTTAAGAGAGAAAACATAGAGCTGCTGCCTTTCCTCTGAGCAGAGGCCAGATTACAGGGAATGATGCATCCAGCTCATTGAAGTTCACAAGCTAAGGATACGCGGAGGAGAGGCTTGCTTGAGAGGGCCCGGAAGGACTGGCATTGTAAGTCTAGTGGCAGGCATGCTCTAATTTGGTTTTATTACTTAGACGTGGAATAGGCAGGAACTTGGAGATTCCCGTCTCTGTTCTCTGGGAAAGAAGACTGTTCTATTTACAAAGACTTGAAAGGGTCAGACTGAAAGAAGACATGGACAGCAAAGTATTCCTGGGGTGGCAATCAGAAAGACCTGGCTCCCTCGTGGTTTATCACAGCTAACCATGTGACCTCAGACAAGGCACTTATCTTCTCCAAAACTCAGTTTCACCTGTAAAATCAGAATAACAGAGAGAGAGACACTTACCTCATTGAGGCATGGTGAGAAATAGGTAACAATTAGCCTCACACTTAATAAACCCTCAGCAAATGTTAGGTGTAACTTGTTTAAACTGAAAATTTTTTTAATGTTTTACTTGTTTCAAAGAAATTATAAATAAAACACATCATCTTTGTGAACATGTACAGAAGTTCGTGTTTGTGAAATGTACAAAAGTTCTTAAGGTTAAAAAGTGAAAGTCAAATGCTTCACCATTTCTCTCCCTCCCTCTGTTCTCCCGACAAATAGACTACTTGGATTCTAAACTTGCTTCCAATTCATGTGGGTCTGGGCATGTTTGCCTCCAATTTTTAATCTCTGTAGTGGGAATAATACTAAAAACTACTTCAGAGAGGTGTCAAATGCTTAGAATAGTGCCTGGCATGGAGTAAGCTTTCAATAATATTTGTTCTCATCTTTCAAGTTAAAAAAATGAGTACATAATGTCTAAGCTTGCTTCTATTCTATAATTATGCACAGTAGTTTATGGACTTTCATTCTACCCTGAGAAATGATCAAATGCATAAAAATCTGAGCAGTGTCAAGAGTATTAATCACTTTTATCATTGGAAGTCACTTTGGATATCATCTATTGCAAAGTCCCAGACAGAGGAGAAATCTTTTCTGCAAACTCTAAAATGTGTAGTCATTCCCTCTGAGAGTATCCATAAAGGAGTTTACCACCTTTTGGGATATTCCAACATATTATGATTGGAAACTTATAGAGTAGATGTTCTTTTTATCAAATAAACAGTCACCTCTTGATAAACTTTTGTTAGAGAATTTCTATTTTGTCTGCATTTTCCTTGCTAGAAGAACAGAGAGCACTACAAAACAAATCATAACAACTGTGTTCTGGGCTTTGGATTTTGGGTATGACAGAAAAACTTTCTCAATACATACCTTTTAATTGCTCTTGCACAATCTCTGTAAAAAATTACATACATTCTTTTAGCCATGTATCATAGGTGGAATCTATTTTTTAGTTTTCATATTCTTAGCCTAGTCAGTCAAGAAATTACGAGACTAAAACTAACTCTAGGAAGTGAAGAAATCTGTCATTTTAGGAAATGGAGAGATCTGTCTCTTCACTACATGGGGTGAGATTATCAAATGGGAGTTAGTAAATATGTTTTTCTCATTCTTTACCAAATTTAGAGAAAAAAATAATGAAGGTATAATAGAATATTTCTAGGATTCATCCTCAAGGAAAAAGGAATAATAAATGGATAATACCTTCAGAAACTTGAAAGGGTTATTTAGATAGATTTAATGAGAGGTTTGATGATTTCTACCAGAAAAAAATTGACATTTTTATAAGTGTGTGGTGAGAAAAATCATAAAGTGAGTCAGATAATAAAAATGGATTCAATTTCAGGAGATGAGAAATGTCTGTACTATTTGCACAAAAAATAATTGATGCCAAGAGTTTGTAAACACCAGGCTATATGATTTAAATATATTGAAAAAGTCATTTTCTCATTTCCTGTCCATTCTGTAATATACTTAATTTTTGATTCAATAGTTCTGTCAGGCACATTGTCCCGTCTTGTCTCTGTGCCTAAGTTTCCTCATCTGTAAAATGGTTCTTGTGAAAATGGAATGACATAGTGCATATTCTTTTTTCTTTTTTTCTTTTTGAGACAGAGTCTCACTCTGTCACCCAGGCTGAGGGGCAGTAGTATGATCTTGGCTCATTGCAGCCTCTACTTCCCAGGCTCAAGTGAGCCTCCCACCTCAGACTCCTGAGTAGCTGGGACTACAGGTGCATGCCAGTACTCCCAGCTAATTTTTTGTATTTTTTTTTTTTTTTTGTAGAGATGGGTTTTCTCCATGTTGCCCAGGCTGGTCTCGAACTCCTGGACTCAAGCGATCCACTGCCTCAGCTTCCCTAAATGCTAGGATTACAAGTGGGAGCCACCACACATGGCCTGAAAATGTATGATATTATTAAACAGACTGGCACATAATAACCCCTCAACCAACATTTTTGTTAGAAGGACTCTGTTTTTGCATGACAGTAAACGTAATTTGGGTTGAAATCAACCAGTGAGCTCACTATTTTAACATGGAAACTCTCATGTATCCCAAAGCACTTTTTCATGGGGTATATGTGTGTGTGCAAGTGTGTGTGAGCTACTGAAGGCTATTTTCCTTTGGAGAAAGCATTCTGAGTAGGAGATAACATTCATTTTTACAGCAACTTCTGTTTTTAACACTTTCCCTTAAATTGTCGTGATGATTGAAATCTCAAGGCAGTCATTGAGCAGCCCCTAAATGGGAGACAGCAGAGTTGCTGGATTCTGGTCTGGAAAGTGCCCAGTGCGTGTGAGAGGCTGTGGAGGCCGTGAGAGGTGACCTCATGGAGGGAGAGGAAGAGCGTGAGCATGCAGGACACAGATGATCTGGGCTCAGAGAAAGAGGGGAAGTTCATACACTCAAGATGCACAGAGAGGACACTCAGCTGGGCAGAGGGAGGTGCAGGTATCAGTAGCTCTGAGGCTCAAATGGGCCCTGGGAATTGGAGGACGGCAGAGTGGGCAGGGATGGTGACACATGAGGCAGGTGGATGGATGTTGGATAACAGATAATAAGACAAAAATATGGGGTATTTTTTCCTAGTTGAAACCATAGCATAAAATGTATGATGCTACATTCATTTGCTCTGAATGGACATGTCTTCTGTCTGAGAAGGAACTTAGCAAGCAAAATTGACAGTCAAACTTTACAGAAACAAGGCCATCTTGCTGTTAAGCATCGCCTTTTGTCGTCAAGTTTTCACTGTGGTGTATTGAGGTAAAACTGAAGATGTAAATGTGCATATAGGGAAAGGACAGGAAGCTCTTGTTCAAATGTAGATTTTAGTGGTTTGTTGTTTTGAGTTCTGTGGCTATTGGAACTAAAAAGAGGAAGAAATAAAAACATTTGAAATAAGAATTAATATTGTAATGCCTACATTAACAAATTGGTAACATCAAATACATGTGTCTTCAAAATATGGGGTAATGCCTTTCTCAGATACAAATTTAACACTGGGAACCTAATCTGGAAAGCTGTGCTTATATCAGCTCACCTTGTAAGGCCTTGCACGTATAAGCATGTGAATGAGCTATGGGACAAGAAAGACAAGGAAGGGGCACAGATGTTTGAAGGTAGTGTTTACTTACAGTTAGGATTTTCTGCACATGTGTATTTATTGACAGAGGATGATGTTCACAGAATATGGCTAGATTTAAAAAATCTGGTTACAAAACCATGTGTAAGCAGCCATTTAAAAATAAATGTATGCATGGAAAAATATATGTGGCAAAGAAAGTCCTAAAAGAGATACAATTCATATCCTCTTGGAGAGTAAGCACCCTAAAGAAAATTCCACAAGAGACCATAACTAATTACTACTTCATCTGCAGCCCCTTGTTCGGTGGCAGACACAATGTATGTGCTCAACAAATTCTTTGCAAAAATGATTGAGTCTCTAGAAGTGGAATCCCTGATGGCTTTCATTTTTGTTTCTTATTTTGTTTATATAGTTTTTCTAATTTTTCTACAACAAACCTGTATTACTTGTGTTAATGAAAATAAAATAAGAATAGAATTATTTTCTTCTAACTTAATTTAAGGTTTAAGTATTTGAGATCTAGGCAAAGAAAGACCAGTCAGCTCTCCTGGATTTTTGCATGAATCTCATTATGCCCGATAGCACAGAAACGTGTTGGGAATCCACTGCTCAATATTCCTTGCCTAGGGAGGTAGTATGGAGCCAGCAGTAAGGTACTGAAGGAATAAGAAAACCACTAGATGGACGTTGAAGAGAAAGTGCGCCACACTAGAGGCTCTCTTTTAATTAATCAGCTACTCTGCCTTTAAATACAGTATGTTGTCTTCCATGTCAGGAACATGGAGGGAAAAGACCTAGTATGTTTTGTTCAATGTTAAATCCACGTCACTTAACAAAATGGTCAGGATAGTCAAAAAACAAAACAATTATGCAAACATGAATGAATGAGAAACTTCTGCTAGCAATGCTGGTTGGTTTCCCAAAGACATGAAAGTCAGAGTTTGAGGTGAAGAGTCCCGGAGATGTTATTGAACATTTTCTTTTCTTAATTTCCTTCTCAAACTGTGCCAGGGATACTAAGCAAAGAGATAAAAACCCACCATTAAGTGTGTATGTGTGTGTCTGTGTCTGCAATAGGGCGGTTGATAAACAATTTCACTTGCACTCCTAAAGACCCCACAGTTTATGCACAAAAGTTATCAGAAGAGTGGTTGTTGGTATTGATGTATTGACAACCTTAATAACACCTAATGATTAAAAATGAGTCAATGACTTCTGTCTTCTTTGGGGCTTTTTAGAATGAAATAGATGCTTTCATTTTATACAAGTTGTATGTTTATCTTCTCACATCTTTATTCCCAAATATTAAGTTTTTCAGTTATAACAAATCACACACATAGACAAAGTCTTCATGAGTTAAGTGAGGGAATTAGGAAAGACTGATGTGGGATTGGCATTGGATAACAAAGAGGACATGGCTTGGATAAAGGGTTTGAATTAGTTGAGTAAAGGTTGCAGGATGGTGAATAATGGTATGTTTAGCCAACCTGAGTGCAGCATGTGGTATGAGTGTGAAAGGAAGTGCAGGTACAAATCAGTGGGACTCAGGGTCCTGGAAACATAAGGTTAAATAAAGTAGGCAGTTCGTAAGCTTCAAGAATGCCTTCATATTCAGTGCTGTATACCCAGCACATACCGCAGTGCCTGATACCACAGTGGATGCATAATATTTGCTGTGTGAATGAATGAATGAACAAATGAGTGAGTGAATGAGAAATAAGAAGATACACTGAGGTTTTCTGGGCTACAAAGGAGACCTACAGTGTGTTTGGAAGCTGATTTTTTTTTATATAAAAGAGGGAACATTTTGAAAGGCATCCCAGACCTGAGGGCCCATGGCCTACCTAGAAAGGAGTCTAGAAATGGGGATAGGTGAAAAAGGCCGTTGTACATATATGGAATGAATGAGCAAGAAAACAATCCACTGCTGAGAGTGGGTGCAAAGAGAACCTGCTGGGCCTTCCCGCTGCACATGGGGAACCTGAAGAGTTCAGAGCAGTAGGGTCTGGGACATGAGAGGAAGGAGAAAAGCAGGATGCCTGGCTCATGTCGCTCTCTCAGGCTGAATCTTCATTCATGATGGTGTTGGCACCGTCTTCCTACATCTGCGGGGGAAGCAGCACCGATACCTCTCTAAATTAGTAGCTGGACACAGATGGTAATGGAAACTGTAACAACAGGTGATCACTTAAGGGGTTAAGTAGAGAAGACAGGCAAGAAGGGCATGCTGTGAACCATAATTTGGAAGACAGGAGAAGATTCAAAAGACTTTAATACTGAACCCAAGAGAGCTGCAAGGGAAAGAAATGACCCATAGTGTTGCAAGGGCGCTGCAGTTAAAGAAAATGGAATATTTTAATTTTAATACTGTGAAGACGGGGCTGGAATGAAGTAGGGAAAGTATATACCAATAGAAATGAAATTGCTATCACAGAATACAAAAACTGGGTCTTAACCATTTAAAACAGCAATGAACATGGGATGAATGAGTTTCCTGAGTTGCTATAAGCTGTTTCTGAGTAAAAGATTTATTAATGGATACATTGTGACTGTGTAGCCTCTCTCCCGATATTGAACTATTTAAATACCAACTACTTTTAATAAATGTCGGAAACCTTTTGAAAGCCATGTTTTTCAAACTTTGTGTACTGTCTTATGAAGGACACTTTGGTAAACAGAAAAAAGAGATATTGGCTTATAAAAACATAATAATGATAAGGCTCAGATACACAGGAGCAATTTCCTATCAAAATAATAAACTTACCTAGGATACTTAAATATCCCTACTGGTTTTTATCAGAGAAATAATAGGTCTGCTGTATGCAGTTTTATTGATTCAACATGAATGAAGGCATAAAACAATATTTCTGTTTGCAAAGGAAAATTATTACAATCAACCACCTCAAATTAATTTTGAATTCCTCATGTGTTTGTAACTTAAATTTATTTTACTACTTGAATGCTTTATATAATATTTAATAGTATTAAATTAAATCTAGAGATCCAGGAGCTAGTTGTTGAGTTTTTATGTATGTGTGGATTAGCCAGGTATCTTTGGAGCTTAGATCATTTCTTGGGCACTGTGAGATTTAGTGGCACCTGGGAGCAGGTAAAGTGAAGGTAAATGTGAGTGACAGCTAATGTCATTCAGTTATAATTGCACTATTTTGGTTGGTCAGATATAACCAAAGTGGGAATTTTTTAAAAAACAATAAATTCTGGACATGTATTTTTCTAGATAAACAAATCCATAATCAAAAATGATTTTTGCTTTAGGTGGCGTATTGATAATAAAGGTGCATGGAATTCATATGCCCATTGTCTCCACTGCTCAGTGAAAGAGGAATTGTGGACAGATCTCTAAAATTCCTTATATAATCTTTGAAGTGAAACCACTCTTTTACTTGCTCCTTTGTATGTGTCATCTTGAAGGATTTCTAAAAGATTGTATCTACACTCAGTATTTGGGTGGATAGGAGACTGTCATTGAAGAGGCATCTCAAATTGAGGCCACCAGATTTCCTTCCCCACTACCAGTACATCAGAGAAAAAAAAAACACTTTAAATACTCTGTATACATTAACATGGGATATCAAAGAGTCCCAAACTCCAATTATATAACATAAATTAATTAGTGCAGCCTACTGCAAAGCCCATATTCAAACTCAATATTCAGAGCAATAACAGCCTGGAAATACCCAGCATGTCTTCAAGCCAGTTAGCTTGTTTTCTTCTGGGAATAGGAGGTGAATCCGTCCGTTTTCACACTTCTATAAAGAAATACCTGACGACGCTGGCTAATTTATAAAGGAAAGAGGTTTAATTGACTCCATTCTGCATGGCTGGGGAGGCCTCAGGAAACTTACAATCATGGTCGAAGACACCTTCTTCACAAGGCGGCAGGAGAAAGAGTGTGTGAAGTAGGAACTGTCAAACACTTATAAAACCATCAGATCTTGTGAGAACTCACTCCCTATCATGAGAACAGCATGGGGGAAACCGCCACCATAATTCAACCCCTCTCTCCACACGTGGGGATTGTGGGGATTATAATTCAAGATGAAATTTTGGGGGGTGGGAGGACACAGCCAACCCATATCAGGAGAGTTAGGCAGAGATACCTGCCCAGGTAGATAAAGGAGCACATAGCGATGGGGATAGGTGCTCAATACAGGCAATCAGATTCGGAGCTGCTTTGTTCTGAGTTTCTGTGTTTTATTCTCTTTTCCAGTAAAAACTGCATCTGTGTGCGCGCGCACACACGTGCACACACACACACACACACACACACACACACACACACTGCAAACATGTTCTTGTACTCCAGTGAGGACTAAGTGGCACCCATTGTGCTTGGTTAGGTTTCTTTCTCTAGACCCATGGAGCACCAGATAGGAGAGCCAGTGAACCCGCCTGATGTTAAAACTGCAGTGCTACGTTTTCCTGACTCAGCCTCTTTTTTTTGCCTGAAGCGCTCTTTTTTTTCTGTTACCCGCCTTGAGAAATTCTCCTAATAGTCTGCAGCTTCAGCATGGTCAACTCTAAACCCCTTACACATTGTAGTCAAACAGAGCTTATTTTAAATTTCAAGTTTGCTTGGATGGCCTTGGTCAAGTTATTACCTGCCTTGAGGCTAGCTTTTCTCATTTTTCTCATGCATGTGTAAGAAGATGAGTTTTTTGTTTTTTGTTTTTTTTTGGTTAGGGCTGTTGTAAAGATCAAATAAAATATCATTGCTAAGTGTCCCAAACATAGTATATGCCCATAGCTGTTAGTTCCTCACCTTCCTTTAAGACTCAATCCAGGTGCTAATCAAATGGGAAGTCTCACAGTCGACTCAGGGATCATCAGGTACCACCTGCCTTTATAACAATTCTTCTCACATTGTATTGCACTTATTTGCTATTTGTGTCCTGAGGGCTGACATATAATAGCCCCCCTTCAAGTGACTGCTGAGTTGTGGAAGGCAGTAGCAATGGCCATAGGGAGGTAACGTCTATCACAGGATGTAGATGTTTCAGAATTGTGGAAATTTAAGCAGTTAGCAGGCATCTCATCTCCCACCTCAATGTAATTTCATGAACAATTTACTTCAGAGTAGCTGGAAGAATTTAGATAATCACTGCATTCATAAAACAACATCTCCATTTAGGGGAGGTTCTTCCCCCATTCTTTCTGACCTCCCTCCCCTCCCAAGTTGGGAGATCAACTTGGGGCTACTGTTGGAAGTAAGAGACGTCTGTGAATGTCGTATTAAATTAACACTGGGGAAACCATGGGGAAGATCTGTGCATTTCATCTGTATTACTCAGCAGTGTTCTAGCACAAAGCACCTCTATGTGGAGACAGCTTTAGGTATAAGAGCATACATCTAAAAAGATTTTCCCAAGAATATGTCTGCCCTAAGAAGCAACCCATTTTACTCTAGCTATTCTAAATAGCTAGCCTCTAAACTGCTTTTGAAGTACATAAAATAATCCATTGCTTTGGGAGAAAAAAATCAAGCTTCTGTTGGTATTAATTTATCTCATCCTTTTAAAGTTTCTATTTTCATATGTTTATTATACACTATGGAGTAGAACACATATATGCCTTACAAATAAGTAGATATATGTGGGGAACTCAATTTTTTGATGAGGGCAAGATGGTTTAGATGACAAATACAACTTTTCCTTTTCCCAGACTGTGGTTTTGTGCTTGCTCACCAAAGCTAACCTCAGCATGCTCAAAAGGAAGCAGAGTTCCAGGGTGGAAGCCCAGCCAGTCACTGACTTTGGTCCTGATGAGTCTCTGTCGGATAATGCTGACATCCTCTGGATTAACAAACCAGTAAGTTTCTTCTTTGAGTATGGAGAAGCATATGTGGATGTGAGATAAATGTGATTGACAAATTCAAATATCATGTACCTTTGGCTTCGAAATATCTGAGCTGCAGTAGAATATGGATGAGGTTCAGAGTCTGGAAGTAGAGAACAATCCAATGAAATAGTGAGATGTCGCTATGAGTTACTCACATAGGAAGATGCACTGGGTAGTCTGATCCCCTCCCCTCCCCACGCTGTGCACCCTGTCCTCAGAGTCACATGGTGTAGAGATGATACCACTTCTTAGGCTGATCCAAAGCTGGGGTCCAAGATGAGCAACCTGTTCTGAATGAACCTCCTTTACTTGTTGTCAACGTTCCTGAATCCGTGAGACAATATGCACATGTTTGGAATTAAAGGTCTCCTTCTGATTTGCAAAATTTGAGTAAAAGGTCAATGAGATAATGGATGGTATCTCTGAAGAACTTTGTCACCTTCACCGCCTAATTAAGTTGATGAGGATTTGAGAAGAACTGCTAGGCCAGGCACGACTGTGTGCCAGAAAGCATAGTAACCAGAACTAAGCCTGACAGGCATGCATATCCATGAGTGCTGGAATCTCAGCTCTGCAAAACCAAGCAGGATCAACTTCTTACTCATCTCATGGTTGATGCTGAAGTAACAAAAGGAAATGGCCTGTTCCCTCTTGCAGTGCTTGTCCTTCCCCCAACCATGATACACACATGATCTGCTTGGACTCTTTGCTGTCCTTCCCAGTCTCTCTTCCTCTAATCTGCCCTCCAGGTTACTTTCCCTGCCTGCTCACATTTCTTTCTATATTTCTATTTTTATTCACATCACGCTTCTGCTTTATAATCATGGAAGCATCCCTATTACCTTCATTGCAAATTAAAATACGTTAGTGTGACATTCCTGCTTCTTTTCATTCAGGACCTAACCTGTCCAGCAACTGCTCCTTTCCTGTGTCAGCACACTGTCCACTTGAGCCCCATCAGCAGCCTCCTACTCCTCTAGGCTCTCTGGATTGTTCACATTGCTTTCCCTGCTCGTACTGCTCCCTGGCCCCAGTGACCCTTTCCCAGCTCCTCTGATGAGTCAAATCCTCCTCATCCATTAGGACTGGATGAGATGTCACCTCTGGCATCCTCCTCTGAAAGGCTTATTTCCACCACAGACAGAATGTACCTCTCTTCTCTTTCCACTTAGCCTGTTTTATATTTGTATGTAAATATAAAGTTATCTATAAATAACTGTATTTTTATATGCATCATATATTATGTGTATATTTACATTATATACATTGTAGGTCGTGTGTATATTTATATAATATACATATATTTATGGATCTATTGTCTTAGGTATATATACATGTTATATACACATACATATAAACATATAACAGGTTATATGTATATCACATATATACACATTACACATACACATATATGTTATATGTGTTAACATATATGCATATTACCCACACATATAAATATCATGTGTATATAACATATATACATGTCGCATATGCATATACATATATATTATATGTATGTATAATGTGTACATATATTTATATGTGCATGCATATAACATGTATATGTAATATGTATATATGTTATATACGTGAGACTATACATGATATATGTATATTATGTCTTATCTAGAACATGTTTTATAATGTTATATAATGTGACATGTTTTTGCCTCTTGCAGTGCTTGTCTTTCCCCTAACCATGATACATGCAGGATCTGCATGGACTCTTTGTTGTCCTTCCCAGTCTGTCTTTCTTTCTCTAATCTGCCTTCCAGACTACATGTGTTTACATGTATGTGTATTTACATGAAACATAATATATACATACATATAACATGCTATGTGTATATGCACACATTATATATATGTATGTGTATGTATATATATATATATATATATATATATATATATATATATATATAATACATTCATAGGTGTTTTACTTCTTGGACTGCAAAGCAGGAGTCAGAAGTGTGTTGCTTCCATATTTTGTTCTCCATTCCCAGCATTCTGACACATAGTAGGCCTTCATTCATACTTAGAGAATTGAATGGAATAGAGAATGAAGCACCCCTAACTTTTTCTTAGTGTCCATCTTATTACAGAGCTTTCTACAAACTTATGAAGAAGGTAGTATAAAAGATGTGGCCTTGGAGGCACTTACTAAAATTAATAATTCTTCATTAAAATTATGTCTTTAAACTAAAAACACTTTTGTTGTTGAAGAACTTATATTTGGAAGCTCTTTTGTATAATTAGATTCTTTATGTTGAAAGTCCAGATGGGGCTAAATTCACACACCAATGTTTATTGAAGTGCTTCCAAATTGCATGAAAAATACATCAACCTTTAAAGTAAACTGAATCATCAGTGGCTTATGTGGTATGGAATTAGCAGCAAAATATCTTCATGTAAATATTATAACTGTCAGATAAATATTATAACTCCTCAGCTGCAAGTGTCTGAGTCTCCTGAAAGTTCTGACAGTCTTTTCTATTTTTCATCTTGAGTATTTGCTAGTATATATAGCTGCAGAATCCATCTACTACAAGACTAAAATTTTTTTCAGAGTATTATATTAAAGAATTATCATAATTTCATATATGTCCCAGATAGTCAATAAAAACGTATTTGGATTATGTTTAAGAATTGTATACTAATTGATTAACTGGTAATATTAATTGTGGTGGGTTTAGCATGGAGATGCAGTTAAGTATTTTTTTAATCCTAGATACTAGTTTTCATAATAAAATATTGAGTATGAGTGATTGTATGTCCTGTATATATATTCATGTTAACACACACTTATCTTTAATTCTTTCTTCTTATTTTGGGGTTAAAGAAAATCTTCAGACAGCAGACATGCCTGTAGTGTTGCACAGAAAGTTATTTTGTGGAATTTTGAAAGATGTCTGGGCTAAATTTGTATAAAATGTGTTCTCCAAAATAAAGAGAAAAAATCTATGCATTTTTTTCAAATGTAGGATGAGACCAGATTTTTAAAAAGTTTCTTTGTATTTTTATACAAAGGCATTATATATCAGATACAAATAGAAAGGAAATTCTAAATATGGGATGTGTTATATATCAATTCATTTAAAAAGCATTTCTTAACTACTATGATAGGCCCTTGTGCTAGATGCTAGGGAAGTTATGGTAAATATAGTATGCCCCTAATTCTAGGTACTTATAGTACAAAAATGAAAAAAAAGTAATGGCACATCAAGTTCCTATGTGACTAAATTACAAACACATATTTTAATTGAACCAGAATCTTCCTATATTGTAGTCTGATGCCCAGGAGGTTATCAGATGTTTGGGAGAGCCTGATCAGGTTCCGTCTATGCTTTGGGTCTTTGTAACGCATGGCCACAGAAATGCCTCCACCTTTCTGTCTTAGTGTGTTTATGTGGAAAATAGGTGCCTTGAGAATTAAATGATATAAAAACGTGAAAATATTTGTAGCACATTATATGCACTTAGTGTTAGATTTCTTCTTCTTCACCTCCACATTAGTAAACTATTTTAACCTCAGTATTATGTTTTCCACTTAGTGTGGTTCATAATACAAGTTTGAGATATCAGTTATGGTGCCGTGTAGTAACTCTGGACCATCATTGCAGTGGGTTCACTCTTTGCTGCGCATCTGTGCCATCATCAGCGTCATTTCTGTTTGTATGAATACGCCAATGACCTTCGAGCACTATCCTCCACTTCAGTATGTGACCTTCACTTTGGATACATTATTGATGTTTCTCTACACGGCAGAGATGATAGCAAAAATGCACATCCGGGGCATTGTCAAGGTGAGCACTTCCATGTCATTTAAACTAAGAACCTAAATGTGTTGAAAGTCTTAATCCCTTTAATCATATTTTCTTGTTCATTTCAGTAAAACAAAACATCATTTTATCTTATACATATGGAAGTCCTTTTTAAAAAGGCATAACTCCAGAGACTGGGAGAAATTGTTGCATGAGACTATTTTAAAAGTTAAATAAATTTTGTAAGTCACAAACTCTTGGAATATCTGAGAAGGAACAAGATGGTTTGACTAATGACTGTGTGAAGTCTCGAGTAGGGTTATTCATGCCACTTAGGGCTGAGCCCACAACCCAGCACAGGGGCTGGCCCAGAGAAGCACCTTATTATTTGTTGACTTAGGGAGTGCAGAATCAGAGTCACATGATAGAGTTAGAGCATGATATTATTGCAGCACGATGTCATTTACTTGATGTGTTTTGAAAATACAAAAGGATAAAAAAAAAAGGACATGAGATGGAAAAAATGTCTGGGGCCAAAAGGAAAATTATGTGTCATGTGAAATTAGTACCAATTGGAAACAAAATAGATATAAAATGTTTTAAAAGGGTAAAGAAAGGGAAAGAAAAGGAAGAAAATTTCTGTCACTGGATATCTTTTCCTTCCATAGCACTAATCTTTACATAGGTTAAACATATGTAGATGATGCTGTCCCTAGAGTATTTAAATTGTACTATTTGGGGAAGCAGTAATAGGAGTGCAGATTTTAGAGTTTGACAAATGACAGACGACTCAGATCTTAGTTCTTTCACTTACTGGTTGTATCAGCATCTCAAGTTAGCTAATTTTGGTGAGAAAGTGTTTTATTTTGTACAAGGATTTTGAGAATCTACTGAGACAATATATAACACATAATTATTTGTCAATTTCATTGCTTCCCTTTTATACATAATTAATTGTGTGCCATCCTTGAAAGACAGAGATCACAGACAATGCATTAATAGGTTCTTGTTTAACTTTTTATTGTGGACTTTAAAAAATTTACCCCAAAGTATATTACAGTTATAATGTGAATCCCTGTAACTACACATCAACAATTATCAATATTTAGCCAATTCTGTTTCATTTTAAAGCAAATCTGAGAAACCAAGTCATTTCAGAAATAACTCCTTTTGTATTGGTGACTGATAAAATTTTCTCTTTTTATAACCACCATACCATTATCAAATATAATAATATTTTACATATGATAAAATATTTGTAACAAGACTTAGCAATAATTCCTTAATGTAGGCTAATACTTAACCCACCGTTCATATTTCCTAATATTGTCACAAATTTTTTTTATGGTTGGTTTCTTCAACTCAAGACTCAGACAAGGTTTACATAGTATACTTGATTGTTTTTGTTTTCGTTTTTGGGAGGGAGGTTCACTTTTGTTGCCCAGGCTGGAGTGCAATGGCACGATCTCAGCTCACTGCAACCTCTGCCTCCTGCATTCAAGCAATTCTCCTGCCTCAGCCTCCCAAGTAGCTGGGATTACAGGCATAAGCCACCACCCCGGGCTAATTTTGTATTTTCAGTAGAGATGGGGCTTCTCCATGTTGGTCTTGAACTCCCGACCTCAGGTGATCTGCCCGCCTCGGCCTCCCACTTATGTTTCTTAAGTCTCCTTTAAGTCTCTGTAAGTCCACTAAGTTTCAGCTTTTCACATCCTGCAAAAAATTTTCCTATGTCATTGATCCATTGGAAGACATGCGTCTTTTGTCTTGTGGAAGATTCTACATTTGAGATTTGGCTGATTGCTTCCAGATGGTGCTCTTGAATAGTTTCTGTGTACTCCTTGTCCTCTGAACTGCTTTGTATTTTGACCAGCAATGCGCACAGGTGCTTCTTTCCCACATGGTCACCTCAAAATATGTCAGACTTCTGGATATTTGCCAGTCTGAAGGGTGGGAAACGGTAATCCACTGTAGTTTTAATTTGCATTTCCCTTTTGAGAGTGAGGTTAGATGGGATTTTATGTATCAAGAGCCATTTTTAAGTTACTATTTTTTCATTCAATTTTGGCCACTCTGTGTGTGTTAGAAGTATCAGCCGTTTGTGATATAAGTTGCAATTGTTTTTCCCAGTTTGCCATTGTGATTGGCTTTGTTTGTGGTTATTTGTACCATACACAATTCTTATCCAAATCATGGACAAACTTTCTATTGTCTGCATTTTATGTCATACAGGAGAGTTTTGTAGGTTTCCTCATACAGATTTTGCACATTCTTGGTTATATTTATGCTTTGGTATTTTATTTAATCATTTTGTTATTTGTATGAGGTCTTCTATTACATGTTCTAACTTGTTCTTTTAAATGAAGGCTGTTGGTTTCTATACATTAATATTATATTCTGCTACTTTACTAAATGTTCTAGATTCTTGTATTAGTCATAATAGTTTTCCTGCTAATTCTTTTGATGCTTCCATATGATCATATCATATTCAAATAAAGAAAGATTTGTCTTTTTCTTTGTAATTTTTATGCCCTAGTTGCTTTTACTTACTTAAAGTAAAATAAATGAATTGACTAACACTGCCGGTAAAATTTTAAATACTAGTAGAGGTAGTGAACATTTTTATTTTGTTTTGTTTTTGGTTTATCTAGAACATCTCTAGTGTTTCTTCATTAACTAGTTCAAAAAATTGGGATTTGAAGTATGTGTACATTATTGGATTAAGTGAATAAACTTTAATTTCACATTTTGAGAGTTGTAGCACAACTAGCTTTTTAATTTGTCAAATGTTTATTTTTAATTTGTCAAATTATTATTTTTTCCTTAGTGCTTGTAAGAGAAGAGATTTTTAAATATTGAGTTATCCTTCCATTCCGATAAAGAAAAATCCCTACTGGGTCAACATACATTTTTATTCTATTTTAATGTGTTGTTTTGTTATATATGTTATTATTTTCCTTATTTTAAATTTGGTCTAATCTTTGTCAGGTTTTGATATTAGATTTTTCATGTGTGTGGGTGGCGGGCATGTATGCACACTATAAAATAGTCTGAGCACTCTCAGAATTGTTTTCACTTTAAAAGTTTGGTATCAGTTCCCGGTGAAATCATCTGGTCCTGTTGCGTTTTTGTGGGGGTTCCTTTGCAGTATTTCCTATTTCTTCTATGGAAATTGTCTGTTTTATTTTTATTTTTATTTTTTATTTTTTGTTTTTTTTTTGTTTTTGTTTTTGTTTTTTCGAGATGGAGTCTCACTCTTGTCACCCAGGCTGGAGTGCAGTGGTTCATTTTCGGCTCACTGCAACCTCTGTCCCCCAGGTTCAAGCGATTCTCCTGCCTTAGCCTCCCGAGTAGCTGGGACTACAAGCGTGTGCCACCACGCCTGGCTAACTTTTTGTGTGTTTAGTAGAGATGCGGTTTCACTGTGTTGGCCAGGATGGTCTCAATCTCCTGACCTTGTGATCCACCTGTCTTGGCTTCCCAAAGTGCTGGGATTACAGGCGTGAGCCACTGTGGCAGACCTATGTCTTCATTTTTTAGTAGAGACAAGATCTTGCTCTGTTGCCCAGGCTGGAGTGTAGTGGTGTGATCATAGCTCACTGCAACCTCCAGCTCTTGGGATCAAGAGATCTCCCACCTCATCCTCCCATGTAGCTGGGACTACAGGTGTGTGCCACCATGTGTGGCTGATTCTTAAAACTTTTTTTAGAGACAGGGTCTTGCTATGTTGCCCAGGCTGGTCTCCAACTCCCAGACTCAAGCGATCCTCCCACCTCGGCCTCCCAAAGTGCTGGGATTACAGGCGTGAGTCACAGTGTTCAGTCAAAACTGTCTGTTTCAGACTTGCTTGGTCTATTGGGGTCTATTTGGTGAAGTATATTTTCTTAGGAAATTATCCCCTATTTATTTTGTTTAATTATTTGGTAACATAGACCTGTGTAAATAGCTTTTCTTTCCTCTGTTTGATTTTCTCCTAATTTTGTATTTTTTTGTTATTTTGATTAGCATTTTGTTGTCATCAGGTTGGCTAGCAGTATTTTTTGTTTGTTCCATTTTGTTTTAGGTTAGCCAATTGGTTTGCTCATTTTGTTGATTTTTTTTAAAAAGAATCAGCTTAATTAACTTATTAATTTTTGTTTAATTTTTTTCCTTTAAAAATATTTTTATTATACTTTAAGTTCTAGGGTACATGTGCATAACATGCAGGTTTGTTACATATGTATACATGTGCCATGTTGGTGTGCTGCACCCATTAACTTGTCATTTACATTAGGTATATTTCCTAATGCTATCCCTCCTCCCTCCCCCGACCCCATGACAGGCCCCGGTTTGTGATGTTCCCCTTCCTGTGTCCAAGTGCATTTATTAGTTTCTTTCTTTGCTTTATTTGGTTTACTTTATGGGTCTGTTTCTAACTTTTCGAAGGTGTTTGTCTCACATTTTCATTTCTTGAGACTCTTAAATCTGCTGCTTCCTTGCCTCGTGGTTAAAATGTTAACCACAAGGATAATGTTAACCAGCAGCATAAAATGTTACTGCTGAGAATGTTTTTTTTTCCCTCGAAGTGGCTTGCTCTTTTCTCCTGAATACGGAAAGAGACTTTCCCTTTATTGTTCAAGTCAGCAGCTCTATGAGAATGTATGTTATCTTTTTGTTGATAGTTACGGATATATTTTCCTAGTTTCATCATGTGATATTTATTTTATTGCATTGTTTTCAGGATTCCTTTTGTATTCTAATTATACCAGGATCTATGGTTTGGTCTTTCCTTTCCTTTGTTTTCTTTCCATGTATTTCCCTCTGTTTTTATGTTTTCTACATTCTCTTTCCCTTGCTTCACTCCTCATGCTGTCCCCTCACTCCTCTGTCCCCTGTATTTCACTCCTCTTTCTCAAATACTTTTTTCATTTCTTTTTCATCATTTCCTGAACAGTTTTTGTTCTTTCTTTTTTTAGTCTCTTATCATTTAGACATCATTTCTGTGTTTTCTTATTTCTAGTTTTGTGATTCTTTTGGAGCTTCTATTTGTTTAAATTTCTTTTGGTCATGTTGTCATATTCGATTATAGTCTTCATCTGCTTTGAGTGTTTATTTTCTGTTTATACGTTTATGTATTATTTTATTTTTACTTTTATTATTTTTTGAGACAGAACCTCGCTCTGTCACCCAGGCCGGAGTACAGTGGTGCAATCTTGGCTCACTGCAACCTCCACCTTCTGGGTTCAAGCAATTCTCCTGCCTCAGCCTCCTGAGTAGCTGAGATTACAGGCACGCACCACCACACCCGGCTAATTTTTGTATTTTTAGTAGAGATGGGGTTTCACCACGTTGGCCAGGCCAGTCTCAGACTCCTGACCTCAGGTGATTCGCCTGCCTTGGCCTCCCAAGGTTCTGGGATTCCAGGCGTGAGCCACCATGCCCGGCCTATGTATTATTTCATTCATCTTATTCTGTAATGTTTTTACAAGGGCTTCATCATGATCCGTTTGTTTGGTTGTTCTTCTTGTTGTTCACATGAAATGGGAGTTTTTCCCACACATTGGGTAGAGTAGCCTCTGCATATTGTCAGTACGAGGGGTCCCTCCACTGTTGTTATCCTGATGGGTAAACATGGAGCTTTTCTGTGTACCGACCGTCAGGTTCTGAGCTCTGCTGCCTCTGGACTGCTGGCCCAATTATCGAATATTTCTTACCCACTGGCCCCAGTGTCCCTGCCCTACTGAATTGCCATTCTAAACATGGGGCTGTGGTCTGGAAAGGGTTTTTGTTGGGTGTCCTTTGGAGTTTCTAATATTCCATTGCCTCTGATCTTTCTGCAGTTTCTTGGGGACATTGGTAGTCATTTGTTTTTGTTTTGTTCCTTTGTTTTACATTAACCTGCAACTTGCAGCCTACCAGTTTACATTTCTACAAATGTTGCCATTTATTTTAAGGTTCACCTTCTGAGATATCTGCTCAGCATTCCACACGTATTTATTAGTGATTTTGGGGTTTTGGAAATCTACTGGTTTATGGAAGAGGTGGGCATCCTCCATAGCTTCAATGAACAGATTTCAGGATGATTCCAAAATTGTCTGTATCTTCCACAATGTGGCTAGGCTAGTTTTTATAAGCACTAGGTTTAGATAAGCATAGGTTCAGAAAACTGGAACCTGTCTCAGGAGGCCATCTTGGGAGAAAGTTGGTCTTGGGAGAATGCTAACATCTCTGTTATTCACAGTACTCCCCTGGACGTTGCCCGGCCCTAGCTCACATTCTGTGTAGTTGCCCGGCCCTAGCTCACTAGAGGGCCATGAATGGCCCTGTCACTTGTGTGTAGTGGTTATTGGGGCCATGGCAACCTTTGCCCATGCATTGAAAGATCTGAATATTCTGGGTGAAGCATTTTATGATTGAAATTGCCATGTGTTGACTTCTTAAGGGTTCCATTTGAATGAAACAAATAAGTGACATGTTCCTACAAGAAAACTTTTGTTTTTTTAAGTCATTAAATAAAGACTTGGATTTCACATCACTAAAATGATAGTAGGCATTCTGCTAGTTGTCACAGTCTAATGATAAAAAGAACAGAGGCATACTTAATATATAAATTATATACTCATTCCAAGTGAACAGAGCAGTGAGAGAACACAAGTTTTAATAATGTAAATGTTAGAAGTTGAATCAATAGTTAAAAGAGAAAGAAATGACTTAGGACCAAATCGTTTTCAAAATGCTGTAAATTAGCCATTTCCAGTATTTTCACATTTCCATCAACATTTGGGTGATGAGCTATTTACTACAACCAAAATTTTTTTTTTTATTTTCAATCTGTAAGAGGTGAAATTTAAAATGAAAATCAAATAAGGTTTTCTGGTTTTCATTCAGAAATAATTGGATCAAATACAACTGTAATGCAATTTTAGTAATATTGCACTGTTAACATTATCTTGAAGTAGTCAGCTCAACTTCATAGCTCAGTAAAACTGGTATTCTATGTTTAAATGCTAGCTAACGTTTTAGTTAAATATAGTTAAATATGAAATCTGTTTATCCTGAACCAAGCTTTAAATGTATCAACTCACTAAATTTTTACCATCATGGCCTCTATTATTGTTAGAGGGTAATAATTATATCAGTAAGTACTGTCATTTTCATGATATTAAATCTAAGCCACAGTTTTATTATTTTTATACTACAGACTTCTTCAAACATGCATGTCATAACAGATACAGCTCAAAGAGTATATTGGGCTTGATATTATTTTCTTATATTCAAAACTTAAACTTTTAATAAGACTTTATTTTAGCAAAATGTCCTTTGTCACATTAAATGTATGTTCCTAATTTATATTTTATTAGCTTTGCATTTTTGTATTTGTAAATTTGTTTTGCTTTTATACTTACATGAGAAATTTGTACATATTGTAGGTGTTTAAGTTACATCATAATAAAAACACACTGTCACATCGAAGTTCTATACCTTTCAGGGGACCTCTCATATTACTCAAGTTTGAGTTACTATGCTTTCTTCAACTCTACCATAATTTTTAAAACTTTTGTTAAGCACTTGTCTGCTGAAAACCTCATCATTTTTCATACTTTTTCTACCTTAATACATTTGCCAATAGCACTGCAGTTATCTCTCAATTCTTTAGTCCCTTCACCCAGAATAATTTGCAAATATGTGCTGCATTTTCTCACTAACATTTAAGCTTGTATTTTTTCATACATAAATAGGAACGTTATGAATATACATGTTCTATTTTAATCTTCAGGTTACACTTTTCATAGTAAGTTTTCACATTGTTTGGAACAGAGTTGTGCAAATATGAAATGTTTAATATTCACTGATTTCCATCTAAAATATTTCTAAGGAATAGTCAAATTTAGTTATTGAGTGAGCAGTACCTGTTAGCCATGTGTTCTGGGTGGAAAAGTGTGTGTGAGTTGATGTACACATATGCCAGTGATTTGCGAAATGCTAACCTGTTTTTTTTTTTTTTTTTTTTTTTTTTTGAGACGGAGTCTCGCTCTGTCGCCCAGGCCGGACTGCGGACTGCAGTGGCGCAATCTCGGCTCACTGCAAGCTCCGCTTCCCGGGTTCACGCCATTCTCCTGCCTCAGCCTCCCGAGTAGCTGGGACTACAGGCGCCCGCCACCGCGCCCGGCTAATTTTTTGTATTTTTAGTAGAGACGGGGTTTCACCTTGTTAGCCAGGATGGTCTCGATCTCCTGACCTCATGATCCACCCGCCTCGGCCTCCCAAAGTGCTGGGATTACAGGCGTGAGCCACCGCGCCTGGCCAACCTGTTATTTTTTAAAGAGTCTTTTCCATGCATAAAAGTATGTTAGTCCATAAGAAAATATTTATAGAAGCAAACCAATGTATTTTTGCCCAGCTGTCATGCACAGTTCTTTAAAATTATACCTAGCCAATTTTGGCAATGTTATGGTGTACCTAAGAGTCATACCTAATCGTTAAAGTAGTGTTATCCAATGATACCTAGTTTATAAAATTATGCACGACAAACCAAACCCAGAAACTTTATTTTTTCAAAACAAACGTGTCAAAGCTGTGGCTTCCTAGCATTGCCTACTAAGTTTATTGACCTAGTAATTTGCCAAATATATTAAAATATGTATAAATATAAATATAAAATATGTAAGATATGAAAATGTTTAAGATATTTAAGATATAAATGTAATATAAGAATGAGTTATATTCTTAAACCCAAGTACAGTTTCCAAGTTTTCCTTTAGTCATCCAGCAACCATTTATTGAACACTTACAATGAGCTCATCTCTGTCCTTGGAGAAGGGAAACAGACAAAACCAAGCAGAGCTCCTGTCCTCAGAGAAAACCTGGTTCACTCTGTGGGACAGACTTAGCACATACAGGCACTCTTCATTTTCAACATCCAATATATTTCTGAAAACATGGTGGATAGCATATTTTCAGAAAATAGGCACTTCTCTTTCACTAATTTATATGGGAAAACTAATAATGTATTAGGGGAGCTCGACTGATTTCTCCAAATATCACTGCATTACCATCTAATACCTATACAAGTCAACCTGCATATTTCTGCAAAATAAAAAGCATTTAAAACATCCCTTACCCAATTATTTGCACTAATCAAACCACAGTGGATGTTTTATATGTGCCCAACAATAACAGGAAGTTTCTGTTATTAAGTAAATTTAAAAAATACATTAAAGTACCATCCACCATATTTTATTGAATTGTTGATATCATCAATTGTAAAAAAAAATGGCATCACTTCACAGATTCACGGGTCTCTAAGAAATAATAAAGGCTTCTAATTATACTTTGACTGTAAGATGTAAGATTTTAATTGAAGCATCAATTAGAAGATGCATGCTGAATCCAGAATTGTGCAACTGTGTTGGAGCAGGGTAGGGTGTGTTTTAGAATTGGTGAAATATGATAAAATGGGCCTGGGTTGGTAAACTCAATTTTTGGATCTTTTGAAAGGCTAACTTTCAGGGGAAAGGTAAGACAGAGGAAGATATCAATGCACTAGTATTAAATAGTTAAGTAGGTAAACAATGCTGGTACAAGATTGGGCCCAAAAGGTGAACAACAGAGATACACCTGCATTGCACACTATACCTTTGGCAGAATCCACTGGCAACTTTAATGTCTCCATTGGCACACGTGCAAAGTCATTATGGTGGTTCTTCTAGGTTCATAGTGATTCTGGGGCAAACATTTTTTGCAGATATAAATAGCAAATATTAGTATAATGAGAATCTACATAGAGAGGGACCTTCTTTTTTTTTATGAAAGGGCTTTAATAGTGGTCTGTAAAAGCTATGGGGGAGGCAGGCATAAAAAAGAAAAGGACCAAAACTGTCTGCTTGGGGATATCAGAGAAGTCTTGAAGAAAGAGGAACGTGAAACAATGCCTTGAAGGATGAGTAAGTGTGGTCTGTGGCAGGGGTGATGGAAGTAAGATAGAAGTAAGGGATCTCACGGAGAAAGAAAAGGAATATGAGGCACAAAGGAGTGGAACAGCAAGGTACATGCCGAGCTCAAAGTAGTCAGAAGTGGCAGATGGGCTGTGCACAGGAGGCAGCTGGAGAGGAGTTTGTGAAACTAGACCTGGCTGCATCATGGAGGGCCCAGCAGGCTCTGCAAGGAGTTCTGACTTTGTTCTGTGGTCAGTAAAGATGCATGGAGGATTTTCATCTGAGAGTGGTACAATCTGATTTGTGTTTGAATAGTTCACTCTGGAAGTTACATGCTGGATGCACAGCTGGGGAGAGAAACTGAAGCAGAAAGTCCTTCCAGCAAGAAATGTCTTTAACAATTTTTGTTGGAGGAATGCATTTGTTTTAAGTGTTTTCCATCTTTTATAATATTCCCAAAGCTTGAAGGTGCTTGCCCATCAATTCCCACTCCTCAACAGCTTTCTTCTAATTGCCTCCCTAATTCCTCTTGCTGGAAGCATTTTCACTCACCAAATCCCTAGAGGTGAAAAGAAACTATTTGGATGATACATGTCTGTGTTGTTGCAGAGCACTTCATGCATTGCAGACTGTGAGTTCTTTAGACCATTCTCAGTTGTCTATTTCACATCTGGCAATAGATACAAGTAAAAGTAGCATGCATCCTTTAAGCACTGTTGAAGTAATATATAATGATGCTAAGACATAGTGACAGATGGGCCCTGGAAACTTGGGACAATAAATCCTGTTCTCATGAAACTGTACCAGTGCATATCATTTTGTCACTGCAAAATATATCCCTATAAATGTGTTTCCTTTTTCTGCTTGTTAAATACTTGCATGATATGTTGTTACTTTCTTACCTTATCGTTGATTGGCAGTCTTCAAGTGTTTACCGTTATAAAAATTGACATATACAGCTCTTGAAGCACTCCTCTCCTCAGCCACCAAAGTGCTGATTTTTGCGCATAGCTCAAGCACTCTCTGCCCTCCATTTCTTGTTGATGGAACAAACAAATTAAAACATTTTTTCATATTTAAGGTGTTAAAATATCTTGAGTACCACTGGGCATTCATATGTGTTAGCTTCTGGTTGCATATTTTAGAATTGGGTTGCAAATATTATAACTTGAGCCTCAATACAGTAGAATTTTAAAGGATCTGGCCATGCTTATAAATGGAATCAAAGCAACTTTGACTACTATGGCTAGGGCTTCTGACGATAATTTGATAAATGTGCCAGATACAAAACATAATCCAAGATTGTATTGCAAAGTGTCAGATTTCAAGGTCTGCATTCTACTTATTTAAAAGTATTATAAACTTATTGTGCCTTAGCAATTATTGATAATGATTAATATGATAGTAATTTTAATTCCTACCAGTTCAATTGTATTTACAATCATGGTAATGTATAAAATATGTAAACCGTAACTGTATTTGCATGGCATGTTTAGTTCTGCTTATGCAAACTATGCTAATCCAGGAAGTATCCATAAGTCATCTCATAATCTCGTCTGTGATCTTTCATGGTTACAAAGGAGCCAGAAAGGAATAATTTCTTTTTAGAAGCATACAAATAATTTCAGTGAATAGATGGATGGATGGATGCATTCATTAAGAAATATTAACTGACATCTTGCTGTATACATTGTATATTAACTGACATCTTGCTGTATACACTGTATCTAAGACATGGTTCATGTACCTATCTCATCATTCATTTAATATCTGCTATATGTCACCCACTGTACTGGGTGCTGCAAACACAACCTTAAATTATCCGACTTAAAGTCTCAGGGTGTTACTCATCTTCAGAATACACTCAAACATTTACCATGAGAGATAGACTTCTTTTTTTTTTTCTAATGTAACTCCAGAGAATACGTTCAGAGAAGATTTAAGTAGGAAACTCAAACTTCACCATCAGATCCAATAAGTTGGAGAGACCAAATATAAATTCATGAAATAACCAATATGGATTACAAAGGCATATTCTGCGAGTAACACAAGATGCACATTATTTATATACATGAGCTGAGTTGTCAGTTGTTGCATGACGCCTGAGTTAAGGTGATCAGAGGAGGCTGTAGTCAGATCACTCTGGAAGGAAAGGTTGGCACAGACTTGGCAGAATTTTTCGGGAAGATGGACAGCATGAAAAACAATGAACATTAAAAAGCCAAAGATTTTTTACAAATGGAAAAATGCTGAGGGTTGCTGGCCTTTGTATCTTGGGTCATAACTCTGCTTATAAAAGATGTTTATGAATATTGAATGACTCTTGGAAACATGAGCCAAAAAGTAATACATGAAACTTATGCCCAGAGGATTATTTCCATACTTCACTGGGAAAATAAAAAGAGGTCAATTCTGATTGACCACTGCATACCATCTAGCATGTGCTGAGCTTGTTGGTGACACAGGAATGCCACTATATGTTTCTGAAAAGTCCAAGGCAGAAGACATTCCAAACAAAACAATTAAATTACTTCCTATGGAAAAGAAAGTTTTCTACATTACATGGTAGAATTTTTGCTAAGCCAGTTTTTATAACTGAGGTCGTTCGAAATTAAGATGTTTGTATGCTTCTAATTTCTGATCACCACTGGTGCTTCTAAAATGATTTAAAATAATTCATTATTTTATATAGTTTGAAATGTAGTGTGGGCCAGTTTTACAACATTAATTTCCTTAGCAAAGAAATCAGAAACAAAAATTCAGTCACATCTGTTATTGATAGCTTTTCATTCTGAATTGGTGAGGCCCCAATTTTTAAATTTAAATTTATTTTTGCCAACTGGAGAAGTGATTTTGTTAAAGCTAAAATGTCCAACTTAAAAAAAAAATTGAAAAGCTATTTTTAAAAATTTAACATGTAAGCATTGGTCCAAAAACATATCAGAATACATTGTGAAAAGCATGTCTCTCCTCCACCTTTGGCTCCTGGCCATTCACTTGCCCGCCCCCCTCCCCATAACACAAAGGGAAGTATCACTGTTTATCCTCATTTGTTAACATTGTAAATGTACCTCATTGTAATGGTGAACTCTCATTCAATGTTCCACCGAGTTTAATTCATTTCTAAAGCAAATTATGAGCAATTAAAAAGAGGGTAATTGTAGTGCTGCTACATATAACATTGTTAATGACAAAAATGAAATAAAATAGTAATACTGTTTTGAAAAAGTACAATATAAATTCATCCTATTTGGGTGCCCGTGTACTCAACGATCTATAATTACTCTTTTCCTGCCTAATATGTACTCATTCATTGCTCCAATTTTAACATAGTTCTCTGCTGAGTCCCATAAAATTTCAGTTTTCGTTTTTGGAATTCTTTGCCTTTTTAAAAACAAGTGACAACTCTGCCTAGTTCTTAAAATAAAGATGAAGTGATACTTTTCTTTTTTTTTCCCTAACACACAAGTAAAAAACATTTGTTCATTTAATAAAAGTCCATTTGAAAATATACACTTTTATTTTTCTTCATGACACTTGTCAACATATAACATAATGAATATTTTATATTTTATTTCATTCAGAATGTAAATTGCTTAAAGACAGAAGCGTTTGTTTTGTTCACCCTCGTATCCCTAGTTCTTGAACACTGCCTAGGTTAAAGGGATGCTTATGAGCTGAGGGAAAGAAGGAAGTAAGGGAGGGAGAGAGGGAGGAAGGAATGAAGGGCACAACTTTAAATAATTCATCTTCTATTACCTTCTTGGGTATTAATCAAATTTAGGCTCAGAAAAAGTCAATTTTATATGGGCTATGTTATCTGTATTTAGATTATAATTAATTTACATTTTCAACTGTGCAATATACGAGGCAAGTATGATGCTTATAGTTAAAGATCCTCTGTGAGATCTTTAACACAACTATTAAAAAATGCAACTATAAAAAAAGTTGAAGATGACTATAAAAAATCCTTACGTTATTTGTTATATATGTAACCTTTGTGATGCGTTTATGTGTAGCACATAAACACCAGTAGCATCGGTAGCATCCTAAGATGCAGCTTTTCTCTTCCTTGGGTATAAATCTTCATATGATGATAATCACACAATTTAATAAGGCCATTGTCCTTCTTGTCACCCAGAGCCAAGCTTCAGAGTTTGCTTTCATATCTCTTTTGTGAGTCTTCCCAAACCCAGGAGTCACCAAGTTTGGTTGATTACCTTGCCCCTGAAAACATTATTTGTCCGTTCATTTGGGAATTAACATTGGTTTCTCTAAACTCCCCATAGAATTAATCTTACCATCTTTCCCACCATGTTTATAGCTTTAAGTTATTTTGCTTTATATACTAGCTGGATGTGTTCACATCTGTTTTTCTACAAGACTGTTCTTTTGGTTGTTGGTGGTGGTGATGGTGGTGTGTGTGTGTGTGTGTGTGTGTGTGTGTGTGTGTTAGCTAGGCATTATATATCCTCTAATGTAAAACAGGCACTTACCCAGTGTTCATTAAGTTGAGTTTATACTTCATTTTTGGGTCAAATAACTTCCATTAAGTGTTTTATCATAGTGTTAGTTTTGCATACACCATAAACTATTTCCAGAAACCTCTCAAGGAGATATTTGGATACTTATTTGTTACTAAAGGTAGAGGCTTATGTCAATATCCTGCAACATGTTTTATCATTTGATTTGAAATCTTGACATTTTATTTCTATTTTCATTTCCCTAGCAGGTTTAATCAGAGGAGGTAATGATATATGTGACTGAATTCAGAATTGACTTACATGGATGATTACAGAATTCATGATTTAATGGGATAGTCCTAAAAAAGCAAAGGCTTTTCTGTTTAAAGTTTCTAATTTTTAACCTCATGAAGTTTTCTGTTTTATTATTCCAAAGGCATTTTTTAAATTCCCATGTTATTAAAGCATTCTAATGTCAGAATAGATACCCTATTAAAAAATGAAAGTGGTACATCTTTATCTTTCTTTTACATATGCAATCCCAATTAAAATTAAAGTCAATATGTGTTTTCCTTGCAAATTAAGACAAGTTTCTTCTTCACTTTTTTTTGTTAGTCTTGAATTCTATTTTTATTACACTGTGGTCCAAGAGAATGGTTGTTTTGATTTCAGTTATTTTGCATTTTCTGAGAGATGTTTTATGTCTGATTAAGTGTTGATGTTAGAATATGTGCTATGTGACAATGAGAAAAAATGTATATATGTGTATATATACATCCACATATATACAGTGGAAAGTTCTGTAGATGTCTATCAGGTGCATTTGATCTTTGGGGGTTTTTGCCTTAATGATCTAATACTGTCAAGGTGTTGAAATCTCCCAATATTATTATGCAGAACTGTAAGTCTCTTTGAACATCTCTAAGAACTTGCTTTATAAATTTGGGTGTTCCTGTGTAAAGTGCATATATAGTTAGGATAGTTGGGTCTTTTTTTATTATTATAAAAAATTTGCAGAATGTGCAGTTTTGTTACACAGGTATACACGTGCCATGGTGGTTTGCTGCACCATCAACCTGTCATCTACGTTAGGTGTTTCTCCTAATGCTATCCCTCTCCTAGCCCCCCACCTCTTGACAGGCCCGTGTGTGATGTTCCCCTCCCTGTGTCCATATGTTCTCATTGTTCGACTCCCACTTATGAGTGAGAACATGCAGTGTTTGGTTTTCTGTTCCTGTGTTAGTTTGGCTGAGAGTGATGGTTTCCAGCTTCATCCATGTCCCTTCAAGAAACATGAACTCATCCTTTTTTATGGCTGCATAGTATTCCATAGTATATTGGGCCACATTTTCTTTAACCAGTTTATCATTGATGGGCATTTGGATTGATTCCAAGTCTTTGCTATTGTGAATAGTGCTGCAATAAACATACGTGTGCATGTGTCCTTGTACTAGAATGATTTGTAATCCTTTGGGTATATATCCAGTAATGGGATTGCTAGGTCAAATGGTATTTCTGGTTCTAGATCCTTGAGGAATCGCCACACTGTCTTTCACAATGGTTGAACTAATTTACACTCCCACCAACAGTGTAAAAGTGTTCCTAGTTCTCTACATCCTCTCCAGCATCTGTTGTTTCCTGACTTTTTAATGATCACCATTAAACTGGCGTGAGATGGTATCTCATTGTGGTTTTGATTTGCATTTCTCTAATGACCAGTGATGATGAGCTTTTTTTCTTCTTCACTTTTTAATCAGCTTGAAGTGAATGCCTTGTTAGTTTTCCTACTAACGGTGCTAAACCTAGCAGTTTTAAAGACCTTCCTGTTGACCACAGTGCACTCTTGGTTCTTGTAGGCAGGGAGCTGGCTTAGGACCTACATAGCATATTTGGAACAATGGCTTCTGGTTCTTTAAGTGTTAGAATTTGTGTGGCTGAGAAAAAAAAAATAGTGATATTTTCCCTTTGCATGAATTAAATATTTTACCTGCAAAGTTGCTTGTCTTTTATAAATTATTTTTCTTATAAGTAATGCTACTTAAAATGCTAAACTTATTCCTTGTGAAAGTCTGTTCTATTATGATACAAAAATTGTAGATAGCTTTTATTGAAATAATATTTGACATTTTCCTCCACAGATTGTTCTTTAAAATATTTGCTTTGCCTAATAATGCCATGTAAAATTTATTTTTAGGGGGATAGTTCCTATGTGAAAGATCGCTGGTGTGTTTTTGATGGATTTATGGTCTTTTGCCTTTGGGTTTCTTTGGTGCTACAGGTAATTAAATATTTTTTAAATTACAAGCAGGTATTCTCCAAAATGGGAATTATTTTGCATTAAAAGTCTAAATAGAAATATTACAAAATATATATCAAATGTGATTGTGTAATTGCCTACAACATTTTATTTTATTTTTATTTTAACAGATGTGATTAGTCTGTTTACTCTGACATATTTGAAATTTGAAAAATTAATTTTAATTGATACGTAATACTTGTATGTATTTATGGGGGACTGAGTGATATTTGATGTATACAAGGTGTAATGATCAAATCTGCATAATTAGCAATTTTATATCACCTCAAACATTTTATTGTTAGAAAAGTCAATAGCTGTAATATCTTAATTATTGTCAGTTATGATTGTGAATTATTTCTCAATCAGAAACGAAAATCAATACTATAGAAAATTATTAGCTGTTAATCAGATATAAAATATATTCCCTGAAATGAAGGAAACAATGTGGAGCAATATTTCTGTATTTGTAAATAAAAAATTGAACTTAAAAATTTAAAGTCTAGTCTCCCCATATTTGGATAGGTATTAGCCAACATAAAATACTATATTGCAAATATTAAATGCTTTATTATAAGTGATGGGGAACGTACATTAAAAAGACTTACAGGACAGATTTGATTGGAAAATAAGTAGAATTAATTTCTGTGCATTCATTCAGACATGATTTTGCCTTTTAATTCAACTAAAGTTACTATATTCTATTGATTTGATTTGATCTGTTTTGATTTGGTTGTGGTAAGAATGCCTAACATGAAATCTACTGTTTTAATGAATTTTAATTGTACAATAAATTATTGTTAACTGTAGGTACAATGTTGTACAGGTCTCTAGAGTTCAATCATCTATTCTTTATTTAAAAATTCAGAATTCAAAACTTCACAGCCCATTCTGCCAACTCATCATAGTGTTTGTTGATAAGCTTTCCTTTCATATTTTTATAAAGTTCACCTCTCCCACAATTTAATTTCATCACTCATATATTTTTTTAATCAGCTTTGTCAGGTTGAATTGTTTCTCACATTAATGTGTTCTTTTCCATTTAATAACTATTATGTGATTGACAAACATTTCAAATTATTATTTTGCCTGTTAGTAAATAGTGCAATTCTTTTTTAATATTTTAACCCTTTCTCTATTACTTTATTTTCTAGATATTCAAAAGCCTCCACTAAAGAACGTTATTAACAAGAAAGACAGCATACTTACTATATATTCTAAGTTGGCACTTCTTGTAACTAAAAACTGTCTTAACGAACGAGACAGGAAATGAATAAGATTAATGTTGTTCTTATTAGTTTATGTATTTGTTTCTGTTAAGATAGCTATAGCTTCAAAATATACTCAAAAGAAAGTGGATTTTGGTGGAAAATAATGTATGGCTAAATTCAGAGTAGAGGTGCACCTACTTATGCTGCTAACATCTGTATGTTCCATGACTATAAGCAATGCTAAGGGAAAATCCAACCTCATTTACCCATCTTTTAATTTGTAGGTGTTTGAAATTGCTGATATAGTTGATCAGATGTCACCTTGGGGCATGTTGCGGATTCCACGGCCACTGATTATGATCCGAGCATTCCGGATTTATTTCCGATTTGAACTGCCAAGGACCAGAATTACAAATATTTTAAAGTGAGCGCTGCTTTACAATAAGTTAAGAGGAAAAGTTTATGAAGTTTTTTGTAAGTTTTATGTACTTTACCTACTTTTGTTTCTCTAGGCGATCGGGAGAACAAATATGGAGTGTTTCCATTTTTCTACTTTTCTTTCTACTTCTTTATGGAATTTTAGGAGTTCAGATGTTTGGAACATTTACTTATCACTGTGTTGTAAATGACACAAAGCCAGGGTAAGTTTATCTATTAACTGCATTTTAATCTAGTTGATTAACAAAGATATCTCTGTAATTTTCATAAGAATAACCTCTATGTCAGATTTTTTAAACAGTGCTTATGTCCTCTTTGTTCTGTGTCTCTGCTTCCTCGGTATTGTTTTTGTCCAGTTTTTATTTTATTTTATTTTATTTTATTTTTGAGATGGAGTCTCGCTCTGTCATGAGGCTGGGGTGCAGTGGCGCGATCTCGGTTCACTGCAACCTCCGCATCCCGGGTTCAAGCGTTTCTCCTTCCTCAGCCTGCCAAGTAGCTGGGACTACAGGCGTGCACCACCATGCCCGACTAATTTTTGTTTTGTCCAATTTTTAAAGACAAGTATTCAAGACAGGACAGATTGGAAAATGTAACCTGGTGGAAAAGTAGATTAAGCAAATGCAAAGTGTACATTTAGAAACCTTAGTGTGGCAAAATGGGGAGTGTGCTAACATAATAACATAAACCTAGAGCTTCACTGTGGAAGCTTTTCATATTAGAATGAGTTACATGTTCGGGAAAAAAAGCTCATTTTTATTATTATTTACTTTTGTCATCATTCCCTAAAATAGTTTCCTAAATGATTATAACATCATTTCTAGACTAAACACTATTATCTGTTGCATTTGACTGTTGTAGGGTTGGTGGGTAAGATAGAATGTATGTACTTTAATTACCTATTATGTATTATGCAATAGAGCACCTGCCTCTTCTACTTGGCTGATCATTGTTAATATACAACTCCAGGGATGTGATGGCAGGAGAGAGCAGAGTGGGATGTTGGCCCCTGGATGGTCCAGAAGTGTCCCATTAGGTGTTAGCTAGATATAGAGTTTGGGGTTCCAAGCACAACCCAGAAGTGCAACAGATATGACTATGCCAGATTTCAGGGCAGCAGGGATTGGGGATAATACAATTGATTTTATACCTTATATTCAAATCTTCACATAGGAATTTGTCTATTTATAAATGAAGAACTCATCCATAAATTACCGATTGAAAAATCTTGATTCAAATCTTAGAAATTAGATTTAAAGCACTTTGTAAAATTCAAAAAGAGATTACAAGCAGCCATTCATCTTCAAAATATTTTTAATATATCAATATCTACTTACAAACCAATTGGGTATATAAGGATCATTGAGTTTAAAAACATTGAAAGGGTTATGTTGTGTTTTCTGCAGTTGGAGGATTTCTTTTTCATAAAGTCTATATACTTGTATATATACAAAGTAAATAAACCACAAATAAGTGAATATCTCTGTGAGTATAGACATCATGATAAGCTTGGCTCAATTCCAACACTTTATTTTATGAGTTTGCATAAATTATTTAGGTTACTCCTCAATGAAGTAGATTAATAACAGGACATACTTTCTAGAGGCATCAGGAAGAGCAAATGAGGGAATGAATGTAAAGACAAGCAAAGTAACCAGCACATAGTAAAGGCATTCACTGTATGCCAGCTGTCATTATTTTGTTGTCATAAAGAGATACGTAAACACGCTTACATGCTGAGGTGGTAGGCATAAGTGTATCCTCCAAAATAGAGATAACATGGTTAAAAAAAAGGAAAGAGCAATAAAGAAGACCAAAATTTAAACTTGTAAGAGTGTGAAAGGAAAACATCTATGAGTAACTCATGGCTATGTTATTTTACTGACAAAGTAACTAAATTAATTCTGAGTTTATTTCACATTTATAATGGTCATTTAATTATTAGTCTCTCACAGAAATAAATTTAATAATTGAATTTCTAATTCATGCACAAACAGTATATGTATATTATGCAACTCCTAATAATTATATAATGTTCTAAAAACTAAAAGTGAATTTAGTTGTTTGCTGTTGCACCACCCCAAAGAATGTCAACTCCAAAAAGGTAGAGATTTTGTTTCCACGTGTTTTCAGACCAGGAGGCATGTGCAAGTTTCTAGGAAAATATGAATGTATTCAGTAACTTCAAAACATCAGTATAATTTCACTGGTTAAATGTTAAACAGTAAAGCATAATCTATTAGTCAAGGCCTTAATTAATTTTATTTTTATTTAGAAGGCATGCATCTCATACCTACTTAGAAATTTACCAGAGGGGGCTGTGCACAGTGGCTCACACCTGTAATCTCAGCACTTTAGGAGGCTGAGGAGGGTAGATAACCTGAGGTCAGGAGTTCCAGACCAGCCTGACCAATACGGTGAAACCCCCTCTCTACTAAAAATATGAAAATTAGCCGGGCATGGTGGCACAGGCACCTGTAATGCCAGGAGGCACCTGTGATCGGGAGGCTGAGACAAGAGAATTGCTTGAATCCAGAAGGCGGAGGTTGCAGTGAGCTGAGATCGCGCCACTGCACTCCAGCCTGGACCACAGAGCAAGACTCCGTCTCAAAAAAAAAAAAAAAAAAAAAGAAAGAAATTTACCTTAGGTTCACAGAAGTGTGGACAGATACCATGCCTTCCTTGATTATCCATAGTATTATGTTGAAGTAAAGATCTCATTTTTTCTTGTTTTTTAATATAACTTTTATTTTTGCATGATGTGAGTGAATAATCTATTCAAAATTATTTTTAAAAGAAAAATACTGTTGCTACTAACCCCACTCCTAATCTTCATTATTATTGTTCAAAATAGCCTTGGAAAATAACTTTTTGATAACCATTTTCTGGACATATTATTATTTTCCCCTATTATTGAAATTATGTCTCTACTTTAACCACTTTATTGAGATTTTGGTGAATATAAAAATCTTTACATATTTATTATATATGTCTTGAGGGAACTATTTCCTTTTTCTGTCAGAATTAAATCCAGAGAGTAAGTTATTGCATTTATTATTCTACTTCCTGAAAATTATGATCCTTCTCAAATTAACTTGTATATTTCTTATGAGGTACTTCCTGAAAATAATGATCCTCCTCAAATTAATTTGTGTATTTCTTATGAGGTACGGGTCAAGATGTAGTCTTAACTTAGTGGTTGGAATGGACATCGGTATCTTAGGAGAAGCTCTCAGTATTTCCGTTAAGTGGGATGTGAGCTGTAGAGTTTTCAAAGTGAGGAAGTTACCTTTAATTCCTATAGTGCCAAGAGTTTTTGATCATTGATGTATGCTAAATTTTGTCCAGTGCTTTTCCGTTTTGTTCAGTTAATGTAATGAATTACATGATTGACTTTTTAAATAGAAACCAATCTTGCATTTCTGGTATATTGCTAATTTGGTCATATTGTATTCCTCTTTATACATTGGAAGATTTGATTTGCTAATGTTTTTGTTACAAATTATTGCATCTTTGTTCACAAGGAGCATTATTTTTAGGTTTTTTAAATTGAAATATCTTTACCGGGTCTTGAAATCCGGGTAATGCTGTCCTCATAAAACAAGTGGAACATGTTTCCAAGGGTTAATATAAGATTCATATTCTTTCTTTCTTAAATGTTTGATAGAATTCATGAGTAAAACTCAGGGCCTGAAATTTTCTTTGTGAGAACGTTTTTCATTACAAATTAAATGTATTCAACTTACAGAGCTATGGAGTTGTTATCTTTCTTGTTCTGTTAAGTTGGTAAATTTTGCTTTTCAAAGAGCTTACCTATTTTTATAATTTGTCAATATTGCATAATGTTTATACAAATGCCCTCTGATTATCTTTTGAATGTCTGATTATCTTTTTAACATCTGTAGAATAGTGGTAATAAGCCATTTTTTCCTGACATTGATAATTTGTACCTTTCTCTCCATTTTTTTATGTCTTCTCAATTGTATTATTCTTTTCACACACACACAAGAATCTTTGCCCTATTTAATGTTCTCTATTGTTAGTCTGTTTTTCATGTTGATTTTTTATCTTCATTATTTCCTTATTTCTGCTTTTTAGTTTTTGTTTTCTTTTTCATCTTTCATAAAATGAAGGTATATAGACATCTTTTAACATTTTTCTAATACAATAATTTAAAAATATAATTTTCCTCTAAGCACTGTTTTAGCCTCTAAGCACTGTTTTAGCTGCATTTCCAAAATGTTGATATGTTGTATTTTTATTATTATTCAATTCAAATATCTTCTAATATATGTGATTTCTCCTTTGACCTGTAGGTTATTTAGAAGTGCATTTTTAGAAGGATGAGATTTTCTAAAAATGTTATTTGGGTGCATAATTTTATTCTGTTGTGGTCAGACAATAGTCCCTGTGAAATTTCAGCCTTTTGAAATTCATTAGGAATCATTTTAAGGACCAGTATATGGTCTGAATTGGTGAAAATTCCATGAGAATTTGAAAAGAAAAAAGTGAAATCTGCAGTTTTTGAGTATAATATCTATAAATGTCACCAAAGTCAAGTTGGCTGATAATTTGTTCTGGGTATTTCTATCCTTCTTGGTTTTTAAAATCAGGGTTGTTCTAGCAATTGCTGAGAGAGTACTATTCAATTTTCTAGACATGACAGAAATTTTCAATCTCTCTTATTTTTGTCAGTTTTTGCTTTCTATAATTTTCAACTTTAATTAGGCGCATAACGTGTCATTGTATCTTTCAGATGGGCTGACCTTTTTATCGTCATGAATTTTGAATTTTTTTCCTAATTAGCTTCGGGATGCCAGGGTATATGATGGGTCAAGAACATGACGTTTCAAATTTTTCAGTAATCATAACTCTAAAGTAATGTGTAACTCTGAAATAATTTATTTTATTTAATCATCTTTTATCTTATTAATCAATTGATTTGTTCCCACAATTACTTACGTGTACTTTAGACCATTCCTGGATTGACAGTAAAAGGGAGCACATGACAAATTCTTAGTTTTAGAGCATGGGCTGCACAATCCTGAGCCCAGCCTGGTGGTGATGAAATTAAGCCCAGTACTAAGAGCGTAAATGAAGAAGAAACTCAGTAGTAAGAGAGTGTGGACCAACTGGTCAGATGCTCTAATCAGCAACTCTCATTCCACTGTCAAAACCTTGGAGATTTTGTATGTTTTTTAAATAGGTGAAGTGAATCAAGTGGTGCCTACCAAATTTATTTTGTCCTCTGCATCAGTGCGTGGCATACAACATTAACAATGAGAAGCAACTAACTCCTATAAGCTATTTTGGGGGAATAGAGGATGGTACAAATATCACAACTTTACAGCAAATATTACAACTCCTTCAAAACACAGTTTGGCAGTTTTTAAAAAAATAAAAATAAAAGAGTTGATCAAGCTGGGTACAGTGGCACACACCTGTAATCTCAGCACTTTGGGAGACTGAGGTGGGATGATCACTTGAGCCCAGGAGTTTGAGACTAGAGTGAGCTATGATTGCGTCACTGCACTCCAGCCTGGGTGATAGAGTGAGACCCAGTCTCTAAGAAGTAAAAATGAAAGAAAGAAAAAAAGTTGGACAGGCACCTGCCACATCTCATTTATTCCACTCCAGGTATTTAACCAAAATAAATAAAAATGTATGTCCATAGAAAGATTTACACATGAATGCCCACAGCAACTTTATTCATAGTACTCCAAACTGGTGACAACCCAAATTTCCATCAACAGATAGATAAACTAATGATGGTATATCCATATAATAAATACTGTTTAATAATAATAAATAATGAACTATTGATGTATACAGCATCTTGGATAAATCTCAAAATAATTATGATGACTGAATAAAGCCAGATTTAAAAAGAGGACATGTTCTATTATTCCATTTACATAAAATTCTAGAAAATGCAAACTTATCTTTAATGATAGAAAAGAAATCAGCAGTTGCCTAGTGATAAAGGTTGTGGTGGGAATTAAGGGATTACAAAGGGGCCTCAAGAAACCTTTGGGGTTTATTGACATGTTCATTATCTTGACTGTGCTTCTGTACATGTGCCAAAACTTATCAAACTGTACACTTTCGTATGTGCAGTTTATGTTATGTCAGTTACACCCACTGAAACTGCTTAAAATGTCTCAGTGTGAAGTAGAAATCTAATTTTTCATATGGTTAAGCAATTGTGCCTGCACTATTTATTGTGTGCTATTACCCACTGAGTTTAGTTTCACCTGTCTCATTCACTAATTCCCTGTCTATACGTGGGTCTGTTCCTGTGGGGCTCTGTTGTGCTTCACTGGTCTATTGGACTACCTCTTTGCCAATATCACACTCTGAAAGTCTTTCAAATTACAATCTGGCTTTACACATGGGGTCATATTTCCAGCTTTCAGCTTTACATGGGCTCAAGACCTGGTCTTCCGCCTCACATGGGCATTAAAACCCAGGCATTAGCTCCCATTCATAACACTATGTCAACTCATGTTCCTTCTGTTCCTACTCATTTACTGCTTTCCTTCTTATGTTTTGACATTTTGGAATGCAGGTTTTGTATTGTGAGCCTAAATGCGGAGTTTTTAATGCTATCTATTTGTTTGTAGTGGAAGGAGTTGAATTTGGTGTAGTCCATCTTGCCACAACCAGGACTCACATCCATAGCTATTTTTTTTTCTATTTTTGTCTAAGGTCCTTGAGGACACGTATGAGAAAGGTAAAGAGGATATTGTGTTATATTCATCTTTTTATCCTTACTACCTAGTATCCTAACACAGAATAAATAATTAGTAACTATTTATTGAAGGCATGGTTGAGAACATATTCTATTTAGACAGATAATATTAACATGATGACAAATTGATAAAGAAGATGAAATAAAAAAGAAACAGAGAAAAGTAAGTTGCTAAAAGCAGGAAAGGAGAAATGGCTAAAAAATAGAAAAACAAAGTTTAAGCAGAAAGAAGCAGTGAATTAGTTCATATACGGAGTAAGAAAATTGAAGCAAGTGGTGAGTAAGGGAGTTGACTGTGTGGGTGAGGGAAGAGACAAATGCATGGAAGAAAATCTGTAGGTAGTTGGATTTATTTTTTTAGTGTATGTAGGCTGTAGAATATGCCTAGATTGTTCTATGAGTGAATATGAAAATGGAAAAAGATATTGTGTGGGTTGGAGACAATCAATATGGAGATGAAGAACAGGGAAATCTTCTGGATAAGAAAGCAGCTGTGTAGTACTGCAGTGGGTACAGAGGCTGGCTTCAAATTACCGTTTTATTAAAACCAAGTCAGAATGTGAGAGTTATAAAACTTGTAAATGCAGCTAGAAGATCAGGCATTATGCTGGCAAACGAAAGCTCATATTGGCACATAAATGATCGCAGAAATTGAGAACAGATACACGAATGTCTTCTGAACTCATGACCCTAGAGTTGCTTCAGTAAGTATTCTTTGCTAGTTCCACGCTGTATTTGGTACCAAGAAAAGAATGATACTGAAAAAATGCATGAAAACATGCCTTGTGATCTAAATATTAGCTCCAGCTCATTACTTTATCCTAAAAATGAAGTTCACCATGAAAAATTTCATAAATGTTGACAGAATGCTTAGTTACCTGAGACATAGCCATTATGGTGAAATGGCTGCATTTTTCTCTTTCCCATATGTGTAAAACCTGCCTAGTAGCATACACACACACACACACACACACACACACACACATTTATTTTGTCTTCTTTTTATGTGACTCTTTGTTTACTATTTAAGAAGAAAATGCTTAACTAGCCACATGGTAGTAATGTTGCTCATAATCACAACTGTTATAGCTTTGATAATTCATTTCAAGAATCTATCAATAATATCTTTTTTGTTGTTGTTTTTTTGAGACAGACTCTCACTCTGACACCCAGGCTGGAGTGCAGTGGCATGATCTCAGCTTACTGAAACATCCATCTCCCAGGTTCAAGAGATTCTCCTGCTTCAGCCCCCCAAGTAGCTGGGACTACAGGCGTGTGCCACCACACCCGGGTAATTTTTGTATTTTTAGCAGAGACAGGGCTTCATCATGTTGGCCAGGCTGGTCTCGAACTCCTGACCTCAAGAGATCTGCCTGCCTCAGCCTCCCAAAGTGCTGGGATTAAAGGCCTGAGCCACCATGTCCAGCCTTATTTTTAAAAAAAAATTTCAGTTCAATATTACTGCATTTTAAAGCCCCACACATAAGCAGAAAAACTGTCAGCACCATTTTACCGTTACTATTAGCCCAGACATAAATGTAGTTTTACTCTTAGAGACTCAAGAAATATCCAAACTCAAAATAAAACAGAAAATGTTAATTGATTTGAAAATTTTTAAACTTTTCTGTTTCCTTTTGTAGCCTCTAAACTATGACTTTTTTTGCTGCTATAAAGACACATGCACACGTATGTTTATTGCAGCACTATTCACAATAGCAAAGACTTGGAACCAACCCAAATGTCCAACAATGATAGACTGGATTAAGAAAATGTGGCACATATACACCATGGAATACTATGCAGCCATAAAAAATGATGAGTTCATGTCCTTGGTAGGGACGTGGATGAAATTGGAAATCATCATTCTCAGTAAACTATCGCAAGAACAAAAAACCAAACACCGCATATTCTCACTCATAGGTGGGAATTGAACAATGAGAACACATGGATACAGGAAGGAGAACATCACACTCTGGGGACTGTTGTGGGGTGGGGGGAGGGGGGAGGGATAGCTTTAGGAGATATACCTAATGCTAAATGATGAGTTAATGGGTACAGCACACCAGCATGGCACATGTATACATATGTAACTAACCTGCACATTGTGCACATGTACCCTAAAACTTAAAGTATAATAATAATAAAATAAAATAAAATAAAATAAATTTCAAAAAAGTCAAAAAAAGAATTCCCTGTGTAAGAACATTCAAAGTGAAAGGAGCATCATAGGGAAAAGACAAACCGTGAAAGCAGAGAAATAGGAGACGCCACATCAAGACACCACCATGCTTACAAGTTGGCATTTTATTCTGAAGACCATAATGAACTGCCAAAGAAGCTGAAACCTAAAATAAAATTATTGTTTTTACATATAAAGATGATTTTTCACATCTATATTTATGATCTCACCTTTTAAATCAGTATCTACTTTTGAAAATGTACATGTAACCTTCAACATATACACAGAAAATAAGATAAACTAATTTATATAGTTTTGTTTCAATCCTACACAATTAGAGTTGATTTTTACTCCATATTTAGATTTCCAGAATCCCAGCTCATTAATTTAATATTTATTAAGCATAAAAGCTTTAAGACCTAGAATGCATGGGACGTGGAATTAAGCACTAGGGATAAAAGAGGAAGAAAAAAATAGGTCATGTCCTGGAGGAGCTCACACTTGAGGCAGCCAAAGATTAATTACCTTAGGCATTGATTAGTAATAATAATAATAATTAGTTAGAAAGTGTTATCAGATGTCAAAAAAGAGAGAAAATGTGAGTTTTATAGTCTTTGTAAAGAATATGACCTTTGAGCAAACTCTAGAATTAGGAATGGAGTGTTTGAATTGGAAATTAAGGCAGGATAATACCTTTCAGATGAAACAATGTAATAGAGTACTAGGATGTATAATAGAATGCTGGCCCCAAACTGGGATGGTAGATTTAAGTTGTGAGTTTCTTTCTACAACTGCAGAGTCCATTGAATAAATACAACTTTATATATTAAAATTAAAAAAATAAAAAAAAATAAAAAAAGAAATTCTGTCATTTGGAATAACAGGAATGAATCTAGAGGACATTATGCTAAGTGAAATAAGCCAGGCACAGAAAGATCAATACTGCATGATCTCACGCATATGTGGAATCCTAACCAGTTAATTCATTGAAGTAGAGAGGACAATGGTGGTTATCAGGGGCTGCGGTGAGAAGGAGATGGAGCTGCAAGGGAATGAGGAGCTGCTGATCAAAGGGTACAAAGTTTCAGCTAGGCAGTAAGAGTAAGTTTTGAGATCCATGCACAACAGGGTGACAATGGTCAATAATAATGCGTTATATATGTCAACATAACTAAGAAAGTAAATTTCAAATGTATCATCACAAAAAAGTTAAGTGATATGATGGATATATTAATTGGCCCGATGTAACCATTATGTCTTGTATACATACATCAAAACATCACATGGTGCTGCATTAAAGTAATACAATTATGATTTGTCAATTGAAATACTATTATTTAAAAAATGTATTATACACATCTCCGAGTCACATATTAAGCTAAGGTATGATGGCTGTGTTTTCAGCAATCAGTGTTACCAGCTACTGCCGTGACCTCATTTCTCTTAATCATTTAAGAGAAACGATTAAGAGAAATTGTTAACAATTGTTCCAAGTTCTGCCTAATTGATTTGCATGTATTATAGCCTAATCATGACAGAGATTTCAGACCAGAAACTTGCATATCTTGGGTTTCATAGTTGACCTCCAGAACTGATTGTGTTTAATATGTGAGGCAAACAAGATAAAGAAGCAACACAATATATACAGTTTTGCTTTTAAATGGAACTTAGTTCCTGTAAGGCCCAATAGCAGGAAATCTTAGTTATGTCTTCAGTAGCAGTACTAGTAAAGCTTTAGATTCTTCTCTGTTAATGAATGGAGACCTAAGGCAATTATGAAAAGAGTAATGAGATTTGACTAAGCAAAGCAGCTCATTTCCTAAAGAAAGTTGAGGAGAGCAATGGCTTGTAGCAGAAACAGGTGTTGTGAAATACCAACTGTGATGGCAGAAATCTCCCCGAAGCTGGAACAGGAATGTTTAAAAATGAGCTGGCAGGTTAAATAGAAAAGATGAAGACTTACCTGACACCTTATTATCATTCCTGAAAAAGAAGGGAAACATATTCATAGCTCGGTATCAAATAATGAAATCTTATTTCCAAGAGTGAGATAATTAGAAAAACTTTAAGGTAAGTAAGTGTAACCATTAAATATATGAAAGTTTAATATAGAGAGAGCAGGATTCAAACAGGAACTCAGGAACATATTCGCGATGGCTGGACCACTAGCTTTAAGCCCAGAGGTAGGGTGATCACACATCACAGATGCCCAGGACAATCTTGGCTTATCCCTACTGTTTCAAAGTAATCACTAACAGCCTGTTATTCGATTTTAAGGAATCTCAATGTAGACAATGCATTTTATGGTCACCTTGCCCAGGGGAAGTTTATAGAACTTGGTATTTTATAAAATATCACCAAGAGTTGAATTAGAGATAATATAAAGTTGGATTTTTTTGCAGTTTGCTCTTGCTGGTCCAAATACATTTTACATTTATTAAAATAAATACATTAAAATTTATCAACTAAATTAAAATTTATTTGTCACGTATTCTTTAGGGTACTTGGCAAATAAGTGAAGTATTGTCTTATAAATTTTGTTGACAAAATAAAGAGGTTTTTTCATGGAATGCTATGCAGCCATGAGAAAGAATGAGACTATGTCCTTTGTAGCAACATGAATGAAGCTGGAGGCCGTTATCCTAAGCAAACTAACACAGGAAGAGAAAACCAAATACCGCTTGTTCTCACTTATGAATGAGAGCTAAACACTGAGTACATACAGACACAAAGAAGGCAACAACAGACACTGGAGCCTACCTGAGGGTGGAGGATGAGAGGAAGGTGAGGACTGAAAAACTACCTATCGGGTGCTATGCTTATTAGCTGAGTGGCGAAACAATCTGTACGCCACGCTCGCATGACACGCAGTTTACCTATATAACAAACCTGCACATGTATCCCTGAATCTAAAATAAAAGTTAAAAGAAAAAGAAATACAAATGGAAACATACTGGAATTTAGAGCATTAATTTTTAATTTCTAAGGACTTTATCAAGAGACAGTTTTGTAGAATATGTAAAATCATAATTGCCCCAAATTCATGCAACGGTCTATGACGTCTTCTTGATTCCTATGTATTTATTTATTTACATATGTTTATTGACACAATAGATGTAAGTATTTTTGGAGTACATATGATATTTCGATACATTGATGTAAGGCATAATAATCAAATCAGGGCAATTGGCATATCCATCACCTGAAACATTTTTCTTAATACTGGGAACATTTGAATTATTCTCTACTAGCTATTTTGAAATATGTAATAAATTACTGTTTACTATAGTCACCCTACTGATTTATCAAATGCTTAGGTCTTATTTATTTTATCTGACTGTATTTTTGTACCCATTCACCAACCTTTCTTCATCCAACCCTGGGCTTTACCCTTCCCCTTCTCTGGTAACAACCAATCTACTTTCTATCTTCATAAGATCCACTTACTTAAGGCCTAAATATGAGTGAGATCATGTGATATTTGTCTTTCTGTGCTTGGCTTATTTCTTTTAACATAATGACCTCCAGTTCTGTCCATGCAGCTGCAAACGTCAGGATTTCACTCATTTTTATGGCTGAATAGTATTAACACTGTGTGTGTGTATATATACATATCACATTTTCTTTATCCATTTATCCATTGGTGGGCAGTTAGGTTGATTCCGTATTTGGCTATTTGGAATAGTGCTGCAGTCAACATGTGAGTGCTGCTATCTCTTAAATATATAGATTTCCTCCCTTTTGGATATATACCCAATAGTGAAATTGCTGGATCATAGAGTTGTTCCATGTTTAGTTTTTTTCAGTCCGTACTGTTTTTCACAGTGGCTGTCAGAATTTGCATTACCACCAACAGTGTATGAGTGTTCCTGTTTCTCTACATTCTCACCAGCACTCACTGTCTTTTTTATAAAAGCCATTTTAACTTGGGGTGACATGATATTTCACTGTAGCTTTTATTTGCATTTCCCTGATGATTAGTGATGTTAACCATTTTTATATACCTACTTGCCATTTGTATGTCTTCTTTTGAGAAATGTCTATTCAGATTTTTTGCCCATTTCTTAATCAGATTATTAGATTTTTCCCATTGAGTTATTTGAGTTCTTTATATATTCTGGTTATTAATCCTTTGTCAGTTGAATCATTTGCAGACATTTTCCCTTATTCTGTGGGCTGTCACTTCAATTTGTTGATTGTTTCCTTTGCTGTGCCGAAGTTTTGAGCTTAATGCAATTCCATTTATCTATTTTTGCTTTAGTTGCCTGTGCTTTTCAGATTTTGTCCCCCCAAAAATTTGCCCAGTCCAGTGTCCTGGAGCATTTACCCAATGTTTTCTTCTAGGAGTTTCATAGATTCAGTTCTTAGATTTAAGTCTTTAATCCTTTATTATTTGATTTTTATATGATGAGAGGTAGGAGCATAATTTTATTCTTCTGCACATGGATATCCATTTTTCCCAGCACCATTTGTTGAAGAGACTGTCCTTTCCTTAATGTTCTTGATACCTTTGTCAAGAATGAATTGGCTGTAAAAGCATGTATTTATTTCTGGGTTTTCTATTCCATTCCATTGGGATATTTTCTGTTTTTTTACCAGTACCATGCTGGTTTGGTTGCTATAGCTTTGTAGCATATTTTGAAGTCAGTTAGTGTGATGCCTCCAGCTTTGTTCTTTTTGCACGAGATTGCTTTGGCTATTCAGAATCTTTTGTGTTTTAATATAAATTTTAGGATAGTTTTTTATATTCCTGTGAAGAATGTCATTGGTATTTTGATAGAGATTGCATTGAAACTGTAGATTGCTTCGGGTAGTGTTGACATTTTAACAATATTGATTCTTCCAATTCATGAGCATCGAATATCTTTCCATTTTTTGTGTCCACTTCAATTTCTTTCATCAGAGTGTTATAGTTTTCATTGTAGAGATCTTTCACTTCTTTAGTCACAATTATTCCTAGGCATTTTTAATTTTTTAATAAATATTGTAAATGGCATTGCTTTCTTGATTTATTTTTCAGATTGTTCACTGTTGGTGTATATAAATGCTATTAATTTTTGTATGTTGGTTTTGTATCCTGCAATTTACTGAGTTTGCTTATCATTTCTAACAGTTTTTGGTGGAGTCTTTAGGATTTTCTAAGTGTAAGATCATGTCGTCTGCAAATGAGGATAATTTTATTTCTTCCTTCCCAATTTGGATGTCGTTTATTTCTTTCTCTTATCTGATTGCTCTGGCTAGAACTTCCAGTAGTATGTTGAATAAATCTGATGAAAATGGGCGTCCTGATCTTGTTCCAGATCTTAGCAGAAAGGCTTTCAATTTTTCCGCCTTTGGTATGATGTTAGCCATGGGTTTGTCAAATATGGTCTTTATTGTTTTGAGGTATACCCCTTTTATACTCAATTTTTTAGTGTTTTGATAATAAAGACATGTTGAATTTTACCAAATGCTTTTTCTGCATCTATTGAAATAATAACATGGTTTTTGTTCCTGGTTTATTTATGTAATGTATCATGTTTATTGATTTCCATATGTTAAGCCATCCTTTCATTTCTGGGAGGTTAAATAATATGTCCAGATGGTAAGTAAGAAAGCCAGGATTTTAACTCAAGTCTAACTTCCAAGCCTATGTACGTTTTACCATTTGAGAAACTTCTGTATTTTAATTCTACATTCATAAACCTATAGACATATAGAGATCCACATCCATATGTATAAACTGTTTATAATATATGTAGTATAATTTCTACATTAAAGTTTTCATTAAGTCTGGTTTCTATCCCTATGTATATGTTATGTTTCATGGGATTCGACTTCATCTAAATCTATAAACTAGTGATATATTATATATTTTTAGTACTATCTATATATCTCTTTTAAAATTGTTCTGCACATTGATCTCCAAGATGTGAACCACCTGAGGTGCCAGAAACCAGCCTTTCATATGATAATAATATTAATAAAGTAAATATAAGAATATATTTCAGAATAAATTGAACTTTCAGATGAAAATTAATACCAGCATGATTTTTACCAGAATAGCAAAAATGTTTGTGAGAGTCTTCAGTATACCAAAAGAAAACCATGCAGTTTGAATGGGGGTCTAAAAGAAATGTAACTTATTTTGATCCATCTTTTGATCATATGTTTACTTCCCAAAAAGAAGATAATGTAATATTATAGGTTATAAGATTCTTATTTTTAGTGGTAAATAACTTTTATTGAACAATTGCTGTATGTTATTTTCTCACTTAATACTTATAACAACCCGATAAGTTATGTTCCATTTTTACACTGTATATTACAGCCAAGGAAATTGAAGCTGAGTAAAGTTAAATAAAGTGGCTGAGATGAAACAGCTTGTATCAGAAGCAAGACTAGACCCATTTCTCCCTCACACTGCTTTCTATGCTTTCAGTTGTAACTTGTTCAGTGTATGAGATAACCTTCCTTCAACATGTGTGTCCAAAATGTTTGAATAAAATATTTAGTTTTCCTTTAGTTACAAGGAGCCTATTCTTAAAAGACAAGTTCTCAGTGGGACGCATGAGTAAGTGGTTAATTACGATTGCTTATTTTAAGACTGAATTCTAAAGGCATGCACTGGAACTTCTGAACATCCTCTGTGAGTGTGGAATGAGGAGCTCTACCTATTCTGTCCCTCACAAATAGTGTTTACTGTAGCCGCCTCCACAGAATCGATATTTACTATCACTTTTGTATCTCAGGTTCCACCCAACCAGCTTGGTTTTCCCCATGATAGAAACCATAATAAGTATGCATAACTACAGCAGCACCAAGAGTAAATTTTGAAAATTAATTTTTAGGATGAAATCTCTTTGGTAAAGAAAATCACCTGGCAAAAGTTGTAAAAAATACTGATTCCAAGCCACATTTGTGATTCGTATTTTTAGGCAAGGCTGAGATTCTCAGAATTGGCCAGGTTAGAAATCAATCGTTTAAAATTTTAGTTTTGCAATTAAACTCCAAAAGATATGTTATAGAGTAGAACACAAAATTACATGGCTTTTTAAAAAAATAGACCTTGAGTCTTCAAAGAAATGTTAGTCTTCTAGCTAGCTGCTTACTGCCCTGCCCAAGGGTAGCATGCCTGTCCTCTTCCCTTAAGACTATTTCCCCAGAAATGTCCAAGGAGCACCAGAGGTAATTAGAGCCTCCTGTCTTTCCTGCAAAGAGGCAGGTATGTCTTTGTTTTCTGGGACGGACAACCATCTCAATTTTATTTATTTAGTGACTCTTACATGTTCTTATTTCTAGAGATTGAATTGGGCTGGTGTACTTTGTGGTTGAGTGTGGTTGGAGTCGTCAGGGGCATTGGCACTTTTAAAATCCCTCACTGACTTTACTTTTCGTGTTCACATCATTGGGGAGTTTGTAAATCCATTCTTTCATTGCTATAAAGAAATACCTGAAACTGGCAGGGCACGGTGGCTCATGCCTGTAATCCCAGCACTTTGAGAGGTCAAGACGGGCAGATGACTTGAGACTAGGAGTTCAAGACCAACCTGGGCAATATGGTGGAACCCCATCTCTACTGAAAATACAAGAAATAGCTGGGAATGGTACTGTGCACCTGTGATCCCAGCTACTTGGGAGGCTGAGGCACAAGAATCGTTGGAGCCGGGAGGTGAGGGAGGTTGCAGTGAGCCGAGATCATGCCACTGCATTCTAGCCTGGGTCACAGAGTGAAACTCCATCGAAGGAAGGAAGGAAGGAAGGAGAGAGAGAGAGAGAGAGAGAGAGAGAGAGAGAGAGAGAGGAAGAGAGGAAGAGAGGAAGAAAGAGAAAGAAAGAAAGAAAAAAAGAGAGAAAGAAAGAAAAAAGAAAGGAAAGAAAAAGAGAAAGAGAAAGAAAAGAAAGAAAGAGAAAGAAAGAAAGAAAAAGAAAGAAAGAGAAAAAGAAAAACTGAGACTGGGTATCTTATTTCTTTTATTACATTTTTGGGTCCTATATTTGTATCATACAGAATGAGTTCTGTATATTTTTCAGATGGAAAAGAAATATTGACTTAAAAGGTACCTCTCAAATCTTAATGTGTACAATAAACTGGAGATCGTGTTAATGTAGATTATTTTTTCAGAAGATCTGGAAGAAAGCCTCAGTTTCTGAATTTTTAACAAGCTCACCAGTAATGTCAATGTTTTTGGCCAAAGAAGAATATTTTGTCAAAAATTCAGTAAGTGGAAGAGCCTGTGTTTCTTTTTCTAGTTTTTCTGGCTTGTAAACAAAGATGAGAGTTTTCATTTACCAAAGACAGATATATGCAAAGAAAACCTAAGAAAGAAGGGCAGCTGCCAGATTAAATGTGATGGTTTATGCACATCAGCTGCATAAAGATACCTAATAATTAAGAGAAAAATAATTAACTCTGTAGTGCGACAGTCTGTCAGAGAGCTCTTTAACCAAGTGAATCATAAACATTAACTGCACTAGGACAAATTTTTATGATGTGCTGATGCACACAGAAGGACGCAGCATCACTGCTGTGATATTGCCCCCTCAAAAGTACATTATAGTCTAAATTTAACCATAAAGAGACATCAGTTTTATGCGAAGCTCAAGATACACGTATCTTTCATGTTCTGTAATTTGTAATGTTGATTTTAAGTAGTCTTTAGCACCCTAGGGAGCAAGCATCTCCTAATAATTTTTTTCAGAACTTTCTGGGTAATAAATGCCATCCTGTTAAATAAGTATTTTCTACTTTTTTTCCTGCTTTGTATCCATTTATTCACTTGTTTGCTTTTTAAAAAATTTTTACTTTAAGTTGTGGGATACATGGGCAGAATGTGCAGGTTTGCTACCTAGGTATACATGTGCCATGGTGGTTTGCTGCACCTGTCAACCCATCATCTATGTTTTCAGCCCCGCATGCATTAGCTATTTGTCCTAATGCTCTCCCTCCCCCTGCCCCTCACCCCGCGACAGACCCCAGTATGTGTTGTATGTTCTCATTGTTCAACTCCCACTTATGAGTGAGAACATGCGCTGTTTGGTTTTCTGATCCTGTGTTACGTTTGCTGAAGGTGATGGCTTCCAGCTTCATCCATGTCCCTGCAAAGGATATGATCTCATTTCTTTTTATGGCTGCATAGTATTCCATGGTGTATATGTCCCACATTTTCTTAGTCCAGTCTATCCTTGATGGGTATTTGGGTGGTTCCGTGTCTTTGCTATTGTAAATAGTGTTGCAAGAAACATACGTGTACATGTATCTTTATAGTAGAATGATGTCTATTCTTTTGGGTGTATACCCAGTAATGGGATTGCTGTGTCAAATTTTATTTCTGGTTCTAGATCCTTGATGAATCATCACATTGTCTTCCACAGTGGTTGAACTAATTTACATTCCTACCAACAGTGTAAAAGCGTTCCTATTTCTCCACATCCTCGCCAGCATTTATTGTTTCTTGACTTTTTAATAATCGCCGTTCTGACTGGTGTGAAATGGTACTGCATTGTGGTTTTGGTTTGCATTTCCCTAGTGATCAGTGGTGTTGAGCTTTTTTTCATGTTTTTTGGCTGCATAAATATCTTCTTTTGAGAAGAGTCTGTTCATATCCTTTGTTCACTTTTTGATGGGGTTGTTTCTTTTTTTCTTGCAAATTTGTTTACATTTCTTATAGGTTGTGGATATTAGACCTTTGTCAGATGGGTAGATTGCAAAAATTTTCTCCTATTCTATTCTGTAGGTTGCCTGTTCACTCTGATGATAGTTTCTTTTGCTGTGCATAAGCTCTTTAGTACTTCTAGTTTAATTAGATCCCATTTGTCTGTTTTGGCTTTTCTTGCCATTGCTTTTAGCATTTTCATCATGAAATCACTGTCCATGTCTATGTCCTGAATAGTATTGCCTAAGTTTTCTTCTAGGGTTTTTATGGTTATGGGTTTAACATTTAAGTCTTTAATCCATCTCGATTTAATTTTTGTCTAAGGTATAAGGGGTCCAGTTTTAGTTTTCTGCACATGGCTAGCAAGTTTTCTCAGCACCATTTATTAAATAGGGAATCCTTTCCCCACTGCTTGTTTTTGTCAGGTTTGTCAAAGATCAGATGGTTGTAGATGCGTGATGTGATTTCTGAGGTCTCTGTTCTGTTCCATTGGTCTATATGGCTGTTTTGGTACCAGTGCCATGCTGTTTTGGTTACTCTAGCCTTGTAGTATAGTTTGAAGTCAGGTAGCATGATGCCTCCAGCTTTGTTCTTTTTCCTAAGGATTGTCTTGGTTATACAGGCTCTTTTTTGGTTCCATATGAAATTTAGGGTAGTTTTTTTCTAATTCTGTGAAGAATGTCAATGGTAGTTTGATGGGAATAGCATTGAATCTATAATTTATTTTGGGCAGTATGGCCATTTTCATGATATTGATTCTTCCTATCCATGAGGATGGAATGTTTTTCCATTTGTTTGTGTCGTCTCTTATTTCCTTGAGCAGTGATTTGTAGTTCTCCTTGAAGAGGTCCTTCACGTCCTTTGTAAGTTGTATTCCTAAGTATTTTATTCTCTTTGTAGCAATTGTGAATGGGAGTTCATTCATGATTTGGCTCTCTGCTTGTGTATTTTTGGTGTATAGGAATACTTGTGATTTTTGCACATCCATTTTGTATCCTGAGATTTGCTGAAGTTGCTTATCAGGTTAAGGAGTTTTCGGGCTGAGATGATGGGGTTTTCTAACTATAGAATCACGACATCTGGAAACAGAAAATTTCACTTCCTCTCTTCCTATTTAAATACCCTTTATTTCTTTCTCTTGACTGATTGCTCTGGCCAGAACATCCAATACTATGTTGAATAGGAGTGGTGAGAGAGGGCATCCTTGTCTTGTGCCAGTTTTCAAAAAGAATGCTTCCAGCTTTTTCCCATTCAGTATGATACTGGCTGTGGGTTTGTCACAAATAGCACTTATTATTTTGAGATATGTTCCATCAATACCTAGTTTATTGAAAGCTTTTAACATGAAGAGTTGTTGAATTTTATCAAAGGCCTTTTCTGCATCTATTGAGAATCATGTGGCTTTTGTCTCTGGTTCTGTTTATGTGATGAATTACGTTTATTGATTTGTGTATGCTGAACCAGCCTTACACTTCAGGGATGAAGCCGACTTGATTGTGGTGGGTAAGCTTTTTGATGTGCTGTTGGATTCGGTTTGCCAGTATTTTATTGAGGATTTTTGCATTGATGTTCATCAGGGATATTGGCCTGAAGTTTTATTTTTGTTGTTGTTGTGTCTCTGCCAGGTTTTCGTATCGGGATGATGCTGACCTCATAAAATGAGTTAGGAAGGAGTCCCTCCTTTTCAATTCTTTTGGAATAGTTTCAGAAGGAATGATACCAGCTCCTCTTTGTACCTCTGGTAGAATTTGGCTGTGAATCTGTCTGGTCCTGGGCTTTTTTTGGTTGGTAGGCTATTAATTACTACCTCAATTTCAGAACTTGTTATTGGTTTATTTAGGGAGCCAACTTCTTGGGAGGGTGCGTGTGTCCAAGAATTTATCCATTTCTTCTAGATTTTCTAGTTTATTTAGGTAGACATGTTTATAGTATTCTGATGGTATTTTGTATTTCTGTGGGGTCAGTGGTGATATCCCCGTTATCATTTTTTATTGTGTCTATTTGATTCTTCTCTCTTTTCTTCTTTATCAGTTTAGCTAGCAGTCTGTCTATCTATTTTGTTAATTTTTTCAAAAATTAGCTCCTGAATTCATTAATTTTTTGAATGGCTTCTTGTGTCACTGTCTCCTTCAATTCTGCTCTGATCTTAGTTATTTCTTGTCTTCTGCTAGCTTTTAGATTTTTTTGCTCTTGCTTCTCTAGTTCTTTTCATTGTGATGTTAGGGTATCCATTTGAGATATTTCTAGCTTTCTGATGTGGGCATTTAGTACTATAAATTTCCTTCTTAACACTGCTTTAGTTCCCAGATATTCTGGTACGTTGTCTCTTTGTTCTCATTGGTTTCAAAGAACTTCTTGATTTGTGCCTTAACTTCATTATTTACTCAGGAGTCATTCAGCAGCAGGTTGTTCAATTTCCTTGTAATTGTGTTGTTTTGAGTGAGTTTCTTAATCCTGAGTTCTAATTTGATTGCACTGTGGTCTGAGAGACTGTTTGTTATGAGTTCAGTTCTTTTGCATTTGCTGAGCAGTGTTTTACTTCCAATTATGTGGTTGATTTTAGAATAAGTGCCATGTCGCACTGAGAAGAATGTATATTCTGTTGATTTGGGGTTGAGAGTTCTATAGATGTCCATTAGGTCCACTTGATCCAGAGCTGAGTTCAAGTCCTGAATATCCTTGTTAATTTTCTGTCTCGTTAATCTGTCTAATATTGACAGTGGGGTGTTAAATTCTCCCACTATTATTTTGTGGGAGTCTAAGTCTCTTTGTGGATCTCTAAGAACTTGTTTTATGAATCTGGGTGCTCCTGTATTGGGTGCATATATATTTAGGATAGTTAGCTCTTCTTGTTGAATTGATCCCTTTACCTTTAAGTAATGCCATTCTTTGTCTTTTTTTATCTTTGTTTGTTTAAAGTCCGTTTTCTCAGAGGCTAGGATTGCAACCCCTGATTTTTTTTTTTCTTTCCATTTGCTTGGTAGGTCTTCCTCCATCCCTTTATTTTGAGCCTATGTGTGTCTTTGCACATGAGATCGGTCCCCTGAATACAGCATACCAATGGATCTTAACTCTTTATCCAAGTTGGAGACTGGGTATTTTATAAAGAAGAAAGGTTTAATTGGCTCATGGTTCTCCAGGCTGTACAGGAAGCATGGCACCAGGCACCTGCTCAGCTTCTGATGAGGCCTCAGGAAGCTTACAATCATGGCAGAAGGCAGACGGGGAGCAGGCACATCACGTGACAAGAATGAACACGAGAGAGAGATAGTGGAGGGGAGGTGCCCTACACTTGTAAATGACCAGATCCCCTGTGAACTCAGAGCAGGAGCTCATTGATCACCTAGGAGTTGGCTCAAGCCATTCATGAGGGTTCTGCCCCTGTGATCCAATCACCTCCCACCAGGCCCCACCTCCAGCGCTGAGGAGTATACTTCGATGAGATTTGCGCAAGGACAAATATCCAAACTATATCAGGGAGTCGTTAGTATGTCTGGCCACCTTGAAAGGATGAAAGCTTATTGGAGTGGAAAAAAAATTGCCTCTCTCCAGCCATACAACTCAGTCAAACCACATTCAATTAACATAAATATATTTTGACCTCCAAGTATGTAAGAGGTGATTTATATTCACAATTTCTAATTTATAATACAGTTTCATAAATTTGATCTTCACAAGAAAGATGAGCAAATTGCTCCTTGCCAAAGTTAATTGGCTGAATTACCAACTGAAGTTCTGTTATGCTTGGCCCCAAATTCTGGTGGCCCCTTTCCATTATGTCAACTGGCTCTCTTTACATATAGATTCTCACCCTGTAGTTTCCAGTTCCTAAGGCAAAAGGAGAAAAGTTGCTGCGTGAGGATCTCTTGGCCCAGATTTTAAAAGTCAAAGACAGTGGACTGCCTTATAACCTCAAACGGTTTCACATTTCAGTTTGGAGCTGATCAGTGCATCCTCTGTGTCCTGATGCTTAACTTTTCTTTTCTTTTCTTTTTGAGGTGGAATCTCACTCTGTTGCCCAGGCTGTAGTTCAGTGGCATGATGTTGGCTCAGTGCAACCTCTACCCGCTGGGTTCAAGTGATTCTCCTGCCTCAGCCTCCCAAGTAGCTGGGATTACAGGCATACGCTACCAAACCTGGCTAATTTTTGTATTTTTAGTAGAGATGGGTTTTACTGTGTTGGCCAGGCTGGTCTCGAATTCCTGACCTTAGGTGATCCGCCCGCCTCGGCCTCCCAAAGTGCTGGGATTGCAGGCGTGAGCCACTGCACCCGACCAACTTTTCTGATATTATTTTGAATATGTTCATGCCCTCTCATTGCCTTATCCTAACCCAACTGCAGTCTTCTGGCTTCTGTCAGGTGCACTGTCCCTTATCCATACTGGCAAAGTAGTTGAGGGAGTCAACTTGGGGAACATATATTATTTTAAAAAGCTATTCAGATATAACAAGATAACTATTTAAAATATTCCTTTAAAATAAAATCATGTACTGCATTGTCACTTAAATTTCATAGTCACAATATTTGAAAAAATACTTAATTTTACCATTTTTATGCATGATGGCTACAATTCTTTACAACTTTGCCTACCAACCCTTTCAGGAATGGGTGAAAGGAGTGGGAAAATCATATTAAAATACTCAGTTTTACAACTTATTTCCTAGAAAAAATGTGCCAGGTTAACTTGTTTATTAAAAGAGGTGTGATGTCAATATTATTTCCTGCTTCAGAATATTTATCTTGTTTTGCAGTTCCACTAAAAGTCCAGGCGGAGCCATTGAAAGTTTTCCAAAATCAATAAATAATTTATCTCTGCAAATAAGACTCTTGCTTTCCAGGGTGGGATTAGTATTCCAAAGCATCCAGCATTAGAATTAGCTAGACCAATTCATAGGAGTTTATAATTAATCCTGACCAGAGGAAGCTAAATAAGAGTGAAAATGAAGTCAGATGATTGTCTGAAGTGAAGCTGGAAGGCGGTAACAGCCAGACTAAGTTTTCTGTAAGTACATGCAATGACCAGGAAAACCTCTCAATCTAGGGGTCAGCTTTTAGCAAGATAATGTGTCTTGCTAAATTTTTATATCTGCCACAAAAGGCAAGACAAGCACCACGTAAGGTATCAAAGGCTATATTCATTATTCTCTTGAGTGCAAAAGAGTCTGTGTCTGTGTCTATGTATGATTGTGTGTGGGTGTAATTTTCTCCATGGGTTTATTTAGAATTGTGTTCCTCTATTTTTGATGTATTTCTAGAACATACTATATAAATAAAAATGAAGCCTTACAGATGCAATCAAAAACAAAATGCTCAAGTTGTATAGTGTTATCTGTTGCATGTGGATTTGTTGGGCTACTTATTTATTTACATCACTGACAATTTCTTATGGAATGCCGACTTCAGAAATGTATTGTAGCTTGGACTCTGCAAATGTCTTTTACAACAAATGGGTCAAATTTCGATACCAAGAAGTAATCCTTAGCCTGTTTGTCTTTAGCTTTTTAACAAAAAAAGGTAATAACAATGTAAACAAAATTGCTATGTATAAATTCCTATCATAGGTATATGTTTTGAAAATCTAGCAAGTAAATTTAGTAATAATTTATTTTGTGAGTATCTTTTGACCTTTTTTGTCCTTTCTCACCTACTAGGAACAGTTTATAATCAGCTCATGCTGCATCAGTCACAGTATCCATTTAGGGTAGCACGAATCCTTGTCTTTTACCCTAATCTATAAATCTCTAACAGTGTAGTTTAAAAATTGCTTTTGTATGATAACAACTGCTTGTTAACAATCCTTGTATCTCACTAAACAGCTACACTCACCAGAGAAAAGGTGAAAAGGTCTCTCTCTTTCTCTCTCTCTTTCTTTCTGTCACTCTCTCTCTCTCATATGCAAATGCAGGCTCTGACATTTTCACTTTCCAGAATGTTATGCTATTTATTCCATCCCTAGAACTAGTACGTGTGCATCCTTTAATAATAGTCACTCCAAGCAACACCCTATTGCAAGGTTTTCCCAGTACCCACCATCTGCCACCCGTAGTCATAGTTGATGTTTCCGCTTTGAACTTCAGTTAACATCAGGAGCATATAGATAGCTCTTAAAGCATTCATCACACTCTCCTGTGGTCATTCCTTTTTTATTCTCTCTCATACTAAGCAGTAAAGTCCCTGAGTCCATTTTATTCCTTTTATTCATCTCCATTCCTAGCATGCTGTGTGGCATAGAGTAGGCTTGTCAAAAATAATTATTATGAATTAATAAACAGACATTCAAATACAATTAAGTGCCCCCCTACGAATACAGGAAAATTTTTCTGAAAAGAGGCTAAGTCATCATAAGCATAGTCATATTCATTAATGACAGTGATTACAGAAGGCCAACACTAAGTGCAGTGCCAGAAGCCATGATGGTAGTTCCATATCTGTAGAGAAAGACGATATTGTGAATAACGAAGAGAGGAATCTTAACATGAAGTCTTAAGCTATTGCCTTTGTCGTTGGTGAGTCTTGTGGTGAGAGGAGAACTATGCACAGTGAAGCATATGTTGAATTATGGGGCACATGCTTTTGCTTAAGTATATCCCTTTTCTTTTATATGAAAGCGTTATGAGGTCCTTCTGGGAATTGTTTTTTAAACAGCTGGAAAGTTTCTCATTTTTCAGATGAGGAAACTGAAGCTCAAATGTTTCAAGTGAATCTCCCAAGGTAATTAAGTTGGTTAATCACCGAACTGAGATGATCATCTTTGTGTTGTGATATACAGCTCAGTGCTCTGCACCGCTAGGAGTGGTGAATAACTTAAAACCACAGGACTCTGAGGTCCTGAGGTATTGTTTGTGGCCATTATCAACAATTTTAGTAACAAGTTCAGAACACATTTTCTTAGATCTCAAACTCCTACAAAATGTTATTTGTAAATAGAATGTTTTGTTAAGAATTAAAAACAAACAAGCAAACATATGCTAGGAGGATAATTGAAGGCTTTTAAAAAAACAATTAGCTGCTCCCAGGGATTCTAGTACTCATTTTGATACATGGAAGCTACTAAAGCCAGAAATTTAAAACATTGAAAATCAGTGCCAATTTGTGGATTATTACACTTAAAAGTGCATAAAACAACAGGATCCACTTATTAAAGAGTTTCTGTAGTTTACAAATAAATAATTCACCATAGATTTAAATAATGGTAGAAAGACACATTCATTCATTCATTCATTTATTCAGAAAATAATTATTAAACATCTACTATATATTAGGTTTCTCCAGAGAGAATATAGAATAGAATATATTATATATATGTATGTGTATATACATATATGTATGTTGGCTTAGCTCAAAAGATATGTCTATAGATACAGATACAGATATAAAGAGATTTACTTTAAGGAATTGGCTCATGTAATTTTGTAGGCTGTTAAGACCAAAATCTTCAGGGCAGCCTGGAAATTTCAGCAGAAGCTGATGTGGCAGGCCAAAGGCTCTGCCAAAGATGTGGTAGGCCAGTGACCTCTCCCTGCAGAGAAGTCAAAATCTTTCCTATTAATAAGATGAGTCCCACTCACATTATGGAGGGTGACATGCTTTACTCAAAGTCTATCAATTTAAGTGTTAATCACAACTGTAAAATACCTTCACAGCAACATCTAGACTGGTGTTCAACCAAACAGCCAGGCACCATACTTTAGTCAAGTTGATACATAAATTTAACTATCATAGACGCTGTGTCAGGGACTTCATGGAATTGGAAATTACACTAAGGAACAGTTGAGTTTGGAAGACATCCAATGAACAGATGACCACACAAACATGAATTGCCTTTGTCTCAAGTGCCAGAAACAAAAAGTGAGGGTACCTTGAGAAGTTATAGCAGGGAAACCTGGCCCAGTGGAAGGCACTTGGAGTGGCTCCCCCGAGAAAATGATAGTTAAGCTGGGGCCTGAAGGCTACAAAAATGGGGTTAACCAAAGAAAACAGGAGAGACTTCCAAGTGGAGGAGAAGACCCTGCATTAGGCAGGAGCTGGGAGAAGGCCAACGTGGTCAGACACTGGGATACTTGGGGGAAAGGGGGTACAAAGGGGTGTTTGAAGTGTGGGAGGAGCCAGATCCTTCAGTATCTTGCAGACCATGTTACAGGTTTGCCACTGTTAAGGTAGGACAGTGATTATGAAGGGTCTCTCCATATGCTTTGTGCCAAATGTATCAGAAAGGCTAAGAGTGGGAGGCAGGGTGGCCAGTGAGGAGGCCAGATAAGAGTGTGTGTAGAGAGGGAGATGGAGAGAATGGAATTAGCTCAAAAGATATTTTGAGAATATGTTGGAGAACGTGACGATTACTTATGAGGGTTGAGGGAGAAGTAGGTATCAAGCATGATTCTAAGACTTCAAGTTTGCTCCACGGTTTGGAAGCTGGTCCTGTTTGTTATGACAGGGAACTCTGGTTTAGGATTTCAAATTGAATAAGGGACCTATTGAGCTGGAGGTACTTGTGGTGTAGCCAAGTGGAGAAATCTAATAAGCAGTTGGACATGTAGCTCTAAGACTCTACAACGATGTAAAGGATGACAGAGAATTGAGAAATCATGAAAGTGGATGAGATTGCCTGGGAGAGTTATCATGAAAAGAGAAAGGTCAAAGACAGAGCTCAGAGCAGCTCATGACTAAAGGTCAGCTCACGACTAGAGGAGATGGAAAAGCAGAATGGCCTAAGAAATATGGACAAACCAGCACCTTCAAAGCCAGCAGAGTTGCATCTGTGTCTTCCTCCCATACTCACATCTCTCTCCAACCACAGCCATGATCACTGTTAGTGATTCATGGAGTTAGGTTGGGTCCACCTGGATAATTCAGGATCATCTCCCAAATTTAATGTCTTTAGCCTTAATCACACCTATAACTTTAGTTCCCTTTTGCTATGCAACATTATCTACTCACAGGTTCCATATGTTAGAATGGGGACATCTTTAGGGGACCAGTATTTTCTCTACCACAAAAACAACAATTCAGAGCACTGCTGAGAGGTCACAGAAGATAAAACTAAAATTTTTCTGATTGGGTATATCATATGGAAGTGAACAAAAGTAATTTCATTGTCTTGGAGTCACAGAAATGGGCTAAAAAGTTAAAAGAGGGAGATTACAAGTAGATACTTTATTCAAGAAATATGTGAGTAAGAAATGCTGGTCTTGAAACCCGTTTAAACATGAGTGGATATTTATTACCACTGAAAGAATCATTGTCTATGTCCAGGATTTTCCTGGTGGGGCAAGAATTCCATCCACCCCACCCCCAACTCCAGAGAGTCACTTGTTCTCTATCCAAAGTACCTGAGGGAAAATGACTACGGAAATAATTAAGGTTAATGAATAAAAATAAACTCTGGAAGATTCTTGTTAACTGAAAAAAATGAAACAAAGATTAACAAATATATATTCTGAAACTCTTGACATTCATTTCAATTTTTAAAAACAGTAATTACCTTGTGGTTTTAGATACATGTGTTCCAGGGCAATTAATCTTCTAATAAATGTGTTTCTAATAAACATTTGCTAATAACTTGATGTTGGTAAAAATGTTTCAAGCCTGCTGCCTCTGAAGCCAAAGACTTCAAAATAATATCTAGTGAGAGTTGTGCTTAAAATGAGTATCAGCACTAATATGAAAGAAAAAGCAAATATAATAGGAAGAAAAAAGGAAAAAATACTCTAATATTTATAAATTAATTTAAAAAATCATAATCATTAACAGTTGAGTGATTAACTTATTTTTGGCACCATTCTGAGTGTTGCACATTATCTAATTTAATCATTAAAATGCCCCTACAAAGAATGCAATAACTATCCTCATTTTGGAAGTGGGATAACTGAGGCTATACACACAGGGCTGGAGTTTCAATCTAGGAAATCTACAACTTTCAAACTGTCAATAACAGTAGGTAACATCTAGCATTGATTGTCTATCAAGTACCTGTTTTATACAATTTACAGATGTAAATACTTACGTCTCACCCCAGGCTTATGAGGTAGACGTTTTCACACCATTATGGATTGGAAAACTAAAGCATGCTTAAGTCACACATGTAATAAGTAGGTCAGAACTCACAGCCAAGAAGATTGGCTCCAAAGTCCAATTTCTTCTCCAAATATCTGAAATGTGATTTTTTTGGAAACTTTTTCATGTAGACAGAGTGTTATCTTAGACATTTCTGCTATTGTATTTTTAAAAGTATTTGGAATTAAAAATATATGTAATTTTGATGGGCTAGTAGACCCTTCCCTCTCTGAACTTCACCTTGCCTTCAAGAGTAAATGAAGAACTAGGTGATCCATATAGTATCTCTTAGCTGCATAGTTCTATGAACATGCTAAAGTTTCTTCTCCTCTTTTAACAAGTCTTTATTGTTCTGTTTTTACATGCTGGGATTTATGCTACATTGTATTATTGTAATGATTAATAATCATTTAGATCAAGCATTATTTGAGTACAGTACTTGCAACACATTAGGTGCTATGCAAAGTGCATTACTTGGTTTACTTTACTTAACCCTCACATGAGCTTTGCTTTTAATTATGATTACTCTCTCTACCTTACAGATGAGGAAGCTGAGCTTAGAGGCCCTTAGAGCCTTATTTAAGTCACACAACCAGTAAATGGCAGAGCTGGGATCAAACCCAGAAAGCCTCACTCTGAAACTCAGAAGCCCAGTCTCCTTACCATCTTACTGTTATATTGTAGGTACCAAATCATTGATGACAAGCATCGTTGATGAGGTTCATAGTATTTGTACCACACATTCTGAAACAGAGTCAGATCAGACTGAAGCAAAGATGAATCATTTGGCCTACATGTAAGAATGAGAAATGGGGAGATATACACGATGTGTCTGTCTAAAATAATATCTTTCTGACCCACCCAATTGTGGTAATTTCCACAATTAGAGCCTTTCCCTTGGGTTTTACAGATGGGGTCCAAAGGACCAGCTTAAAATATGACTAGAGGGAGCAATGATTTAACCACTTATTTCCTGAGACCAGCAGACAGATGAGCTCATCTGCTGCTGACAAAGGGCAGAACCCTAAAGGAATAGCTTAGGGTGTTTGAATCATGGGTGAAGTTTCTGGAGCTTTGTTTATGGCTGAGAAGTGGGCAAAGTATCACCAGCCATGGGGTGTGTGTGTGTGTGTGTGTGTGTGTAAAACTATGTACGTGTGTGTATGCGTGGTGGCAGCAAATAGCTAAGGGATTGCACAATTAGGTGTCAGACTTTAGAGAAAGCATATTATAAAAGGGATGGAAGCAGCAACTGAACATAAGAAGGTATTAAAGAAAAAGAGTCATCTGGTAAGTCTACCTCAATTTGGTCAGAAACTCACGTGACTGAGGCTGTCTTAGGGTTGTTCTCCATTTAAGAAATTCCTAGAAACATTGATGTAGTGGGAAATTAGTGTAACACAATTATGGATTTAGAAGGCTTCTGAAATCATCAAGCCCAGACTTTGGCGTCTGCTCAATCTGTGTGGGATACCTCAGATAGCAGCTATTTGGGGTCCATTTTTAAGGTCAACCCAGAATGAGAGTCTACAGTCAGCAGTCCTATGTTATCTATACTTGCTGTCAGGAAAGCCATTACATATCTAAATCCTTTATATCAAGTTGATATCCAACCTATTCTTAAGAAGGATAAAAATGGGTTATGTCATTATCCACCTAAAGGATTCTTATATTCCTAGAGCTATCACTAAATCACCTCATAATCTCTCTTTCCTATGGGATACCTTGAGTTCCTTCCATTTCTCCTTATTTGTCTGGTTATTTCTAAACTAGACACCTTCCAACACTCAGAAGGACAAGTATCATTGATGAGTTTCGTAGTATTCGTACTGCAAAGAAAATGATTTTCATCATGCAACATTGCTTAGAAGTGGGGAAGTAAAATGTGTGCCCACAGTGAGACAAGAATTTTGTGAATCACAATGACTCCTCAGACAAGTTAACGTTCTTTGCAAATCTGTAGAAAAATTCCTTCCTTTGCTTATCTGGGTCTCAGTCTGTAATGGCAAAAACCGTAATGGTGATAGTATTCTTATAAAGAGCTATTGTGGGGATGAATCAGATATCATTTGAGAATGTTTAATATGTAATTAATGTTATGAATATCATTTATGGATTATGAATCTTAAAACTATATTCAGATACACATACACAATTTTGCAAATAACATCATATATATATATATATATATATATAGAGAGAGAGAGAGAGAGAGAGAGAGAGAGAAAGTCTCTCAAGGTCTCATATATATATTACCAATTACCACAGTTGGGTGGGCCAGAAAGATATGATTTTAGACAGACACGTCACGTATATCTCCTCATTTCTCATTCTTATATGTAAGCCAAATGATCCATCTTCGCTTCAGTCTTAACTGACTCTATATTTCAAAGTGTGTGGTACAAATATTATTAACCTCATCAACAATGCTTGTCATCAGTGATTTGGTATCTACAACATAAGAGCAAGAAGGTCTCTCAAGGTCTCTCTTTCTCTCTCTCTCCCTCTCTAAATATATATATATATATATATATATATATATATATTCTCTTTGCTGTACTCTTAGATAGATAGATAGATAGATAGATAGATAGATAGATAGATAGAAAGAGCAAAGGTCTCTCAAGGTCTTGCTCTGTTGCCCAGGCTAGAATGCAGTGGCATGATCATAGTTCACTGCAACCTCGAACCCCTGGGCTCAAGGGATTCTCCTGCCTATGCCTCCCAAAGTGCAACGATTACAGGCATGAGCAACCTCACTTGGCCAGATACATAGATATTAATGAAGGGTAATTACATTATTCATTGTAATCAACATTTATGATTGTTGAAATTGTCTAACACTTTCATGTGTTGTTCACAGGAATGTAACCTGGAATAGTTTAGCTATTCCAGACACACACTGCTCACCAGAGCTAGAAGAAGGCTACCAGTGCCCACCTGGATTTAAATGCATGGACCTTGAAGATCTGGGACTTAGCAGGCAAGAGCTGGGCTACAGTGGCTTTAATGAGATAGGTCTGTCTTACTGGTAAAATACGTTTTAAGTTTCTATTTTGTGATGTTTATGAAGTGGACAGAATAATTAAATAATTGATACTAATATTTTGACTGGCTGTAGTATAGAAGAAATACAAATATAAATTTTAATTCTATGCCTATTTTATAATATATTCTACCCGACAGTGCGTAGCATACAAGCTGTGTATGTATATGGGCAGCAGTGTTTGTATGGAGTTACAGATCTCTCATTTTTGACTATTTCGATTCTCAATAACAGCATTTAAGCATTTAAAAATATTTGTTTGTTGAACAGGGTTCTGGGTTGTTGACTCAAAGATAAACAAAATTTGGTTTCCTTTCATATGTAACTATGTAACTATACCCTAATAGGCAAGGTAAGTCTTAAAAACTGTAATACTAGGTATTGATGAGTGCATTAGAGCTGAAAAGTGCTCCTTGATTAGAATACAATTAATGAACTACTTAGTGAATATGCATCAACTAAGTAATAAATGTATGGGAAATGCTTGTGCATGAGAACTATGTGCTCAAATGTGTACATTCTTCTTGGCTTGCCTTATTAAGTCCTAAAATGTGCCATTACATACATAATGAAAGAATTTAGCATCTGCCATTTAGTTGATATCATTGTATTTTTATAATTCCATGCAAGTTGCGCATATTATATTATTAAAGCAAAAAATGTATAATTCCAAACAAGTATTTTATGCCTTGAGAATTGTTATCAGAGTAATTTTTTAAACTAAAATTTCTTCAAGTGTCAGGCCTGCGTGCTAAACCATAAAGTTACAGCTTTTATATAGAATATAGTACTGAACGTGGGCTGATGGTATCTTTTTAAAGTCAGTTTTGCAAATAACATCTCAGGTTTTCATCTTTATGTTTTAGTATTTCCTCATATTTTATTTCAAGCATTATAGTTAGATGGCATTCTTCCATCTCTTTTGACCAGTAATATTGTCTCCTATTTCACAAAAATCCAGAAGCCAACTGATGTGAAGCAATTTCAATTTTCTATACTCTCTTAAACTTATCCAACTTTGTAATTAGTCTTAAATCCTTCCCTCTGTCTCAAAAGTACAGAGGCATCATGAATTATACCAATAACTTTTAGGCATGAGGAAGAAATCACAGATGTGGTATGGGAGGCGAGATGTATATAGGCTGATAGGCTGTGCGGAATAAGCTTCAGGAGTTCCAACAGCTGGGCATGACTAGAATGCATGCCTTATCAGAGTCTGCAGCTCTTTCTTTTAGGGTCTGAGTGTATCCATGTCTTCTATGGAGAGTGGTCACCATTCCAGGGTTAAGGTTGCCCTTACAGAAAATAACCTCCAATTTTTTAAAATCATGTAGCTAAAGCACCTCATACCCTCACCGTTTTTAATGCAACAATTGTACCCAAATTCAAAATGCAGCATTATATTCAAGTTGATTCATCTTTCTTCACTCTGACTTACAATGGCTTTGCTTAATATAGGGTAGAATCTCTTTTTGAGAGAAAAAGTCTCCTTGTACTGTGCTGACTTGAGAGGACCAGTTCTAGGAGGAAATTGCCTTGGAGGCAGTCGCCCCCTACTAAAGCAATTATCTTACTATAGCTGTACTGTTAATTTATCTCCCAAGGATTTAAGCTCCTTGAAAACAGGAAGTGCATCTTTTCGTCTTCAAGTCTCCAGGGCACAGGGCTATGCCTGGCTCACAGGGAGCCCTCCATAAATATTTACTAATAGGCTCAACAAAGCGTATGTCTTTTTAATTCATTGGTAACCAGGCATGTTTGTATGAGGAGGCAGAGCCACAATAGAGAATTTAGTTGTTTTCTTGTTGTTCTTTTGCCTGATTTTGTCTGTTTTTGTTGGCAATATTCATTATTCCTCATGACTCCTTCCTTTCTATACAGGCTTAATTTCATCCGTTTGCTTATTTTTCCCAAATTCATCATCACTGTATGACTAATTGTTAGATAATGAAATGTTGATCTTGTACCATAACCAAAACATTTTTAAATGGTCGTTATAATTTAGATTGAAATTGATAGCTGCTTCCTGATATTATGTATCTCTGTAGATACACAAACTACTATATTTAAAAGTTCTTATGGAAACAAAAGACAATTTTTTGCCCAAAATGAGGAAAATAAAATATTTTATTAGACACATGTGATCATCTCTTCATGCATGCATTTGAATTTAAAACATAATTAGGTGCCTAATTATGCATATGAATTTGGCTAATATACTTGAATATGTAAGTAATTATGGTTAGTTAAAAAGGAGCCCATTTCCTTTTCTTACTAATCAAATTACCATTCAAAACATGAATTTCAATTCACTTATAAAATTTCTGGCAGAAGTAGCTTTATGTCTCATTAAGATTTAACACTGATGATGTTGAAAAATTCAAATTTTAAAATATATTAAAAGCCAGAGTCATGGAGTAGAAAAAATTACAAGGAACCCCTGTTGTAAGATTGAAGAGTAAAGACATCTTTGCCTCTTTGTGTCCCCAAAATCATCCAAATATCAAGAAGATTGAGAAACAGAAATGAAATTTTCATGTTTAAGAACTCTGAAAAGCTGTAACTATAAACCACATCACAGGACTGGGCATCTAACAGAAAACTTCCTGAGAAGATTCTGCCTACTGTGGATCTCAGACAGCACCAGCAGGATAGCAATATTCTAAGATAATGCATGTTCCTGGAGGAACACAACTGTCTCATATTTGAGTCAGGGAATCAGAGCAAAGGCTGATTGTGGAGGCTTACTAGGACCCCATGCAGCATCACAAGGCAGAGGCCCTCATTTCTGCAGGCAGTTGGTGGGGAGATAGAGTGGAGGGGACACAACTGCTTTGTTGCTGCTGATCTGGGTTGGCTAGAATGGGATAAAAGCTAAACGGAAGGTTTTCATGGCCACTATAACTTAGGATGACCTGGGGAACCTTTTAAAACAAACAGATTCTCAAGCACCATCCTCATGTCAATTAAATCACAACCTTAGAGTGATCCAAGGAATAGATGGCTTTTAAAGGCTCTCCAGGTGATTAATTTATGTGCATGCAGAGTTATGAACCATTGGACTAAAGAAATACACACATAGACACACACACACCTGTATTATAAAAACCTTCAATTCCATCTTGATCCATTTTGGTTGTTGTAACAAAATGTCACAGAATCAGTGTCTCATAACCAAGAGAAATTTATTTCTCACAGTTCTAGAGTCTGGGAAGTCCAAGAGCAAGACAGCAGCAGATTTCATGCCTGGTGAAGGCTCACTTCCTGGTTCATAGAATGGCACCTTTTCACTGTGTCCTCACGTAGTAGAAGCAGTAAGGGTTCTCTCTTGAACCTCCTTCATAAGGTTACTAATACCATTAATGTGGGCTCCACCTTCATGATCTAATCACACCCAAAGGTCCTACCTTCTGGTAGCATCACCCCCATGGGGGTTAGAAATTCAACAAATGAATTTGGGGGAAACATCAGCATTCTGTCCATTGCACTATCCTAGAACATTACCCTGTTCCTCCCCAAAGTGAAACAGTGACAGACATCTGGTCTAACAAAAATTTATTTCAAAGATGAGTCATAATTGAAAGAATGAGGACCACATCTATAAAAATGTACTTTGAGGTACTTTTAAAACTGAAAAAAAATCATGATATATAACTCATAAAAGCTTAGTAGGAAACAGAGCACTGAATTACAGATTCGAAGGATGCAGCTTTTCTCAGTAAGTGAACATAGAACAGTCAACACTGAGACACATCTTAGTAAAATTGTTGGAAATCAAAGCTAAAGAAAACATTCATTAGGCATCCAGAAAAAATAAGGTCAAGTTAGCTATAAGGAGGTACATCAGAGAGGCCTGAAACTTCATGTCAATATGGAACTCTAGAATGTAATGGCACAATGCTTACAAATTCTTTAGGGAAAGAATGGGTCAAGCTCTTTCTGAATATTTTTGAAGAGGCAGGAACATAGAGACTATATTTTGCATGAAATCTTCTTGAAAACATTCAGTCAATCAAGAATTTCTTATCATGAGCTAGTCTCTAGTATCTATTTGTTTTAAGAACAAAGCTAATGTAACTGTAGGATTTACAAAATACAATGTAAATATTATAAATTATGAATATCTAGAAGAGATAAGATGAAAACCGGGGGAGATAGTGTGATTATGTTGATATTCTTAACATTCACATTTTAGCAGTTAAAAAAGTAACATTTATACAATATATGAAATGTATAATAGAGATATGTGCATACTTGTCATGAGATGAGAATGCATGATAAACTCAGAAATTACTTTCTTTAGAAATAACTCAAAAATCCAAATAATATTATCTATGACCACGTCCCAAAAAATCATTTCAATATGAGTAATAATATTGGAATCAATTCTTTCTAAATCTTGATAATAGTTCTCAAAAGAAAAGTAACAAACAGTATATTTTTTAACCTCTGAATAGAGTTATGCTATTTGCTGTAGCATGTTTAAAATTATTAGGGGCACATGACTCCTTTGTGGTAAAGTTTGCTTGAAGCACAGTTGTTCAAAAGAATGGCCCTGGGGTTTAGATCATGACTCCACTTTATATTAGTGTGACAGCCTTAGGAAAGTAATTAACTCTCTTGCCTCAATTTCCCCATCTAGGAAATGGGGTAAGTGATAGACCTACCTTATACAGTTAATGTAAAGAGCAACTGAGAAACTACACTTAGAGTACGTGTAGCGTAGAACAAACGCAGAATGAACTAGAAATTGGGATGCACGGGCAAAATATGAATGTATCTCTGTGTTATTTGAGGGAAAATGGTGTAATAATAAGGGAGGGCAGGACATAGATATTTTCACACTCACACACTGCATCTGATATGATTCCCTTTGTTTACAGACATTAACTATGCAGGTTTTCCAGTATCTTATTCAAGGGAGAGGCATTGGGGCAGGGGCACGGTGTTTTTTGTTTGTTTGTTTGTTTGAGATGGAGTCTCGGTCTGTCGCCCAAGCTGGAGTGCAGTGGCACAATTTTGGCTCACTGCAAACTTTGCCTCCTGGGTTCAAGCAATTCTCCTGCCTCTGCCTCCCAGTTAGCTGGGACTACAGGCGCCCATCACCATGCCTGGCTAATTTTTTTGTATTTTTAGTAGAGACGGAGTTTCACCGTGTTAGCCAGGAGGGTCTCGATCTCCTGACCTCGTGATCCACCCGCCTCGGCCTCCAAAAGTGCTGGGATTACAGGCGTGAGCCACTGTACCCGCCGGGGCACGGTGTTCTTAACCTTGCATCTTGCCTATGTTAACTCATATCTCCCATTTCATTTTATTCCAATCAATGACTAGCATTCTAGAAGGCAAGTTTTTGGTGATGTTTGGTCTTTATTCATCAATTATTCCCCTCCCCTCTCACAAATGTCCTGACTTCTGTGCTTGTACCAATCTCTCTAGAATCTGATCAACATTTAGCCCGTGTCATTGAATTTTCTAGTTTGATGAAGCATCATGCATATGTTTAATTTTATTTATTTATCCATATACATTCGAATCTGTGACCCCTGGATTGGAGCCTCTCCCTTTCAGCGCCTTTCAACAGGTGCTCCTTCCACAGAGCCTAAGTAAAGCACCAGCTGGGGCATTGAGCAGAAGGCACAGCCATGCTGTGATGTGCAGGGGCTCCAGCACTAAGTGATTTATTTTCCGACCTCCTCTAATTCCCTGAGCCACGTGACAACTGAGATACTAGTTATTTCTGTCTCTTTCTTCCATTTATGCACCTTTCCATCTTTATTTCTGGATAGCTTTCCTGTGGCTCCTTCCTAAGGACCCCCAACTGACTCATCCCTGCTAAGACATTAGCCCGTGCACTCAAGATATCACACACTCCCCATGTTGCAAGCTTCCTGAGTAGTAGACATAATCTAAAGGACATCTTGCAAAATCGCAAAATTTATTTAGCAGACATTGAGATTCCGTGATTGCAGTATGGGTGGCAAGGTGGGTAGGAATCATACAGTGGTAAGGTTTGGGGATTGACAACATCCTAAAAGCCACACTGTCGAAGTGACACAAAATCACAGCAACTTACCCTATTTAGAAAATGTGTCTTCCCTTTTCTGAATACTTACCCCACTTTCAGTTCCTACTTCCGCTGTTCCCACTTGCTCATAAACATATGAGACATAAAAGCTGAGACATAAAAGAGGCGACACTGTGATTTTCTGTAATAACACTGGAAATGAAATTACAGAAGTTTAGAGCTGGAACAGATAATGCAGTCATACATTTTACCCACACAGGTGGGGATCTGAGAGTCAGAGTGAGTGGGATTAGAATTACAGAGAACTCCGGGCAGAGGCAGGCTGAACTCACTTCTCCAGATTTGCAGATGTCCACCATACTTGCTGTTTCCACCAAACCGTCTTACAACTCAAAATAGTGTTTAAGAAGAAAATTCAAAAACAATTTGCAAAGCTTAGTTTTATTCCTAATTTTCTAGTGGAATGTTAGCATTATTTCCCTTTAGTGAAATGCTGATGGGGAAGACCGTTATCCAAACAGAGGTGATGTGCCAGTTAGAAAGAAAGCAACACAAAATATACCATATATGCGAAATAAATCACAGCAAAAAAACACCATCGAACTGGTGATTCCTTGTCATGACCTTTTAAAAGAAAGTAAAACATTTGGTACAAGAGATGAGAACAAAACTATTCAGGTGGTTATTTGAACCCTTCATTCATTGTACAGTCAGGTAAAAAATAAAAAATGTTCAGTTTGGACTAAACAACTTAATGAATGTCATTGGATGATAAAACTCATCCTGAAAAGTCACTTAGGAAGTAAATCGCTATCATGCATTTTTTATTAGTCTTTAGAATCATCAGAATAAATGACAAAAGCCCATTTTCAAAAAAATCCAGAATAAATGAAATTCAACTGAAACAGCTTATAGCAGAGGAAGCCCACAAGCAAGATAAACTATGAATCAAGACATTCTGAAAATAACTAATAGAAAAGACATACAACATATGCCCTTAACACTACACGAGCTGTATATGGTGGATCACTTTGCCTGTTCTATATATTCAAAAGTCGAAGGTAAAGCCAGGAAATAATAAACACTGTATTCTTATGGTGACTAATTGTCCATCAGACAGTCGTTACTTTTGTAATTACTGTCATTACTTAGGACAACTGTTGGTATCATTTATCGATTGCATATTATGTGCCTGGCACCAGTGAAAAGGTTTTGCATCCATTGTGTTTTTAATCCTCAAAATCAGCCCATGGGGTATCATTATCCCTCAGCTGATGAGTGGGGAGAATGAGATAAGCAAGAATGAACTCTCCCAGAGCCTCTTACCAGCCGCATTTGGAAGCCATGTCTTGCTGCCCCGTGTGCTGAGGCTGAAGCCTGTGCTCTTGATCTACAAACTACTACGTTACCAGAGTAGCCAGCCATGAGTAACCTTCATTCCTGTGGCTTGTCAGGACACCTGGTCCATTATAAAGTCTCATTATGATGATGGAAGAAACACATCTTCCAAAAGAGTGACCTGCCATAGTGGCATATCCTGCAACATGGTGACCTCCCTCTTGTCCTGAAGTCTTTAGACAAGTCTTAGAAAAAAGAATAAATGTGGGCTGGGCGTGGTGGCTCAAGCCTGTAATCCAAGCACTTTGGGAGGCTGAGGCAGGCAGATCACCTGAGGTCAGGAATTCAAGACCAGCCTGGGCAACATAGTGAAATCCTGTCTCTACAGAAATACAAAAATTAGCTGGGCATGATGGCGGGTGCCAGTAATCCCAGCTACTCGGGAGGCTGAGGCAGGAGAATCGCTTGAATCTGGGAGGCAGAGGTTACAGTAAGCCGAGATTGAGCCACTGAACTCCAGCCTGGGCAACAGAGCAAGACTCTGTCTCAAAAAATAAATAAATAAATAAATAAATAAATAAATAAATAAATAAATAATAAAGAGTAAATGTGAAGGAATGTGACGTCCACTGCAAACTGATGGCCCCTTAAGGGGTTGGTCTCTGGCTTTAAGTCTAGTCCCTTGTATTCTGTATTCTGTGAGACAGAGAGTTGGTGCATAATATATGTTAGTTGAATGAAAGAATATAAATATTAAACAATGTACCTGGGAGGCAATGCAGTTTTATAAGCTACTGAGCTGTAAACATCTGGGCAAGGATTAGAGATAATGCCAGAAAAAATTAGTAAATACTACTTTTGATGTAAAATTAGGTGGTAGACACATCATGGCTAGAGATGTGGGAGAGAACTTAGCAAGCAAAAGAAAATATGCTATTTGGTATATTTTAGTAAGTTTTGTGTGTATTTGAACTAAATTCAAAATGCCGTGATAAGGCATGTGTTTGCTATATGTAATGTATAGCTACATGCATTAATTTCTGTTGTGTATTTGAATTTACTTTCTTTGAGATATGAATATTTAAATTTGCTTTCTAAATTATCACAAATTAACCAACAAATTTATACAAGGTGATTTTGGAAATCCACATTAATTAATTTCTTTATTAGAATGTGACATAAACAGTATTTACCTTATTAGTTTTCTTTACGAAAAAATTATAAAGCTTTTCTATATATATCCTCCTTAAAATATTAGATAAGAAAACTACAAGTCGTCAGCTCCACAGGAGTTAACATGTGGATTTTGGATGCTAAGAACAAATTTAAGATGATGACTTGTAATCTTCATGAATTGCTTTTGGCAACAATAAATTAATTGGGCCTTTCAAGAAAATGCAGAAAACTAAGGTAAAGGGTGATTGAGTCTTCCAGATTTCCTATATTCCCAACTCACTTCTGAAGAACGTAATTATGAGTATTGAAATTTGGGACTGGTATTTTTTACAAGAAGAAATATACTGTAGCTGTTATTTACTTTTGTGGTATTTTTCTTCTTTGAATTTGGGTAGTATTGACTATAAGCTATGGACTCAGCTCCCTGTGTGGGTCATAAATCAGTTTTATTAAATATTGATTTAGAAATATCAGTTATTATTTTCATCACTGGTGGAGTTCTGTGCTTCGGACTACCCCTGTATCTTGCTGAAATAGGATTGACAATGGATCCACTTACACGGGTCCAGTGTTTTAGTTTTAACACAGGATTTGCTTGACTTTGAAATAACTTTCTATATCTTTTTCTATTAGTATTCTATTATTTTTATAATTTGCCTCTTATTACATCTGATGTTAAATATGGACATAAAATATGATGAAAGAAAATTACTTTTATTCAAATTATAATGGGATGTAAATTGAATTTTGTTGATGCTGCTGCTAAAAATTGATTCATCAGAGTTAAATGATATTAAAGCATATTTCATGCTACCATATGTGATATCAGATGAGAACTTTACAAATAAATAGAAAACAGAAAGTTATATATCTACAACCATGATTTATTACAGAACGTATATTTTTACTGCAGTCATAAAAGAAAAAGCCCAGTAAAGACTAATTTGTAAAATATGTAATTGAGATTTATAATGCTTTCAAAAAAAAAAAAGCACCAAGGGGTTTTTCTGATGCATTTATCTTGATGTTTACTGTTGCCATAGGAATTACTTATTGATTTTTATGAAAACACATATGGAAGAGAGAACTAAGGCAATAGAATTCAACTAAAAGGGCTTCATCTATGATAATTCTGTTTGCTCTGATAAAAATTCCTTTATCATGGAACAAGGAAAACCTGACATATTTTTGTTGAGTCGAGGACAAGATCAAGAAACATCCTATGAGGAATATTTGTGAAAACTCTTAGCCAAATGCAAGGAGTTTTATCCTTGTATCTTGAATCATAAGTGCCCCTAGGTTACATGAAATGTGTGCTTGAGGATTTTTAAAGGGACTGTCTTTAGGTTTCTCAGGTTCTCAAATAGGGCCACAGACTTACTTAAACTGAAATTAGGTGTCCAGATATTCTTCAGAATGTTAGGAAGAAAGGAGTTTAAAGGCAGAAATTGCAGGCATGACTTTTTAAAAATAAGGTTGTCCATTGTCTGCTGAAAGATGTTTAGGAGTTCTTGTTGAATGGATGAGAAAAGATAGTGACTAGAGGAGTTTTTCATCAGACAGTGAAAGGAAATTTTAAAAGTAAATTTTGGAGAGCATAAAGTGATGATTTATTTCATGTTATATGTAGAAGACAGTGTTCATTGGAAATATCTAGTGGATTCCAAGAAATTAGCATTTTTATGGTTGTATTTTAAACATTTATAAGTTAAAAAAGTAATACTTCAAATAATGTAAGAGATTTAATGATTTAAGAAAGTAATAAATTCTGCCATATATAATTCCCTCCCTCCTTCCCTCTCTTCCTTTCTTTTCTCATTTCTTCTCCCCTCTCTGTAAGTTTCATGGTATGTTATAACATGTTTTTCATTCTTCCCTTACTGATAGACATTTAAGTGGTTTTCAGTCTTTCCCTGCAATAAGTAATGCTGTGTTGAATACAGGCATATATACATTCTGTGCTCATGTGTGATTATGCTTTAGAACAGATTCCTAGAAACAATTTCTGGGTGAAATGATATGCACATTTTTAATATGAGATAGCTGGCGGTTTACTTTTTTAAAAGATAAGGATTCATAGTACTGCCTTTATTGCGTGAGTGAATTTTTATAAATACAAGGTATTCTTTTTCAATATGCATAAATATTGAAGAAAAAAAATAATGTAGGCATTTCGTATTCCGTACTCTGTACTCTTCTGAACACTGGCAGTCCATTCTCTTCTTGAATGTATGTATTCATCCCATTCTTCCTGGAATGCCTCTCTCCATTCTCTTCTTGAATGTATGTGTTCATCCCATTCTTCCTGGATTGCCTCTCTCCTACCGCTCCCCCTACCCCCATCTCCTGTGACTCACCTGTCAGGACCTACTCAGGTAAGTTTCCCCTAATCTGCCAGCAGCACTCATCTCCCTTCTGTCTGAACTGTGATAGCAAGGTTTGTGCATCAAAGTGGACACTTCGTTACTTCGTTCTACATGTGTCCCACCGTCTGGGAGTGTGTGTGTGTGTGTGCACACGTGCGTGCCTGTGTGTGTTTTACCCTTATGTTCTGGATTCGTTCATTAGACCCAGTTGTCTCAGGTGGGAGCAGAGCCTCAGGCACTTCTTTTGATGTCTTTTCTCGCTCTCATTGAACTCGGTATATACTTGAGGACTGGCTGATCACATTTATGAGAATTTTATATTTGATAGATTGCCTTTTGAAAATCATCATTCTGCAGAAATTTAGTAATTGAAAATTTAAATCAAATTCAAATACAACTCTAGGCTCTAATTTCACTGTTCGTTTGAATGTATGACTTCTCTGTTAAGCCAGATACTCACGTGAAACAAATGTGAATAGAATAGCATGGAAATCGTGTATGGACAGTCAAGGAAACTTTCTCTGCTGGCGACAGCAGCCTGCAGAACATAATTCCCTGGACACTCTATGAAATCAAATCCGTTTTATCAACTAATCAGTTGGAGCAAAAAATAATAATAGTGTTATTTAGGAAAGCCGTAACACAGCTCTTACCTCAAGGCTAATGAAGACCTGACCCTTGAACTCTAGGGGCTTCCATGTTCCAGCTTGTGAGCCCTGCTTTGCCAAAACCCTGCTGAAGAGGTAAGAGCCTCCTTCTCTGGAGAGAAAGCCCCCAGCCTTTGACAAAGTGCTTCTAGCCTGAGCCATGTGGGCTATGAAAAAGAAGTTGGTCATCCCGAGGAGTCACTGGACAGTGGAGAGAGCCCATCCATTTTTCTCCTTTATTCTTCCCTACCCCTCAGCTCTCACTCCCTTAGGACTTGGGATTCTGGAATCATAAAAGCAAAATATTCTAAATATACTAAAACATGCTAAATAACTTAAATATGCTAAATAAAATTAAAACTAAAATAAACGTATTAGAATAAATCATGAATGGCTAATAAATATAAGCTGCCACCATTAAAACAAAAATAACAACCACTACCACAATTGCTACTATAAAGATTATTATTGATCAGCTTTATTTTTAGGTAAGTAGAAAAGTGAGATGTATTTCTATTTTTCTGAGAATGTAACCATTCTGAAAGAATAGGAGATACTTTCTCACAGTAAGCAGAAGAATGAGATGTACTCATAAATAATATATTCAACAAACAGTTATTTTGCACTTACTCTATATAGGTACTGAAAATAGAATGATGTTAATAAATATGAACAGCCCTCAAACAGAGATATTAAAATAAAACAAGAAATGAAGGTGAAATAAATTTAGAAGAAACGATGGATCATTAACTTGTAGTAGTTCTTACAGCCATGTGCTGGATGCAGGCATCCCTGTCTGAGTGTGTGCGTGTGTACAGACATTGTTTCCAAACTTTTTTACTATAACTTTGTTAAAGTGAAGCGTGAGCACTCCACATTTGCTGCAAGTCTCACTTCCCCTATTTCCTTTATTTCTCACATTTACGTAACTTGTCTAACCTCTGAAACAAATGTTTTTATTAGTTCTGGTAATGCAAAATAATCTTTAGAGAATTACGTTTTTATTTTTGCTTTTGTTAAATAAGATCTACAGTAGCATAAGTTAAGTGTGCCACCTTCATTTTGTAGCTGGCTAAATATTTCTGCTTCCTGTGTACTTTTCTGAAAATGGCTTTAATTTGTCTTATTTTTGATAATTAGCTTCAATTAGTGCAGAATTCTCCTTTGGTATTGATTGGACATAAAACCTGAGATATGTTCGTTGTATTCTGGAATCTATTACTGCCAATAACAAGCCTACCGTGAGTCGAATTTTAAGGCTTTCCTTTTTTTTTTTTTTTTTTTTTTTGGCTTTGTGAATTTGGGTTTTTTTTAACATCGTTTTTCTCTGGTAGTTTTTAAGATTTACCCTTTGTCTTTGCTGTCTTATGGTCTTAGTATCCTGTGCCTAGGCATGGATTTTTATTTTTTATCTACTGTGAACTCATTCTCTGCATATGAGACTCATGCCTTTCTTCAATTCTGGAAGGTTTTTAGGTATTATCTTCTCAAAACAGCTCTCTTCTCCATTCTCTCTATTCTTTGTTTTCTGGAATACTGATTAATATTTGTTTTTATCATATTTTTTATTCTATCCTCCATGTCTTTAAATCGTGCTTTCTAACTTCCCTCTATTTTCTTGACTTCTCTTGTTACCACACAATGGGCGGGTTCAGTTGCTTGGCAGGTGGGAGTCCAATGACCACAACCAAGGAGGATTTAACCAAGGGATTTCATTACTGGCAACAAGTAAGTAGAACACTGGGGATAGTTCCCAAAGCAGTGCCTCCCCAGACACAGGTGGAAACAGGGCTTTGTGGGGGCTGCTTAGCTGAGTCACTGTGTGCAGAGGTGGAGTGCAGGCAGGCACAGCTGTTGTTCATGCTTCTTCATATGTTGCCCATACAGAAAATGGCACATAAGCTCTTCCCTGGGCAGGGCATTTAGTATGGTAAGGTGAAGAGGTCTCCAAAGTTCATCTCCAGCTCAGGCATCCCCGGATGCCTGGGACCAGTTTTTTGTGTTTGTTCTTTGTTTTGCAGGGGCTCGGCTTCTTCCTAGAACACTTTTAAACAACGGAAACTCAAGGTGCAACAGTTAAAAGTGGATAGTTCTTCACAGTGTGTACCCAAAAACCCAGGGACCCTGGGTTACACTCTTGATCCTTGATTAGTTGCACAAGGAATCTTCTATCATTCTCTGTCCCTCCAAGAGTTGTTTACGTATTTTCAAGCTCAAATTCTTTGCTGAACTCTTAATTTTCTCTCAGTGTGTCTAGACTGCTATTTATTTATCGAATTTTCAATTCCAACATCTATAATTTTTATACCTAATATTTCTATCTAATTCTGTTTCAAACCTGCCTGTTCTTTTATCTTAGATTCCTGTTCTTGCTGTTTTCTTTCTAATCTTTTCTTCATCTCACCAAACATTTTAAACATGCTTATTTTAGAATTTGTTTCTAATGCTTCCATATTTTCTAACTCTCCTTTACAATAGTTCATTTTCTTGTGTGGTTTATAATATTGGCTATGAGCTCATTTCCACTGGCTATGAGCTCATTTTTCAGGGGTACTCTGGCCTGAACTGTGACTGGGGTTGTGTTTGCTGCAGTTTCATGGATATCAGCCGTTCTTACTGATACTCGTGTTACTTTTGTGGCTTAAAGAATATATTAATGTGTTCTCATGCTGCTAATAAAGACATACTTGAGACTGGGTAATTTATAAAGAAAAAGATTTAATAGATTCACAGTTCCACATGGCTGGGGAGGCCTCACAATCATGGCACAAGGTGAAGAAGTAAAGGTATGTCTTACTTGGTGGCAGGCACATCTTACATGGGGGCAGGCAAGAGAGCCTGTGCAGGGAAACTGCCCTTTATAAAACCGTCAGATCTTGTGAGGCTTATTCACCATCATGAGAACAGCACAGGAAAGACTCGCCCCCATGATTCAATTACCTCCCACTGAATCCCTCCCAGGACACATGGGGATTATTATGGGAGCTACAATTCAAGATGACATTTGGGTGGAAACACAGCTAAACCATATCAGGGAAGGAGAGGTCCTTGAACTATTTGCATTATGGGGGCACTGTAAAATTAGACTACACACTTCAGTTGGCCCAGGTCTGGATTCTGATTTCTCTGAGGAGACTCTTTTGCCCCGCATGGATCTGGACAGAAGTCAAGCAACATTCTGCTTTTTTCTGAGCTGGAGGCCAGGGTTCTTCCAGTCCAGATAAAATGCAGAACAATCCTTTGTAACACCCAGCTTTGTAGAGACACCTCAGCTCCAACTTACTGTCTTATATTAGGTGCCTCCCAACTCCTCTCTCTATTGGGACCCAGAAGCCCTGAAGATTTATATTGACTCCAAGTACATCTGTGAACCATTTGGCTTCAGCTGCTGCTCACAGCTCTGATTTTATATTCTCCCAAACTCTCTGACCGCTGGATAGTTTGCTCATGTAGCTTTGAGATAATTTATACATTCAAAACTTACTCTCTTTTATCTATTTCCTTGTGTTGATTTGGCATAGGGTGAGGAGGGTAAGGGAAAAAGGTGTCTAAATAAGCATAGTCCAACACATTGACCTAAAGCCCATATATATATATGCTGCTAATAACATTATATATATGTATATATATATTATATATAATTTTTTTTGAAACAGTCTCTCTCTGTCACCCAGGCTGGAGTGCAGTGGCATGATCTCAGCTCACTGCAGCCTCCTCCTCCCGGGTTCAAGCAATTCTCATGCCTCAGCCTCCCAAGTAGCTGGGACTACAGGCGTGAGCCACCACGCCCGGCTAATTTTTATATTTTTAGTAGAGACAGGGTTTCACCATTTCGGCCAGGCTGGTTTAGAACTCCTGACCTCAGGTGATCTGCCCACCTCAGCCTCCCAAAGTGCAGAGATTACAGGTGTGAGCCACTGTGTCCAGCCTATGTTTTTATATTTTTAGGATTCCCATGTAATGATGCAATTTTCCTTTCTTTGATATGATGCATCTATGATTTTATATTCTAAATGTATTTTTATACTTATATATAAAATGCATTTTATTAATTAAGCATTAGTTCTTAAAAGTTGGTATTTCCTTGAACTTTTAATTTTACAAATATTCCATTTCGGTGTTATTATTTTTAGTATTTTTTTGCTGCTGAATAGTTATGCCAACCTCTGTGCAGCCTGGGAAGACAACACATCAGCAGTCAATTTGTGTAAAGACAAAATAATATTAGAGAGCAAGAGAATGAGACAAGACTGCAAATCAGCAATAATAATTATTGAGTACTGAGAACAATTCCAGTGGATTAAGATTTGGGATGCTTAAGCTTCTTAATATTAATTGCAGCAAATATTCAAATGCTTTCACTTTCCATATAAGTACTTCAGCAAATAAGCAAAATATGAAATAAAAACCCTAATTCAGAATTACCTAAATATAAAACAAGTAAATTGTCCTAGGCAATTCTTACCATCTTATGTCCAGTAAAACAATAACCTATATTTGTGCATACAGATATATTATCTCATTTAAAAACTAGCGGTGATTGTAAATCTTGACACCAAATTGAAGTTGAACTGAAAGAGGCTTTCCTGTAAAGATACTTAGGATCCTTACATTGTATGTAAGGAAAGTCACCTAGTCCTCACATCAACCCCAGGTGTGACATGTTATTAACTTATTCTAATGGTACAGATGTTGAGATGCAGAGAACAGAAGCAGCTCTTAGGGGACAGAGACAGGGCTCAGTGATGATTATATTCACCTGTCATGGGGTAGAGCTACAATAGTGAGTATTCTGTGGATGGTCCTATCCAGATAAAAGAAGGAATTGGTTTCAGGACATAGTCTGCATCTTACTAGGTGGGGAATGTTGGACAAGTTACTTAACCTCTTCTGCCCTGTAAAATAGGGATAAAAATGGTACATATCACAGAGTGTCATAGGAAGACTAAAGTAGACTATTCTCATCCTCACACCTAATGAGTTCTCAATATTTAACTGATTATAATTATCTTTACTAGATACATAATTAAGTAAATAAATTAAGGAATTATAGAGCAAATAGTCATAGGGTCACACAGATAGAAAGTGGGAAAAATAGGAGACAAACCTATGTCTATATTCATTCCATGGCATTAGATTTAGATTGCCTCCTTTTAGTCTGGCAAAACACTCATGATTATACAATGTAATTTAAAAATATACAGTACTTTGCTGGGTGTGGTGGTGCATGCCTGTGGTCCCAGCTACTTGGGAGGCTGAGGTGGGAGGATGGCTTAAGCCTGGGAAGCAGAGGTTGCAATGAGCCGAGATCACGCCACCGCACTCTAGCCTGGGCTGTAGAACGAGATACTGTCTCAAAAAAGAAAAAAAAATACAGTACTCACATTTTACTTTGCTAGTATATGCTGTATTCACTGGTGTATGCTCTCTTGCATGGAGACTTTCATTGGGAATAAAATGTTTGAAACTATTTTACTATTTCTTGCACTGCTTTGAGATACTACCAGCAAAGCTATTTCTAAGCTGAGACGCTATGTCCTGGCAGGACTTCTAAAGACTTAAAGCAATGCTGTAGCTGTGTATTTACAACTGACTAGAGCAGGGATCAGCAAACCATGGCCAGTGGGTCAAATCCTGCTTACTGCCAGTTTTTGTAAACAAAGTTTTATCGCAACTCCCTGCCCATTTGTTTAGACATGGTCTGTGGCTGCTTTTCTCCAACAGCAGAAAAGTTCAGTAGTTCCAACAGAAACCCTGAGGCCCATAAAGCCTAAAATGTTTACCATCTGGCCATTTACGGAAAGTTAGCCAACCCCCAGACTAGAATAAAGGTAGGAAAAACCACTCAGCCCAAGCTTCTTTTTTGATTCTATCTTCCCACAGCTGCCTAGAATCCTTTGCAGTCTTTATCCTAGGAGGCTCAGAGGCTATAACACATCTCTAATTTTGTCTAGATTTGTGAGAATCCATTTCTCACAAATCCAGTTCTGGCCCTCTTTCCCTGACTCGATGTTCCTTGAACTCTAAACATGAATTTTTAAAAGAAGGATTACCTGGGATGGGTATATCCCTGAAAGTCACCTCCTTTCTGCTGCCTCTCACAAATACACAGGCTATGTGCCTTAAACCTGTCATTCACTTTAAGGAATTTTTGAAAAGTGGATAATAGGTTAGACATAAAATTCACTGAATCTGGGTTAAATTTAATCAGTGAGTATTCTTTAGAATGGAAGCATGAGCCTGAATGATTAAAGAAATTGCTTAAAAAATTAGAATCAAAATACTAAATATCATCCCCCCCAATGTTTTAGCTAGAAAAATTACTTGAAAATGAGCCAGAGAAGGAGAAAAATAATTATCTTACAGAAAACTAATAAAAATACAATAAACTATCATTTATTTAAATACAATAAACTATCATTTGTTAAAATACAATAAACATGCAAAAGCGCTATCATTGATAGCACTTTTAATGTTTAAATAACCCACTGATTACTTTCTCTAGTGGATTATTTGCAAGGGTAGAGTAAGAATCGTCGCTTCTCTGGACACATAACCCATTTGCCATGTGACATTGCCTCCCTTCCACCAAGAAGTGGAATGTATTTTTCCTCCCCTTAAATCTGATGCCTATAACTTTCTTTCCCCTTGAGATAATGGCAGAGTGGCATTGTGCAAGTTTTGGAACTAAGGTCCCACGAGGCCCTGCGGCTCTCTCTCTTGTTTATCTGAGTACTGCCCTAAGATGACCATGGAGAGAAGCCCAGTCTAGCCTAGAAAAGGAGAAGAGGCCACATGGAGAACTGAGGTCAGCCAGCCCCAGCTGCTTGACTTCTGAACAAAGCCTTCTCCGACTATTTGGCCCTGTTAGACCCAGCTGAGATCAGCAGAAGAATCACCCATCTGACCCTAGCCCAAATTGCCTTCTGCAGAACCACGGGCCAATAAATAGCAGATGCTTTAACCCACCATATTTTGCAGTGATTTGTTATATGGCAACATATCATTGAAAAACCCTCATTTTACCAAAGAAGGGGGGTCATGACATTAAGCAACTACCTAAACCCACAATGTAAATGGCAAGTCAGGGATTTAGATGCAAATCATTCCAACTAAAAATGTATACTCTAAATCAATGCCCTGTACTATACTCTGTATTTTCCAAAAACTAATTAGATTGTGTCATCAGCATTTCTGAAGACAGAGGTAGTCGTCTGGGAAGTAGAGTTTTCTCAACCAGTATTTTGCACTTGTTGGGATTTTTGAGATCAGGAATGTTTTGGAAAACCTGAGATGTGCAGTCACATCTCTGAGCAGTGTTTTAAGTTTATTCATTCACTCATTCATTCATTCAGCAAATATTTATTGAGATCTACTATATGTTAGGCACTATGTTTACCACTGGAAGGCAGGCACCAGGTAAGTACAAACACAGAACCTGAGATGGATGGCATTGCATTTTCATTTGATTACAAATTTATTCTTGCTTATAAGTTGATTACCTACCTTATTAAGAGCTGATTTGTTTCAAGTTTTAGAACTCCAATTGTGTCCTTAAATTTTTGTCTAGCTTAAAACATAGTGCTAGATTTCAAGAAGTAAATTGTCAAACAGGTTTGCTGTTTAGTTTTTGTAAAAAAGGAAACTTGTAGGCAGAAACAAAAACCAAAATAAATAAAATCTAAATTATGGTAATAACTAAAGATAGTTGAGGCATTAACAGAGTTTGACTGAACTCTCAAGTCTCAAGCAAATTTCTAAACTAAACTGTTTTCTTCTGTTAATCAGTTTAAAAGGGAATACCTTGTGCTAATTTTTCTTGGTGTTGGTAACATTAATAAAGCTCTGTGAAATGAGGCCAGAAGGAACAGAAATTGAGTCAAAATAATGATAACACCTCTTACATATTCTTACCATCTTGTCTCCTAGCCACACACACCATGTTTAAACCTAAAAGGAGAGACACCTGGAGGGGTTAATTAGCTTGCAGCTGTCTGTGACTAGTCTGCAGAGGATAAAACGGATATCAGCCGTAAGAAAGCAGCTAGCACTAGCCTGGATGATGAACAAAGAAAAGAAGCAGCTGCTGAGGAAAAGCACATTTTGCTGACCTTTGAGGAGGGCTTAAGAGGCCCTTTGCCCCCTGAAAATGGGACCTGGGAAGAAAGTCTTGATGGCAGACAGTACAAAATCAAGGGACAGCAGCTGGCTGTTTTGTGTAAGGGGCAAAATTCAAGAGGATTTGTGAATCGTTGTGATTTACAGTGACCATTAACTATTGTAATAAGGAGAGAAAAATCAACATCCATTCAGTGCCCACATTGCAAATTGCCAAGCACTGGAGGGGTACTTTCACCTAGGCCAACAAACTTAATAAGCAGAGAAACCCTTCAGTGTTTTGGCTCCTACAGCTCAAGTGTACTAGGTTGGCAAGTGGAAGTTCCTTTGGTCATCTCTGTTTATACACTTGTTTGAGATATTTCATAAAGTCAGCCCATTTGTTACTTTATCTGTAGTATGTGCTGTTTCATGTGGAAGATGCTTGCCTTTTGATAGTATTCCAAACTGACCAACCCTGTACGGATTTAAGCCACTGAGAAGCTATGAACAGACAGGTGAAGTTTTGGTATTGCCAGGAACCAGCTTGTCCAGAAGTTTAATCCTTTAAGGAAAAGGATAGCAAGCCCAATGCAACAGCCCTTCATGCTAAAAACTCTCAATAAATTAAGTATTGATGGGACGTATCTCAAAATAATAAGAGCTATTTGTGACAAAACCACAGCCAATATCATACTGAATGGGCAAAAACTGGAAGCATTCCCTTTGAAAACCGGCACAAGACAGGGATGGCCTCCCTCACCACTCCTATTCAACATAGTGTTGGAAGTTCTGGCCAGGGCAGTCAGGCAGGAGAAAGAAATAAAGGGTATTCAATTAGGAAGAGAGGAAGTCAAATTGTCCCTGTTTGCAGATGACATGATTGTATATCTAGAAAACCCCATCGTCTCAGCCCAAAATCTCCTTAAGCTGATAGGCAACTTCAGCAAAGTCTCAGGATACAAAATCAATGTGCAAAAATCACAAGCATTCCTATACACCAATAACAGACAGAGAGCCAAATCATGAGTGAACTCCCATTCACAATTGCTTCAAAGAGAGTAAAATACCTAGGAATCTAACTTACAAGGGATGTGAAGGAGCTCTTCAAGGAGAACTACAAACCACTGCTCGACAATTGTTAAAAACTAAAGTTGTTGGGGAACAAATTGTACTTAAAATATATTTATTGTGTAATCTGATAAAATATTTTAAATTCTGGTGTTACAAAGTTTTAGTGTTTCTTTTGTTCTTTTTACAAAACAGAAACCCACTAAAATGTTAACTGATTGACATTATATTTTTTGCTTTCGTCAGTGTTAAATACTTGTTGCACAGTAGTATGAGTTGTTTCTATCATTTACTCTTCTACAAGCCAGTTGAGACGTGTTACGAGGACTCAAAATATTCTAATTGGCGGTGACCAAATGTCATACAATTATGAAGTATACAAGCCATTCTAACCTTCACAGTAAATTTTTTTACCCTCTGGTTGCATACTTAAATAGAATTATACTAATAATGCATATTTTCTGAATGTTAATGTCATGTGAAATTGCTACTAAGTTAAACGTTGCTTCCCATGGTTTTCTGGGTGATGGGTGTTTATTCTGCTTATTCAGTGCCTCTCTACATAGAGGAACCTATCTCAGTGACTCCTGTACTACTCTACAACAAAATGGCAGAAGAAAAGTTACCCATTTGAAAAAATACCTTATTTTCCAAACAGAAGTCTTCAGACAGGCAGTGCACAATATTTGCCTTCCAGAAAAGGAGATTGCATAAATGCATAACTTACATGTTAGTACATGTGACTGTTTCCCTGTCTTATCCTGAATGCATGGAAAATCATGAGACTTATTTTTTTCTTCCTACTGGATTCCATTATAAAACCTCTATTTGTATAGGTTATAAATTCTAACCAATAATTGAGCTTACTATGTTGAGGCTGTAGGCAGAGGATAAGATTTACATGTCAGACTTTATGTTCTGCTCTTTGGATTAGGGTAATTTTCAAAAGTTATTGACTGTAAAATAATAATCATGCACTGAGGAAATACAATATTAAAATAAATTTTGAAGAAGATGGAATTATAGCAGGGGACCTGTGGAAATAGAATCTAAGAACATATTGTACATATGCTGAATTAATAGAGTTGCATTGTGTCGTTCACATAGCAAATTCAGTACAGATTGTTTGTTAATGTCAACAGATTATGCCGTAAAATTTGTAATTTGTTTGGCAAATCTTGACAATGCTGAGACATTTATTCTAGTTAATACAAATGGCTAAGGTCTGTAATTATGAGTTATTTAAGCTAAGAAATTTGGCAAGTTCATTATTCATCAGTCTCTACCTACTATTCCAAATTAATTGACTGTTTTATATACTGATACAATTAATAGTAAACTTTTTATATTAAGTATACATATGTGAAATAAAATCATATTATTATTGGATTATAAGATGTTAATAATGGTAAGTCATGACTGTTATTTTGTTGAAGTGATTTTTTAGAATTTTTAAAGGTTTATTCAACAAAATAGAGTTATCTTACTTAAAAATGGATGCTTAGGGCCAGGCGCAGTGGCTCACACCTGTAATCCCAGCACTTTGGGAGGCCAAGGCGGGCAGTATCACCTGAGGTCACAAGTTTGAGACCAGCCTGGCCAACATGGTGAAACCCTGTCTCTACTAAAAATACAAAATTAGCCAGGCATGGTGGTGGGCACCTGTAATTCCAGCTACTTGGGAGGCTGAGGTAGGAGAATTGTTTGAACCCGGGAGGCAGAGGTTGCAGTGAGCCGAGATCATGCCACTAAATTTCAACCTGGGCGACAGAGTGAGACTCTGTCTCAAAAAAATAAAAAATAAAAAAACCACGCTTAGAGATTTTTAAATTAAATTAGTTTCAATACTTCTATAATAGTTAAAACAAGTGGTTTCTATTTAAATCACAAATGATAGAGGTTAGAGATGAAACTAAACATATGAGATCATCAAGTCCAACCTTCTGCTACGATATTAGACTTCAAATGAAAAGCACATCAAACGTTAACCAGATGATTTCTTTGATAGTCTGTTTAAAAATATTGAATTAATAAACTGGAAACATTTTAAAAATTGCTGTTCTTTTGGAATTAATATAAAAACATATACTTTAAAGTAAGGAATTTTATACTGATTAAGTTATACACTGCTTAGCCTAGCATGTGTATGTTATACTTAAAAATGTGCATTGTACATTGTCAAATAATTTGCACACGATCATTTACACATCTGTATTGTTCACATTGACGTACTTTGTGTCATATATATTTGTGCATTATCAGTTGATTTGCACATTGCACACCAGAGTCACACAGTTATAGATCTGTGTGAATTCCCTATATTCCACATGCATGGACATGTTCATATATACCCACACAAATACACCCCATGAAATGATATCCAGTTAATGAATACAAAGGTTTTTAAAGGAGAAATTCATTAGAAAAAAATCCTATAAGCCTCTAGTTTTCCCAATGAATTAATCTAAGAATGGATATTTTATTTTTTCCATGTTTGACTTGTAAAGTAAAACTTTAGTAATAAAGAGTGTCTGCCTTACAGTTCATATATTTCTTGAATTTAAAAAACTCAATTACATAAGAAATACATTAATTCTTTTCTTTAAACTATTAAGACAGCAAAGTCTTTTTTATGATTATCTACAATTCCGGTCCTCTCTCCGGTATCTCCAAGATAACATTATTATGAGTTTAATGTATGACATTTTTGACTTTGAAACTCACTTTCATATGGGTATATACATATGTTTACATAGAATATATGGAGTGTTGTTTACATATTATTTATATGAATAAATATACACCTACTCCAGGTAATTTAGTGGTGACTATCACGTATTTTATTTGGTCATTCTACAATTGATTGATGCCTTTTGTGTGTGTGTGATTACTAATACTGGAGTATTAATATACTTGCATGAGTCTCCTTGTGTACCATGGGAATAGTTCTGTATTTGAAAATAGAATTACTGGGTATGCACATTTTTAATTTTTAATATATACTTCCAAATTGTTCCTGCATACTCCCACCAGTACTAAGAATGTATCTGTTTTCCTCTTAGCATGTCAATATTTGATATAATGAAACTTGTAAATTTTAGCCAACTAAATGAGTGTGATTTCTATTCCTTTATAGTAACTGATGAGGTTATAATCAAGTTAAGCATTTTTTTATATGTTTATTGGCCACTCAGGTTTTTTTCTTCTACGAATTGCTGGTTCACATGCTTCGCCCATTTTCCTTCTGGACTTGTGTGTGTGTCTTTTTCTTACATATATTGGTATATTTGACTTTTGTCTATTATTTATTTTAAGGTTATAGGATTTTAGAGTTAATGAAAGGATAAAATGCTGGAGGCCTAGAATTCAGAATCGTACATAGGATTCTAAACAGAAGCCATGTTCTAAATAAGGATTTGGCTTGTGGGACAAAAGAAAAATGTGGAATTTCACAGACATTTATGGGCAATAGAGAATCAAGAATGACTTTGTCATAACATCGGCATCATTGAATGGTATTGTCACCTATACCATGATCAAGAAATTAACGGTGTTGCTCTGCAGACTGGCAAATCTCATTGCCCTTTCTTCTAACCCTGGGAAAGTATTATTACAATGGAAAAAGATATGCGACAAGATATTGTATTAATAGGGTGTTAGAATCAAATAAAAGGAGGGATAGATGTAGTAAGAGAAGCAGATTTTATAGCTATCCCCATTCCAAGAATAAAAAACAAAAAAATAATAGGCGAGTTCATTGTGGGCATCTGTCAGGAACAAGGAAGGATAGAGCTCTGAAAGCTGACTGCAGTCACTAACAAAAACCCTTTTGAGACATATTCCAAGAACCTGAAAAACTGGTAATGGACCCTTCCTTATACTCGGTGTCTTGAAAGGCAGTAAACTGTCTAATGGGATATAAAAATAGAGTCTTTTTTTCCTCCCCCACTCTAATATTCTCCTATTTTAAAAACCTTCTTTATATGGCACTGCAAATAATAGCACACAGCAAGAACTGTACTTTGCAGTATTATTGAGCATCTCAAGTGTCTGAAAGGTACAAAGCTAACAACCAAATGACTTCAGAATGGAAAATGTCCCAGAATTTTTAATTTTCCTTCTAAAACAGAAATATAGGGGAAGCAAAAACAACCTTAATCTAAAATCCAGCTTAAAATGACAACCAGAGGTTTTCTAGCTTATATTTTATTTCAGAATGCTTAGCAAATTTCTTGACTTTGTATTAATTTTAGTGAGTTGTAATTTGAGGAAACTCATGGTTTTCTAAGATCCTTTATACCTGAAAAGTTGTCGCATACGTGTAAGACTTGCTTTGTTATTGTTGTTGTAAATTGAATACCTGAAGGTAGATTTTAGTACACTAAATAATCATGATGTTCATTCTGTGCTAATAGGCAGGAAAGATGGACAATAGAACTTACTGGGATGCCAGGAAGTGCTCTGATCACCCAGGAGTGAGACATGAGATGGGCAGAAAGAACAAGATTAGTTAACTATCATGGGAAACATAAGAAGAATTTGGCTTTAGGGATTGTGTGTTTGAGATTGATTTTTAAAAGAAAAAGACCTATTTAAAAATCCACAGATGCTTAGGGAATAGAATAGCTATTTTTTTAATTCATAAATTTTATATTGGTTAGTTTTCACAGCAGTGAATTATCAACTTTATATAAAAGTAAAATGATAATTTGATATATTTCCTGATATGAGTCCACATTTTCAGAGCCATCTAAATTCAGCCTTGTTTGTTCATTATACATATATAAGAAAATCCTTCTTCTATGCAACAAATGGCTGTATATAAAATATACATGACTTGTTGATTTAAAATCTTTTACCTTTTTTTCTCATCATAAAGGTAAAACACATGCATTTCATAAATGTTTGAAAATGGGAACGTATGTACCAAAAAAATCACTTCAAAATCATGGTTTACGTATCTTCTAAAAACATGTAATCAAATATAACAAAGTATATTTAGGCCAATATTTTGACTATGATAAAATCGCTTTGATTCAGAAGGTATTGTGTTTTCTGAGTATTTCATTATTTAAAGCAGAAGGTTTCATCTTTCAGAAGTGTCACTCCAGCCTGGGTGTCCTGTGTGGTTGAGTCAAATCAGTGCTTCCACTATCAGTAGGTTTGGCACAGGATGAAGCAAGAACATCAAACTAAAGGGGCCAAGAACAATAGGTGGGAGAGGCTGCAGGAGGAGCAGAGAGGTCCTGATAATGAGGTTCCCTGACTATAGCAGGTTAGGACTAGACAAGCCCTGTGACCAACAGAGGAAAGAGTTTCTGAGCACTTTCTATATCTGGCTGTACCTTGGGGGACTTCCTCCATTTTGTCTGGGCTCATCCACAGTCCTGCTAAGAGATTCTGCAAAATATACTGCAGTTCTCATTCATGTGCCCCTTGAGATGCATTTGAGCTGCAGGTATTTTCCCTCCAGTGGTACCCAGTTTATTATTTCTAGTCCATTCAACTCATAACAACATCCAGCAGCACTTTACCCACAGGTGGGTGTTTATTAGGTTTTTATTTCTTTTGTCCAGGTTTATTGAGTTTGAAGAGTAGGCAGGGATTTCTGTTTTTATGAGTCACTTGTCAGCTGTAATGAAGTCTTCTTCACTAAAAAAAAGATGTGAGGACAATCTTGCGCAGTGTCATAATTATTCTAAAAATACATCATGCTTAATTGTATCCACAAAGGTTTTAAAAATTTAAACATCAGTTTTGAGTTTTAGGGCTTTCTTATTGGTGAATTATCAATAATTGTAGTGCTTTCTTGAAAAGTTCCCTGGGGTGGATTTCCTTAGTTGCATATAATTCTAGCCTCTTCAGCCTACTAAGGATAAAAGGGACATGAAGTACACATATCTGGGAATTAATTACATTTTTCTGCTCAAGAGCCAAGTCATTTTCAGAAATTGATGTCAAATAGGTCTTCCATAGCTGAAAGTGCTAGGTGTCTCTTCACATAGTTAAGATTTCCCCCTATTCAGAAATATTAGTTTCTGATGACAATGGAAAATTCCAAATGCAGCAGCTTCACTGTGTTCTAATAATGTTCATGCTTAGGGATCCTGAAACCACTTGCAGTATGCCTGGTCTAGCCACAGCAGGGAGCCGGCGCCCATGCCAGTTCCCAGAGCTGACCACCCCACCGCAGCCAGCGTGTCTGGCTGTGCACCATGGCCAGACTCCATGCTCACTCACTCATGCACCCCGCACTGCTCCCCACCTGGCTCAACCTTGGTGGGCATGGGATCCAGGCTGGTAGTGAAAGTCAAATGCTGCCTGCCAGGCCGGGTGGGCAGAACGAGCCCAGCGGGTGAGAAAAACTTGGGCAAACGTGCCACTGGCTACAGAGGTTTCCGGCTGGTGAAGTGACACCCTAAGGATTCTGTGACAATGGGAAAAGGGGTAATGAAGGGATAGAGCAGATTAAGGAATTTAAAACCCAGTTGAGCAAGTATATCTGTAAATAATGTACTTTTGTATACTACAAAACCACAAAGAAAGGATCTCCCTCCTCTATTATCACAGGGTCATCCCGGAAGAACTGACATTTCAATACGTTAAAAAATAAGTAGATAATGTTTTTAGCTTTAAAAAAAAGTGGAATAATCTATGCATATATAAAGAATAAATGCACATAACATTTATGTGGGTTATGTAAGCAGAGGTAAGCATTATAATAAAGCAAACACTGATGAGCCACTGGTGAGGAAACATAACCTTCCTAAATCTCTGAGGCTTTCAGAGTGGCTCTTGGCCCATGTAGAGGTAAGGGTGTGAAAGAACAGGAAGAGAGGGCGTCCATGTTTGAGAAACCACAAAATCACAGGAGTCGCTAAAGGAGTAGTTTAATTGGTTATATGGAGGAAATCTGGAGTGATGTTAGAAGATGCAATTGACCAGATCAGGTGGATCACAGAGGCCATCCTGAGCAGTACAATAGGAAATTAATCAGGGATCCCCTATGGTTACCATACCTTATGGGTTTAAACCAATGATGCTTACGAGGGAGAAGTTAGCTTTTCTGGACAATGTCCTTGGTGTGCACTTTTCAGATGGAGATTGGCAAGCCAATGGCTAAGGAGGGTGAATCAGATCAAAATTCTTCCTTGACTTTCATAGCATTTCCAGAGGATGTCTAGTTTATGAGTAAAATGTCTTGCCTTCATCTCATAAAATTATCTCTATGTCCTCACCTGTAAAGATGTTCTATATCAAACATTATTATTTATACAAATAATTATATTTTCTTAAAAAGACTTTTTTGTACAGTAAAATAAGTGGAAGCAAACTTAAATGATTCAGAACAACTTTCTAAATATTTGACTAAACAATTTCAGGAAATAGCCATTTAATCCCTCGAAAACAAAATTTGGCTTTGGTTAATTTTTAGAAAATCCTAAGATGAGGAGATGAAGCTAAAAAAAATATATTGAACACTGTGCATTTCAATAAAGAATTTACAGAATAGCTGGAAAATTAAGGTTAAGTATACAAGGTAATTATAGATTTATTTTTAAAATGAAAAGGCATTTAACAATCTAAAAACTACATCAAATACATTATATTTAGCATCATGAAAGTACTTAATTATCTGCACCTATCAGTGAAGCATTTTTTTTCTCATAAATCTGTTCTATGATAATCTACAGGAAGACATAATTTTAAAATTTGTAAGGATTAGAGTGGATGGTCACCTGGTCCCAACCTTTGGAACATTTGAAAAGCAAGGAACATATAAACTGAACATTAATTTTCTCCTTGCAATGTATACAAGAAATTTAAAAAAGAATTTTCCAGAGTACAGGTATAAAAGGGTATATTCTTGACAGGGAATCAGAGTGCTGACAGATGGCTAAGATTTCCATCCAAGAAAAATTTGATGTTTGAACTTAAGAAAATGGAAACTTTCTTTGCTGGACCTCACATAATATTTTCAGTAATGACAGAAAGTCAGGAAAGATGAATGTGGAAACAAAATGTTCTTGAACACATGAAATAAATAGGTAATTTAGATACAGTGGGTGGTGCCAGTATGCTCTGTAGGTGAAGAATAAATCTGGAATCCTAGGAGGTCGCCCTAACCAGTGAGGTCTCTCTCACTTATGAACATAAAATGTCTGGGTACTTAGGACTCCTCTAGGCAATAAATGACCTTCAGTTAGATTGAGGGCTGATCGAACTGAGAGGGATTAGTACATAATTTAATCTATTTGCTAATTAGCATGATGAATTAGACCATTGTCATCTGTTGCTGTGTGGGAGAGGAAGAGGACAAGGCATTTAAGTTTTGATGAGAAGGACATTTATTGAATAGCATTGTACACTTTAAGAGTGGATTCTCATATATGATCTAAGTATCTTAGTCTATAGACTAAGTTTGATTCTTTCCTTTCATTAGTGACAGAGCTACAACTGTCACTTGAGTATTGGGTGACTTGACTTCTCTTCCAAGTCGAACACACTGCATAACATGGAAAGAAGGCAAGGAAGAGGAGAATATATCTTGTCCCATCACTGGTCATTTCAGGGGAGATTTTGGCACTGAAGACAGATCAGGAGCATATCAGATAGGAACAAAAAAAACAGGCTTGGTAGCTTAAAAGGAGGAGTCAAGTCTTACCAACTCTGAACACTCACCTCAGTAGTGATGTTTCATTTTTACCCTCTTAGGGTAAAAGAGTCTGGTATTTCTAAGTATATGCTTTCTAGTGTTTGTGTTTACTATATTTAAGAAACACCATTAGATCAATTCTTATTAATGATTACTTGATATTAATCATTATGATTAGACACTAGTTTAAAAGCATAGATTAGTTTCATTAAAGACTTTTCTTGAGAGATTATATATTAAATGGGTGGTGTACACATTCTTACTAAGAAAGTTTTCTGCTGTTTATATCTTAAATTAATGTAGAATTTCTCCCTTAATTTCTACATAGAAACTTAGTATAGATAAGCTTGTGCAGTCAGCTGTGAATTCATCTAGGCCTACTACCATTTCTTCATCTCCTCTAAAGAATAAAATATGAACTATCTTGTTGAAATTAAGTGCTACTAGATCTATACTGCTAGTGATCCTGTAATATCAATACATGCATGCATACATACATAAATATTTTAAGAAGGAAAAGAAATCTGGTTGGAACTGATGCCTTCCCAGTGAGCCTTTGCTGGCTCTTGACAGTTTTCGCTCTCTTCTTTAAGGGTGTTCAGATTATCTAGACTTTCTAGAATTAATGATTATTTTATCGTTTTGACAATTTTTCTTTCTAAGTTAAAACCACATTGGCATTTTGTGAATATGATCATATTTCTCATTTTGACCAATTTTTCCCTAGCATTACAGTTCGTTAATTTACTGGTAATTAAATAATGATTAAACATATTAATTAAACAAATAATGATTATTTATTTTTGTATTACGTTTTATTCCTTAAAGCCTCTCTCCATCGTTAACCCTTTTCCTTTGTAAGCCCTTCCTTAGCATCTCACTGGAGGTACGTTCAGGCAGCATCACTTTAGTATCTCGCCAGCATTGTCCTCTTCCCGCCAGTGGGAACCAACTAACAAGTACACTCTCAGGTATGAACTTAAGTACAGGCAAGTCAACAGATTTCATATGCATCCAAATGACACGTTAAATACAAAGCTTTGCTCACCTGCCTTTGTACAGGAGTCTGCTGCTGCTGGGTTTTAATGAAACTTAAAGGCTGAATCAAAGCCTTATTAGTGGGAGGATCTTTGACATGAAATTCTTTTTGTTCAGTATAATTTGCATTTTGTATTCATTTGAAAAATTGTCCTGTGCATTTGTTCGAATATCGAGAATAGAGAACTGAGTGATTCCTGGGTTTATGTGGGTGATATTGTGGAAATAAGAGGTGCTGTGGTATGTACAGCTAGTCCCCAAATATGATTGTATTTTACTAGAGATAGAGAATTCACAGTGACTGAACTATTCAGGCTGTAAAATATAGGAACCATCTGCCATAGAATAAGCATATTAGGAAAATGCCACCTATTCCTACATTAGTCTGGCCCTTGCTCCAAAATTTCACATGTACTCATATGTTTGTTTTCCGTGTCTCTGATTGATGCAGCTAGCTAATGCCTAATGACAGTTTTTTTAATCATTCCCTATATACATTTTTTTATTTTATTATTATACTTTAAGTTTTAGGGTACATGTGCACAACGTGCAGGTTTGTTACATATGTATACATGTGCCATGTTAGTGTGCTGCACCCATTAACTCGTCATTTAGCATTAGGCCTATCTCCAAATGCTATCCCTCCCCCCTCCCCCCACCCCACAACAGTCCCCAGTGTGTGATGTTCGCCTTCCTGTGTCCATGTGTTCTCATTGTTCAATTCCCACCTATGAGTGAGAACATGCGGTGTTTGATTTTTTGTCCTTGCGATAGTTTGCTGAGAATGATGGTTTCCAGCTTCATCCATGTCCCTACAAAGGACATGAACTCTTCATTTTTTATGGCTGCATAGTATTCCATGGTGTATATGTGCCACATTTTCCTAATCCAGTCTCTCGTTGTTGGACATTTGGGTTGGTTCCAAGTCTTTGCTATTGTGAATAGTGCCACAATAAACATACATGTGCATGTGTCTTTATAGCAGCATGATTTATAATCCTTTGGGTATATACCCAGTAATGGGATGGCTGGGTCAAATGGTATTTCTAGTTCTAGATCCCTGAGGAATCGCCACACCAACTTCCACAAGGGTTGAACTAGTTTATAGTCCTACCAACAGTGTAAAAGTGTTCCTGTTTCTCCACATCCTCTCCAGCACCTGTTCTTTCCTGACATTTTAATGATTGGTGTGAGATGGTATCTCATTGTGGTTTTGATTTGCAGTTCTCTGATGGCCAGTGATGATGAGCATTTTTTCATGTGTTTTTTGGCTGCATAAATGTCTTCTTTTGAGAAGTGTCTGTTCATATCCTTCACCCACTTTTTGATGGGGTTGTTTGTTTTTTTCTTGTAAATTTGTTTGAGTTCATTGTAGATTCTGGATATTAGCCGTTTGTCAGATGAAAAATTTTCTCCCATTTTATAGGTTCCCTATTCACTCTGATGACGGTTTCTTTTGCTGTGCAGAAGCTCTTTAGTTTAATTAAATCCCATTTGTCAATTTTGGCTTTTGTTGCCATTGCTTTTGGTGTTTTAGACATGAAGTCTTTGCCCATGCCTATGTCCTGAATGGTATTGCCTAGGTTTTCCTCTAGGGTTTTTATGGTTTTAGGTCTAACACGTAAGTCTTTAATCCATCTTGAATTAATTTTTGTATAAGGTGTAAGGAAGGGATCCAGTTTCAGCTTTCTACATATGGCTAGCCAGTTTTCCCAGCACCATTTATTAAATAGGGAATCCTTTCCCCATTTCTTGTTTTTGTCAGGTTTGTCAAAGAACAGATGGTTGTAGATATGTGGCATTATTTCTGAGGGCTCTGTTCTGTTCCATTGATCTATATCTCTGTTTTGGTACCAGTACCATGCTGTTTTGGTTACTGTAGCCTTGTAGTATAGTTTGAAGTCAGGTAGCTTGATGCCTGCAGCTTTGCTCTTTTGGCTTAGGATTGACTTGGTGATGCGGGCTCTTTTTTGGTTCCATATGAACTTTAAAGTAGTTTTTTCCAGTTCTGTGAAGAAAGTCATTGGTAGCTTGACCACATAGTTGGAAGTAAAGCACTCCTCAGCAAATGTAAAAGAACAGAAATTATAACAAACTGTCTCTCAGACCACAGTGCAATCAAACTAGAACTCAGGATTAAGAAACTCACTCAAAACCGCTCAACTACATGGAAACTGAACAACCTGCTCCTGAATGAATACTGGGTACATAATGAAATGAAGGCAGAAATAAAGATGTTCTTTGAAACCAACGAGAACAAAGACACAACATACCAGAATCTCTGGGACACATTCAAAGCAGTGTGTAGAGGGAAATTTATAGCACTAAATGCCCACAAGAGAAAGCAGGAAAGATCCAAAATTGACACCCTAACATCACAATTAAAAGAACTAGAAAAGCAAGAGCAAACACATTCAAAAGCTAGCAGAAGGCAAGAAATAGCTAAAATCAGAGCAGAACTGAAGGAAATAGAGACACAAAAAACCTTTCAAAAAATTAATGAATCCAGGAGCTGGTTTTTTGAAAAGATCAACAAAATTGATAGACCTCTAACAAGACTAATAAAGAAGAAAAGAGAGAAGAATCAAATAGACGCAATAAAAAATGATAAAGGGGATATCACCACCGATCCCACAGAAATGCAAACTACCATCAGAGAATATTACAAACACCTCTACGCAAATAAACTAGAAAATCTAGAAGAAATGGATAAATTCCTCGACACGTACACCCTCCCAAGACTAAACCAGGAAGAAGTTGAATCTCTGAATAGACCAATAACAGGCTCTGAAATTGTGGCAATAATCAATAGCTTACCAACCAAAAAAAGTCCGGGACCAGATGGATTCACAGCCGAATTCTACCAGAGGTACAAGGAGGAACTGGTACCATTCCTTCTGAAACTATTCCAATCAATAGAAAAAGAGGGAATCCTCCCTAACTCATTTTATGAGGCCAGCATCATCCTGATACCAAAGCCGGGCAGAGACACAACCAAAAAAGAGAATTTTAGACCAATATCTTTGATGAACATTGATGCAAAAATCCTCAATAAAATACTGGCAAACCGAATCCAGCAGCACATCAAAAAGCTTATCCACCATGATCAGGTGGGCTTCATCCCTGGGATGCAAGGCTGGTTCAACATACGCAAATCAATAAATGTAATCCAGCATATAAACAGAACCAAAGACAAAAACCACATGATTATCTCAATACATGCAGAAAAGGCCTTTGACAAAATTCAACAGCCCTTCATGCTAAAAACTCTCAATAAATTAGGTATTGATGGGACGTATCTCAAAATAATAAGAGCTATCTATGACAAACCCACAGCCAATATCATACTGAATGGGCAAAAATGGAAGCATTCCCTTTGAAAACTGGCACAAGACAGGGATGCCCTCTCTCACCACTCCTATTCAACATAATGTTGGAAGTCCTGGCCAGGGCAATTAGGCAGGAGAAGGAAATAAAGGGTATTCAATTAGGAAAAGAGGAAGTCAAATTGTCCCTGTTTGCAGATGACATGATTATATATCTAGAAAACCCCATTGTCTCAGCCCAAAATCTCCTTAAGCTGATAAGCAACTTCAGCAAAGTCTCAGGATACAAAATCAATGTGCAAAAATCACAAGCATTCTTATACACCAATAACAGACAAACAGAGAGCCAAATCATGAGTGAACTCCCATTCACAGTTGCTTCAAAGAGAATAAAATACCTAGCAATCCAACTTACGAGGGATGTGAAGGACCTCTTCAAGGAGAACTACAAACCACTGCTCAATGAAATAAAAGAGGATACAAACAAATGGAAGAACATTCCATGCTCATGGGTAGGAAGAATCAATATCGTGAAAATGGCCACACTGCCCATGGTAATTTACAGATTCAGTGCCATCCCCATCAAGAGATTTTTTTACACATTCCATATGTGAATATCCTATTTTCTGATTCAGTTCTGACTTTATTTCCATTATATGTGAATGTGTTTCTTTACTATTTTTCTATCAGTTTCCTTCCTGGTCAATTGATTATATGGGAAAATATTTTATCCATTCAATATTCAAAAATAGTTTATTGAGGACCCACTATGTGCTAGGCATTTGATCACAACAGTGAAAAACAGAGAAAAAATCCTTGCTTTCATGGAGTTGACAAATTCTACCAAAGGAAACAGGAAATAATGAAAATAAGTAAGTAAAATAAATAGCATGCTACGTAGTAATAAGTGTCAAGGAGAAAAGGAAAGCAGACAAAGAGAGGGGAAGGTGTGAGCAGGAATTGCAGTTTCAGATAAGGTGGCCATGAAGGTGTCCCTTCAAGGAAAATGTAGTAGTTGGGAAGGGGCAAGTCACATGGCTCTCTGGGGAAGAGTGTGCAGGGCATCGGGAACAGCCCTTGCAAAGGCCTTGAGAAGGAAGCATGCCCCATGCTCTCCTCCTCATATGAGGAGGCCAACAGGTCTTGAATGAAGCTATGGAGAAAGAGAAAGGGAATACGATTGGAAAGGTAACAAGGAATGGATCACGTAGAGCCTTCCAGGGCAACGTAATGACCTTGGCTATTCCTTTTAAATGAGATGGAAAGCCCGTGGAGCATTTTGAGTAGAGGCGAGACAAAACTGATCAGGACAACTCTGCTTGCTGGGCAGAGAATAGAATCAAGGGAAGCAATGACAGAAGAGACTGTCCTAAGAGTCCAGGCGAGAGATGGCAGTGGCTTGGACAAAGGTGGTAGCAGTGGAGGTCACAGAAGATGCTGAATATAGTGTTCATGTTTACTTTATGGGATTTACTAAGAGATTGGCTGTGTGTTAAAAGGAAAAGATCATTCTAAAGCTTCTGGCCTCAGTGATTAGATAGACTTGCCATTAACTTCCAGAAGAGCATGTTTGAGGGGAAATATGAGGATCTCGGTTTCATTACATGTTAAGTTCCAGTAATGTGATTAGATTGAAAATGCTATAGCTGGTAGAATTTTTTCACTTTTTATGTCAAAACAGAAAACATGATTGAATAATGAAAACTACACATGCTCAATTTTTTTAAAATTGTTTTCTTTGACACAGTAAAGGATCAATGAGACTTGCTTAATTCTTGTCAAGAATACAAAGTCAACAATGGCTGAGATGAAAATATTTTCCATAAAGTAAAATGATCAAATTTGCAAAAGCTTGGTTACATGATGTGAATTTCACTCAAACCACAAGGCATTACACTAGAGTCTTGCTGAAATTTAAGACAGACTGTCTTAGGAATTATTTGCCAATAGACAAAATGAATATGGGGTGGTTGATGTGCTGAAGTGGCCAATGAGCATGCTTTGATTGACAGATGAGGAAATGTATCCCTACATTTTATCAAACTATGTGGTGTCTGATTTATATCACTGAGGTGGCCATTCATTATGGTCATGAACTGTGAGGTCAAAGCACTTGCAAAAACTTGCCAAAATACTTCCTATTCCAGTACTAAATATTTCTCATATTTGTTTGCCTAGAATAACAAGATGCAGGCTTGGTAGTCCTTTCAAGAATGTGAATTTCTTTGGTATGTCTGAGTTTAGTAATGTTGAATTGTGTGTGTGTGTGTATTATTCTTAAGACTTTGCCTGTATTTTAACATTTTATTTGGTAAAAATAGCATTATTTTGGCAAGATTTTTAAAGCCTTGAAATGGGACAAATTAAAGTATAATGCTTTTTCTTGAGAAATAATTTATTGCTCCATGTTGTTGAATCATACCATTAGTCATGAAACCAAAACCCTATATTTAAAAAGTAACAATCTCATATTCAAAGTATCTCCTTTGAACATTTCAAAGAATCTTAAGCAAATCTTTATGTGACATTAAATTGTACATTTTACCTTGTTATTTTAGATCTATGGGTGGAGTTCATTCTTCGGGCTAAGTGTAGGTATGAAGTGTGAATTTCTGTGTCTTGGTATGCCAGTAACTTAGGGCAAGGTTAGTAGAGTGGCTTTTGTGAGAAAAAAAGAGCTGTTTTATCAGACATCAGTTGGAACTTTGCCTTGTTTTGTTTCCCTGAACCGTCCAATCTGCTTCATATACTTGTGTGAAATCCTAAAATGTCTGTATGTCAATAATTTTTAGTTAGCATATTTTTTCCAAACAGACATCCTTGTGAACATCAGCCGTTTCTGAGAACTGGGCCCACGGACCATAGCTACTTTGAGTCTCAGTCTATGTAATAGTTGGGGTAAAGTAAGCTTTAAAGAGAGAACTCACAACACAATGGCTCAAGCAAGACACAAGTTGATTTCTTTCTGAAGCTGCCATCCTGGGTATGTGGGTATTTGGATGAGCTGGGCCCCATGAAGTCATCCCAAAGTGCAGGCCTCTGTGGCATCTCTGCCAAACTCAACACTTACTCTCCAAGTCTGTCCTTGGCTTCTCTATTTCTAGCTGGTGGAAGGGAAGGGAAAAATGAGTCCAGGGAAGGAGTTTTTGTAGATGGCTTGGGAGTTGCATACATCAGGAAGAACTTTGTCACAAGGCCACAACTCCTTGCAGGAAATTCTAGGAAACATATTCCCTCACTGAGCAGCCATGCGCCCAGGAAGAAGAGAAGAATGAGTCTAGAGTCGCAAGCAGCAATATCTACTACAGGCTTAAATAACCAAAGGACAAAATGCCCAGTCCATTATAAATATATTCCAAAAATGAAGCCATGAAATTTGACTTCATTTATTGAAGTCAAAACAAATTTATTGTTATAAACTAATTTCTCTATTTTATATTTCTCAAATGATTACATTTTTAACACAGAACAAAGCCATAGTTAGAATTTCAGTAATCGTATGGAATATCCAAAAGGTACACCCAATACACCCAAAAGCTAAACCAGAGTCACTGCTAAATTTTATATTGTTCTGATTTACCTAACAGATTAGTGAAAATAATTAAAATCTTGCTGCTTTTTAAATTTTAAATATCGGATTTTGGTTAGAACTCTAAGAATATTTAAAACTATCTTTACCTACTCTTGTTGGACAATCATTTGAGGAGCTAAGAGTGCAGAGAAGGCAGAGAAATGTTCTCCTCAACCCAAGCAAAAGCACAGAAGAACTATTGCTAATCCAAAATGCAGGAAGGAAATTTCACCCCTCCTCCCTTCCCTTTTCTTGGGCTAGTCTGTTTAACTTTAAAAGCAGAATTTTTGCTCTCACAAAGTATACCAGACAGGAATTTGTTCAAATTCCTCAAAACCAAGCCAAGAAAAGTTTCAGAAAGTTCAGACATGCATGGCAGAGTGGAAAGAACATAGTCTGTGGAGGCGAGCACGGATTCATTGGAATGCCGCTCCAGACATCCACTCTGGGTGAACTCAGGGATGTGTTTAGTCTCATTAAGCCACAGTCTTTTCATTTTTAATGTAAGAGTGATAAGAACGACTTGCCAGTGTGTTGGTGGAGAACTGAAATAGAGAAAGGCCTGGTGTGTAACAGGATGTTTCTCTCCATCTGTGTAATCTGTGACAGTCCTAGGAAGTTCAAAGTTATGACTGTTCTGGGTTTGTGGCCAACAGTTGTCTGTGGCTTCCATGGGTTGGAGCTGTCTAATGGGGCCCAGACCACCATCGCTCTGCTCAGAAGCTAATCATACCAAAACATGAGGTTTTTCTCCAAGCGACAAAGAGGGGCTAAGCACCCAAGGATCTCCATAATAGTAGCAGGAAAATGAAGCTGAGACCTTACCCTGACTTAGAAGTTCATAACAATAATGGCCCCAAACAAGATGCTCATGTCTATTGGTTGTGGTTAATAATCATGCAACAACATGAACTTCAAACCCAGCCTATGCTTGGCTCTTCCAGGGACTGAAGGCATCTCAGAGCCCCACCCCTTACCTCAGAAACCGCAGGAAGGAGCCTGGGTTCTCAGAGTCCAAGAAAATGCACCTGATAATAGCACCTGAACTTCCTCCACACAAAGAAAGCCTGATAGGGACAGGGGATTAAGCTTGCATGGAGGGCAGGATCCAACCCACAGTAGCACTTCCTTGCCATGCGACCTTAGCAAATGGCTTAACTCGCTTTCTGTATCAGTAAAATGGTGTTTGTAGTACTAAGGTGTCAGTGAGGATTAAATGAGCCAAGCCTGACCCACAGCAATTCATGACAAGTCTCAGCCACTTTAATGAATGTGATGATATTCTAACGTTTGGGATGCTGAGGTGGAGGACGATGGTGTCCCACCTCCTGCAAATGCCATGTGAACACTGAAGCTACACAAGCAATGGCTCTAAAGTCAAAGCCAGCATCAGGACTGGTATAAAAGAATCACCAGGACAAGGGCAGGGCAGAGGGGAGGCCAAAGCAGCTTTGTCAGTGCCTGCACGGCTGGACCTAGAGGAATTTCTCGACATAGAGGGTAAAACAACCCATTGGCCCACATTTCTGAGGACCGACGTGGGAGAAGGGTCACATGAGGCCATGAAATGGGCATCTGCAGAGGAAATGGAAGCCAGTGTCTGGAGACAAGTGGAGCCATTGAGCTAGCAATGCGTGATAGATACTGTGGGAAGGGATGTGGGGAATGCAGCACCTCTCAAGGGAGGTGGCTGAGTCTGGCAATGAGGGCCTGGGGCATCCTTAGTCAGCAAAGCAGGTCTGCAGCCTCGGGAGCTCTGGCAGCTGGTGTGGGTCACCAACTGGCCTCGGGCACCATTCATGGAAATTAATCTGGATAGTCCCCTCCTGGAGACCCTCCAGGATGGCAGATGAGCAGACTGGCCGGCTTTCAAAGTCTGCTGACCTCTATAATTGTGGCTCTTCACATGGTCCAACACACTCTTCCCTTTTACATGTGTTTCCTCTTTGAATATTTCCACCAGCCCCTCTCCCTGACCTCTCTCTGCTTTGTTACTTTCCTTTGCCCATTTAATCTACATTTTATGTTTTGTCCAGATTAACATACCTGTGTTTCATCTGCCAGGCACTGGCCCAGGCCCTAGGAATATGGTGGTGACCAACACAGAGTGGCTGCTTTCATGGAGTTTACAATCTACAAAGGGACAAAAAGGATAAACAACTTTAAACTTTAAAATTTGGACAAACTTTTATAAATACTGCATTTTTCCAATAAAATGAGATAAACAATGGTATAACCTACATTGTACAGAATCTGTGTCTCCCTAAAATTAAAGCTTTGAGATAAAAGGAGACAAGAGGTATTGTTGGACTTGAATTTGTCGTGCAAATAAGATTAAAACCTTGAATATTAGCCTTTTGATTGTTGTCTCTTTTTGCAGTATGAGGTAGTTGTGAATTCTAGGTCAAAACATAAGGGTTAAAAGGCTGGAAAAATTAAATAGGCCAAATGAAAGAATTGTCTTGCTAAAATGTCTATGTAGATGATAAAATGTCCTTGTGCCTCTTTAACTTCAATGATTTGTGCTGGATATTTTATAAGCGTCCATTAGGCAATAGCAAATTTATTCAACTATAAGAGAATTACGAAACACAACTATCATAGGAGATACTTATTTCCTTCCAACCAATAAGTAACCACCAGTGATGAGAAGGCAGAAAGTGACAAGATTAACCAAGTAAGAGAGTTGGATACAACATTCAACTCCATTTCTTCATGTCCCAATAAGAGACAACGTTTGACCTGCCCTCTCATTCCTAATCTTGTTGAATGAATCTAGTACAGAGGTTCATAAAAACCGTCAGGTATATAATGCCGGATTTTGTCAACAAACAATAACAATAATTTTTTCTTTAAAAATTATTCCAGGCCAGGCCGGGTGCGGTGGCTCATGCCTGTAATCCCAGCACTTTGGGAGGCTGAGGCGGGCGGATCACGAGGTCAGGAGATCAAGACCAGTCTGGCCAACATGGTGAAACCCCCATCTCTACTAAAAATACAAAAATCAGCTGGGCGTGGTGGCAGGGACCTGTAGTCGCAGCTACTCGGGAGGCTGAGGCAGGAGAATCACTTTAACACGGGAGGCGGAGATTGCAGCGAGCTGAGATCCAGCCACCGCACCCTAGCCTGGCAACAGAGCAAGATTCCGTCTCAAAAAAAAAAAAAAAAGAAAAGAAAAAAATTATTCCAGGCCAGGTGTGGTGGCTCACACCTGTAATCCCAACACTTTAGGTGGCCAAGGTGGGTGGACCGCTTGAGCTCAGGACTTCAAGGCCAGCCTGAGCAACATGGCGAAACCTGGTCTCTACAAGAAATACAAAAATTAACCAGGCGTGGTAGTGAGTGCCTGTAGTCCCAGCTCCTCATCCGCCTGTAATCCCAGGCGGAGATTGAAGTGAGCCGAGATGGCACCACTGCATTCCATCCTGGGTGACAGAGCCAAACCCTGTCTCAAAAAATAACAAAATACACACCAGGGCCTGTCAGGGGGTGGGAGGGAAGGGGAGGGAGAGCATGAGGACAAATACCTAGTGCATGTGGGGCTTAAAACCTAGATGATGGGTCAATAGGTGCAGCAAACCATCATGCCACATGCATACCTATGTAACAAACCTGCACATTCTGCACATGTATCCCAGAACTTAAATTTAAAAATAAAATAAAAATAATAACATAATAAAATAACAAAAAAGTCTTTACATCTGAAATAAGTGTACTTAAAATTAAAAATAAAATTAAAGTACAAAAACTTAAAATAAAAATCATTTTAGATATTTCCTCAGATTTAAATGGAGGTCATTGAAGCTCAAACACCTGGCTGCAAAGTGATTTGTAAGACGAACACCTACACTCTACAAAAAGACTTATGAATACCCTGCATTGGTTGATGAACAAGAACAGTGAGTTATACCTTCTGAATAGTGAATTAAATAAAATACTATTAAAGTTTTAAATAATTGCCAATTGCTCCATATTTCTCTGCATGTTAGAGTTTAGCTAGTGTTTCCAGGGATGATTTTTCTGTATTCCTCCCAGTCAGGAATAGCCAGTCAGTATTACTCCATCAGCCACAGCACAAATGTCTGATTGCTCTCTTGAGGTCGTTAGCCCAGATACTTGCTAGAAAGGTATGATTGCTGGCCAAATGAGCTCTGGCCTGGTGCAGCCGTCTTGCCAATGTGCCTAATGAGAGCGCGGAAAGACATTTTATTCCAGGCATAAGCAGGCCAGATCACAGCTGCCCAAAGCTCTCTGGCTTTGATTAAGTTTGTTGTGCTATTATGTAATGGGTACTTGAACCATATTCCGTGAATGACCGTTTTCCTTCCTCTTTCGCCACTATTCTAAGTATGTTGTCTGTATCTAATGTTGCCTTGCAGTTAGTTGTTAAAATCAAGCAGAAAAGAAAACAGGCAAATATTAAAACGTAAATAGAAAAAGTTGTTGGTGGGGAAAATGACTTATAATGCATTATTCTGACATAATGTCTTGGGGTCCACCAGGAGAATCGCCCCATCACAATTCAGCCTCTCTCTGTGCTAATGACGGCCTTTTCATCCTGTGCTGTTAGTGATGCATAAGCCAAATTGTGACCAGGCAGACTAGACCACATGTAAGCAGAGAACCACGTCTTTGTAGACATTAATTTAAAACTCGTTCTAATCAAATATGTTCATTTATCTGTACTATTTTTGATCTATATCTTAAATCAAAACGAAGCTTTTTTGACTTCTGGTTTCTGTTTCTGCTTGTAAAGAGCTTGGAAGTTATCAATCCTGTCTTCATAACAAGAAAAATGCTGAGCACACTGAAAGTCAGTAACTGGAAATCAACAGTGTTTTAAAAGTTAATTGGTTACAATTTTCTCATATTCTTCTCTCACCTCTGTAGAGTTCTGGTCTACATTGGAAATGCTGGAAAAGTAGGAATATACAGTACAGAGCTTTCTTGGCAGCATAACTTAATACATGAAAAATGATTTTTAATTTTAGTTTAACCTTTAAACTGGAATCTGTAGCACATTGGAAAAAAAAAACCTAAACCAGTTGAACAAATTTCAATTTTAAACATGTTTTCAGGCTTTGGAAGCTTACTGAAGAATGTGGATAGCAAATACAGGAAAAATTCTGTGAATATTTTTATTCACATATGTAAACGTGAAGTTATAAGACAGAACAATTTCCCCATGTACAAGCTTCAAATTTTTAGCAGTTAGTTAACATTTTCTATTCAGTTTTAACCATTAAGTTGTAATATTATTACAAATGATATTAGAACACATCTTTGCTTTTAGTGCTGTATTATAAATATTTAAATTAATGACATTCAGTGTAAATTTGGTATTTATCGTAATACAAATAAGAACTTTATTTTTAGTTAATTCCATGTGTTATTTGTATTTCTTATCTCACATTTATTTAAAATTACATTTGGTCCCTATCACTCAGGTATGTTTCTTCCCTCCCACGTAGACCTAATCGGATTTTTTAAAATTGGATTTTAATCTGCCTTTATAAACAAACGTCAATTATTTATTTCCAATCTTGGTTGATCTTTTTATTCCGAGATTATTTACTAGTTCATTCAGCCTTCCTATTAAAAATAAATAAATAAATAAATAATTGCTCTTGTAGCTCTTCTGAGGTAGACTGACCAGGTCTACCTTATTGTTAATTTTTGCATTTTCATTTTTATTGAATATGTATGATGATGCAGATATGAACCATGTGCATATCTCAGAATAGGAGGAAAAATATCTTAGTACTTTTGCCAAATGCTTGGTTCTAATTTTTGGACTATTATGAATTTTTTATGTCATAACTATTATCTTAACATTATGCGAACTTCTAGCCCTTTTGCTTCAATTTCCTTTGAAAAGATTTCCTTCCAATAAATCTTTAAAATATGGGTGACAAAACTAAAAGACCCTCAGAGGAAACATATTTCTGGTATGACATATTTTGTGTACTCTTTAGGACAATTGAAAAGCTTCTAATTAACATTTCTTTAGCGCCTTAGTGGTGATCAGCAGTATCATCACTGCCCTAGTGCATCCATGGAAGTTGAGGTCCAGGGTGTACTGACTCACACAGGTTACCTAGGTAAGAAGTAATGGATGACTGGAATGTTAGGAACTGTAAATGACAGCTAACTGTGGCAAAGCGTAGGGTTTTGTTTTTTTTTTTCTTGTCTTGTCTTTTTTTTTTGAGACAGAGTCTTGCTCTGTCCCCGAGGCTGGAGTGCGGTGGTGTGATCTCGGCTCACTGCACCCTCTGCCTCCCAGGTTCAAGCAATTCTCCTGCCTCAGCCTCCCAAGTAGCTGGGATTACAGGTACATGCCACCAGGCCTGGATAATTTTTGTATTTTTAGTAGAGACAAGGTTTCACCATGTTGGCCAGGTTGGTCTCAAGCTCCTGACCTCATGATCCACCTGCCTTGGCCTCCCGAAGTGCTGGAATTACAGGCATGAGCCACTGCGCCCGGCCTTTCTTTTCTTCTTAAGACAACTAATGGAAAATAAACTTCCAAGAAGCTCTTTTGACCTGACCTCACTGCTCCTCAAAGGCAGAATGCTGATTCACAGGCTGAGGGGTATCTGACCAGGTTTCTTTGCTACCCTTACTCTCAGCCTACCTGGAAATTGCCGAGCGCAGGGGGCGCAGGGAGTGCTGTAGTTGGCGTGTGGACTGAGCGTCCTGGGAACTGTTCTGCTGTAGTACCTACACTTTCCTGCCAATGTCAGCATCCGGCTTGTCAACACTTCTTTTCCATTTGTGAATACTATAGTGAAAGCCTTCACCTCTCCTTTCTTTGAAGTATTCTCTGTTCAGAACTTGGAACTTTAGAAATTTTCTACATTTAAGGAAACATATTTCAACTATGATTCTTTATTACTTATAAAAAATTAACTTAGAAGATATATGTAAACATGTGTATGGTTTAAGGTAACAAAGTGAGTTTACCAATATGGCAAGTTGTGCCAAAAGAGTGCTTAAGTGTAAAAAACAAACAAAGAAACCAAAATCAAAATTAAAGTAGCTCAAAAACATAAAGTTTATAAATATTTTTAAGGCATTTATAATTTTAAAAAAGTCCTTTTATGTTTGTCCCATGTTCTGGAATAGCAAATAAAAAATGTGGTTTTTGCTTTATTTTGTTTTATTGCCTTGATATGCCACGTGGCAAGCCTCAGGCTGGGTGTGTGGAGCACATGACTTGAGTGTGTGGACAAGTTGTGTTGAAGATTATTATTACAGGCACAATGTTACAGCACAGTCTATCAGGGAAAAATACTTAAGTTTATTTTTTTGAGGCTGAGCGTGGTGGCTTATGCCTGTAATCCCAGCTCCTTGGGAGGCTGAGGCAGAAAATTGGTTGAACCCAGGAGGTGAAGGCTGCAGTGAGCCAAGACTGTACCACTGCACTCCAGCCTGGGTGACAGGGCGAGACTCCATCTCAGAAAAAGAAAAAAAGGAAAGGAAGAAAGAAAGAGAGAGAAAAAAAAGAGAAAGAAAGGAAGGAAGGAGGGAAGGAAGGAAGGAAGGAAGGAAGGAAGGAAAGAAAGAAAGAAAGAAGAAAAAGAAAAAGAAGGAAGGAAGGAAAAGAAGAGGAAGAAGAAGAAGGAGGGAAGGAAGGAAGGAGGATCGGAGGGAGAAAACATGGTTTACAGAGGTTTTATTCACTAGGATGGTAACATCCTCCCAAGTAATTTAGTTCTAGCTGCTTTATCGTTTAGTAAATCTCTGCAATTCAGGATGCACCTTTCTTGCTGTTGCTGGTCTGCTGATCCACATGATCTTATTTCATGTATGTGGATCATCCAGCCACCGTGACAAATGTTCATTATGTTGAGTCCAGATGTCCACCTTAAGAGTACACACCCCTCGCTGCTGCTTTTTTTTTTTAATTATGTCACACTAAATACATTTACTTTATGATAACTACTGTTGGGGTACAATTTACTCTTACCACAGAACCAGCTCTCAGTTAAGAAGAAAGTGCTGAGATGGTGTGGGGAAATTTGGTGAAGAAAAACATTATAGTAAGTTACAGTCAATCTCACTACTGACCTTTGGCTAAAATTTTTTTTAATATGTGGCTAAAATCTGCATAACAGATGGTATATCTGAGTGAAGAGATTATTAGAGGATGAGAGAAACTGAGAGTTCACCAAAAATAAAAACTAATAATTGCAATATAGATTTTGCCATCAAAAGTGACCTCAAATGCAAGTTTGTAGCTGAATTGAAGAGGTGGCCACTTTGTTCTTAATCTGGTGGCTGCTGCTTAGGTTTCATTGTAGAGGCTACTGAGCTGTTTTGCAAGTTTGTATTATCTGTCTCATGATCCAGACAGAACCAGAGTCTACCAACGTGGATTAAGAATTAGTCTGTTTTCTTCTGTGTTTTTCTATGAATATACTGAATGTCTCATCTTGATTCAGAAGAAAAACCTGAAAGCTTACCCAAAAACAAACAAACAAACAAACAAACAAACAAAAAAAACCCTGTGTGTGGTTTGTCTTGGGACAGTTCAGAAGGCAGTCATTTAATTTCGTTTGGGAACATTTTGCACTATTTATTTCATTCAAAATATGTTAATTTATTTTCGATTTTAATTAATGTACTTTTGTAATGGCTTATTCCGCAAGCAGAGATAGCCTCCCTTCCCCCAAATTCTAAGATATGCATGTATACAGTCATCTTACTACATAGCAGGAATTTTAAAAAGAAATAAGCTTTTCTTTCCAGTGCCTAGTTGTTAAAACAGCAAAATGATAAAAATTTATGTAATGGTACTATTGAGCTGTCTACTGTGTGGCAAATACTTTATACAAATAAGCAATGTCTTAGGATCTAGGCTTTTAGCCTTCAAAAATCTTTAAAGAAGAATGAAATGTCATTTTTAAGTCTTGTATTTGATCTCAAGTGAAGAGATTCAATTCATTTCAAAAATACTTAATATAAATTATATGCTAGACCCTGTGCTAGGCACTGCAGGGCAAAAGCTGAAGAATCAGAGAGGCTGTCAAGTTAGAAAAGTGTTTCTCAATTGGCAATTTTTCCAACAAGGGCCACTGGTGAATGTCTACAAGTATTTTTGGTTGGGGGTTGCAGGGACTGTTGGAATTTAGTGGGTAGAGGTCAGGGGTGTGGCTACACATCTTGCAATGCATAGGACAGACCTTCCCATTAAAGCATCATCCACCTGCAGATGTCACTAGTACCAAACTTACATTTTGTGTAGCTTCAGCAAGTTCTCTCTTAAACTATTCATCGCTCTCTTTTTTCATTAGTTCTGCAGTTTAATAAGAATATTGCCCTATGGAGCAGTTCTAGCACTTTGGGAGGCCGAGGTGAGTGGATCACCTGAGGTCAGGAGTTCGAGGCCAGCCTGGCCAACATGACGAAACCCTGTCTCTACTAAAAATACAAAACTTAGCCAGGCGTGGTGGCATGTGCCTGTAGTCCCAGCTACTTGGGGAGGCTGAGGCAGGAGAATCACTTGAATCTGGAGGCAGAGGTTGCAGTGCGTTGAGATCAAGCCACTGCACTCCAGCCTGGGTGACAGAGCAAGACACCGTCTCAAAAAAAAAAAATAGCTGGAGATTAGGCAAGTTGTATATATGTAAACATAAAAAGACAGAAACAAATAAAAACCAATATAGCACAACCCACCCCATCTTGAACAAGTTGTACTTCTAATCATGCACATGTGAAAACATCAAGCTCTTATTTGACCACCATTCAGGATTGAATATTTAGTCATTGCAAATGTAGTTGAGCAAATAAGTATCTATTTGGAGTTTAGGATTAGGATCATACACTTCCACAGTTAAATCTACTGACTGACAGTAGACAGTTCATTGAGACACAGATACAGCATAGTCATCCATGTATAGTGGTTGAGTAACGTGTAAGTTTCTTTTCCCTTCCAACTGAAGGGGATGCTCAAACTGAGATTTAACCAGGACAAAGTCAATCAGCTTCTCTCTGAAAAGGGTGATGTCTGATCAGAGTCAGCTGGAGGATCAGAAAGAGTCATTTAGAAAAGTCTGAGGGAAACTGATGATCTTGAGTAACAAGAAAGTTGCCATTTTGTTCACCACAGATGAAAGTCTATTCCCAGACAGTAAATGAAGCCGGATAATCAGGCCAATTTCATAAACAGTAGATCAGATTGGAAGAGTTAAAGGACCAGATAAGAAAACAAGCACCTGTAGCAGGATGACCCGAGTAACACAAAGGATGATTCACGCAAAGGGGGTGCAAGGACTAATTCTGCAGACTCCTATAGCTTGTTGTGCCTTGCAAGCCCAAGAGAGGTTCCCAAAGGGACTGAAGCCTGGCAGCATCCAGTGAATGGGCTCTAGCATACCTGGTAAGGAGCTGTCTCAGAAGATGGGGTGTTCCATATCCCTGGAGGGGTTAAAGTTCAAGAACATTGCTGAGGATCCAAACACTGGGAGAGAGAAAGAAATGGATGGTCATAAAATAAATCCTCTTTGTTCTTTTAAAAATTCTGAGTGTGGGAGTGAAGGTGATTTTTCAGACCAAGCCCTTGGGTACTGACTCATTCTTATTCCACTGTCTCGGGCTTACATCTCCAATTCTAACTTCCCAACTTCTGTCATGGCAGATCAGGTATTACCATTGTTAGAATAGTACTATAGGTATTTTGTGTTTGGAGAGAGGTTTAGTGGTAGGACCCCAGGTTTGTAGTGTGTTGCTAGTTATCATCACAATTTTATGACCCTCTCACTTGAGAGTGGAATGACAATGTGGTTATGTAACCTAAGACTAGAAGAAACAAATGGGAGTACTCCCAAAACACAAATATCTCACCTCTTTTTTCATGGGAAAAGAGTCAGCAGAAGAGGGCAAAGCGGTAAATAAAATCCTAAAGGTAATCAAAACAGATGGGAATATAATTTTGTTCAGAGCTATAAAAAATATCCTCTACTATTCTCAATACAGGCAGTGTGTAGAAAGTTTCAAGGTTAGTATTTATCTTCTAAACATAGACTTGTGGTCTTCTTATTTAATCAATTCAAACCACCAGTGGAAGAGGTCAGAAAGAATGAATGAAATCAGGAGAACTGATTATCATGAGTATCATTGTTGTGATTGCATTTCTTGCACAGCTTTAATTTGTGCCTTGAGAGTTTGGGGTCTGAGAAAGTAGTGCTATTCCAAGAGCTCTCCAGGGATATTTTTGGAACAGGCCTTATTGTTCTCTAAAAAATTAATGCGTTATATTCCCAGGTGCTGTTGTAGCATCATTTTTCATTTAACAAAAATATGGTCGTTTAGCCAGAAATTTTAGTTCTATAATTAAAATGGACTAAAAATATTCTGTAGCACATCTAGAAAAAATATTTTAAATGTATCAATGTTCTTCCTAGAAATTTTCCATGTTGGATCAAACAGTAGATGAAGACTTTTCTGTGTGTATAGCATGGGTTTTTATGTTTATATATGAGTGTGCAGGTGTTTTAAGAGAATTTTGAAAATCAGCAAAGCAAAGTCAATTCACTACAAAATAGTTTCCAAATTATCTGTGCAGTATTAATATTGAGGAAGAATTAATCAAAAAGCAAATATTTGAGAAATGCTTTCCTATGTCTGTAGGCTACAAAATCATTGTTTAATTTATCAACAATCTTTGAGTGCTCCTCAGTGTCTGGTACAGAAATGAAAGATACAGTTTTAACTTTAGAGTGCTCACACCTACTGAGGGAAACAAACAAGGTAGAGAATTCAGTATGACGAGTGACATGAGACAGTTGAATGGGAGGCTCTCTGGGAGTACTAAGGGCCATTGCCTAGTGTAGCTGAGGGCACAGAGGAGCTGAGCTGGGCAGCCCAGGAGTCTGTCAAGAGGGCCAGAGGGAAGCAGTGCAGGGCCAGCAGCGAGAGCGGGACTGTGCAAAAGAAGTTTCAGTAGCTACAGTTTCTTTCTCAGGGTCCTCCACTTCCCAAAGAAAATGAAAGGAACATACATTTGATTTTTGTCAGTTTAAATATTGGTCGACCATTGGAAAACCATTTTTGAAAAGTGATTTCTTTTGCTATGTTTGGCAAAGCCAGGAGTAGTAAAGAGATGAGGAAGGACCATCTTCGTCCATTGCCTTTGCCTTTGTAACTGTTACTTCTTCACAGCCTTTCTACCCAGTGTAGTTCACGTATGGGAAACATTTCTTTCCATCGTCAGCGTCTTCCTGGGGAGTGTTTTGGTTATACTTTCACGAATGTCTCACCTCTTTGTGTCAACAAACCCTTCTCTTTGAGCTGTACTGTGGGTTTCTGTTTCTTTCCTTTTTTCCTTTGTCCAATTAGAAAAAAAAATGGAGTAGAAGTTTCAAGGCTACTAGTTCAATGTGCTCTTTTTTACTTGACTCCAAATGACATCTTGCTTGCAGATGTGATTAAGAAAGATCTGGACAGGGAGAGGGAGGATAATTTTCAATGTTCCTCTCAAATTTAATCTTATAGTGACAAGCTCCATATTCTACATGAAAATGCTCAGTTAATACAGCTATTAAACTTGAATGGTAGATAATAGTGGATTTCTGTAGCCACTGTTTGGTTTCATTCAAAAACCTAGAGGAAAATAAGGGATATACATTATAAATTGTTTGTTTAATGTTAAAAATATGTTTCATATTCAGTGCACATAAAGCAAAGGTATTGTCCAGTGTTAGTACCTATGAATCATCAATAAAAACAGTTGCTTCTGTTTGCTGTTGACATTTTATGTATGTGTTGTTCCTCTCTGAACCTTTTTCTTAAAAGTCAACTTTTAAGAAACTTATAAGTTTACTGTGGAGAGCCTATGAACAGATGCATGAGGGGGCGCCTGTTCATATGGATAAGATAGGGCTATAAATGCCCTTATCTTGCCAGGGCTCTTCTAGGCCTCTTTAGGGTTAAGGCATACTCCCTTCTGAGAATTTGTGTTGTAACCGGTTGTCTAGCTTCACGTCCTGTTTCTATGGATTGTTTGTAACCAGCTTTTGCTGCAACTGTTACTGCTGATTAATACCTTGCTAATCATAGGTTATGGAAAGACTGTTTTCTGTTTTAAGGCTCTGTTAGAAATTGCTGATGCACACAATATTGTAAATTCTTATCTCTGTATACTGTACTTCTGCATACAGATATTATGTTAAAGAATTACTTCATCCCCATGTGACCATCTCACTTCATAATCAAATGACTCTAAATCCCTCACTAAACTACCCCCACCCTCACTAAACTTAACAATAAATGCTGGTATATCCAGTACGTTGGCGGCATCACAGGACCAGAAGGCAGTGATCCCCCTGGACCCAGCTTTCACTAAAAAAAAAAAAAAAAAAAAAAAGAAACAATAAACTTAGCCATTATAATCCCTCAGAAAAACATTAACTATATTTAAGGATAATAAGAGAAAATAATCTCTTTTTAACATACTTATTGATACATAATAATTGTACATATTTATGGGGTACCTGTGATATTTTGTTTTATGGATAAAATGTGTAATTATCAAATCAAGATATTTAGGATATCCATAACCTCAAGCATTTATCATTTCTATGTGTTGGGAACATTTCAAGGCCTCTCTGCTAGCTATTTTGAAATACACAATACATTGTTGTTAACTATAATCACCCTCGTCTGCCATGGAACATTACAACTTATTCCTTCTATCTAACTCTATGTTTGTACCCATTAATAATTTCTTTTTAAAGCCCCAGTCTCAATCAAGAGAAATATAAATAGCATGGTAAAAAAAAATTTTTTTTGACCTGATGATATGGGTTCAATTTCTGGTTCTACCACTTTCCACCTTGGAGACCTTCATTAACCAGTGACCTTCACTTTTCTTTTCTGTAAGATGGTATTGATAATATCTGCCCTCATCCCCACTTCGCCATTTGCCTAGCTAATAAGACAGAGATTTCCTTAGCATGTTGTGTTAAAGAGGCTAGAAACTCAACATGCTTTACAAATACCAGCTGTATGACAAGGAGTTACAGTACCAATGTACAAAATATGATTTTTAAAATGAAAGGCAGGACATTTATGAAGTTATATTCTATAGAAAGTATATTAGCACACATTAATGCATAATAGGCGATAGGACTGCACTTTGCTTCTTTCTCTTAGCTTTTCTTTCCAGCCTCTTTTTCTCCCTTGTCATCAAGTCTGCGGCTGGACTTGCCTTCTGTTCTGCATGCCTTGGTGTTTGCTGTTGCTCTGATTCTGCTTTCTCATGCACAGGCTCAAAGAAACAGTGAGGCTGCCCCAACCTGTGCAACTCTCCTCTTTGTTTGGATACTTGGTCATATGCACATTCTAGTTTAAATTTCTGTGTAACTAAAACATGTATGAGTGGAGATTGGTTTTATATTCTGTAATAATAAAACTTATTTATAGAAGTAGAATTTATTGAGGTACAAATGTTTACCAGTTTTATGAATAACAACTTATATTTATTTTATAAACAACTTCAATGGTATATGTGTGTGTGTTTTCTCACAAAAGCATATTGAGCAATTATTTTCAATTTTATAGTCATAAATGATACCTGAAATATCTTAAGAACCTACCCTGTGATTTACAGGAATTAAGTCATTAAATCCTTACAACACAGTAAAGTCTGTGTTATTTCCCATTTTACAGATGGAGAAACTAACTACAGAAAGACTATTAAAGAGGCAAGATATCATCACAGTTGGATGTGTGGGGCTTTGTACCAGAATGACTGAGTTAATTCCAGTTCCCTTAATTATTATCTTTGCATCCTCAGACAAGTCACTTTATCTTTATATGCTTTAGTTTCCCTGTCTGTAAAACATCTTATAGTGTTGTTAGGATTAAACACATCTTTTCCCTACATGGCATTTTAGGTTCTCTTAACCAATGTTAAAAAATCTATCCACATATTTTTAGCTTTCCTTTCTTTCCATTACTAGAAGTACTTTCTATGAGGTAATTCTCCCAGAAAATACAAAGTCCTATTTGGTGATTCACTGCCTTACATTCTGGTGTTCGGTAACACCATGGAATCCAAAGACAAGCTCCATCATATCAATTGTGGAGCCTGAGATACTTTACTCTCCCTGTGAGAAAGTGATTTCAAATGAAACTCAGTTCTCCCATTTATTTCATTTTGGTTAAAACTATAGCAGGTGCTTTTCAGCTTATTGAATGTGTTAGGCTCCAAGTGGCAAGCTTAAATGGTACATATCCTTTTTTTAATTATACATATATATACTTGGTTTGACTGTTTATTTCCTTTTCCACATTATTATTTGCATTTAACAGCTAAAGGTATAATATCAAATTATTTTATTGTTAGATGTTGAAATTACCCTGGCTTGAAGTCAGAAACAACTTTATTAAAATTTTAAGAGAACAGTAAAATGTGTTGCATGTGATTCTAATCAATTTTTGAAGCACTTTTGTCATTGAGAAAATAAGTATGGATAAATATTGATTGTTTTTCTGGAAAATGCTTTCTTATTTCAAAAGTCAGCTGTGACTCAGTCTGTCCTCCTCTGTCATGACAGGAACTAGTATATTCACCGTCTATGAGGCCGCCTCACAGGAAGGCTGGGTGTTCCTCATGTACAGAGCAATTGACAGCTTTCCCCGTTGGCGTTCCTACTTCTATTTCATCACTCTCATTTTCTTCCTCGCCTGGCTTGTGAAGGTACTGCGAAGAATTGTACTAAGAAAGTCTATGTTCTGTGATAGTTCTGCAGATCTTTTGTTTGGTTTTGGTTGCCCTCTGCTTTGTCATTCTTAGACTTTGGTAAATGTGGTTTGTGATTTTTTTCAGAACGTGTTTATTGCTGTTATCATTGAAACATTTGCAGAAATCAGAGTACAGTTTCAACAAATGTGGGGATCGAGAAGCAGCACTACCTCAACAGCCACCACCCAGGTACGCTATCAGCAAGAGGATGTTATAACCCATTCGAGCATGCACATGTCTCACCCTCACCATCAGTGGACCTTGGGGAAGCTCTTGCATGATGGGCTTCTATAGTCTGACTCAGGAAGCTGTTTAAAAATACAGTTGCCAGTCAGGCACAGTGGCTCATGCTTGTAATTCCAGCACTTTGGGAGGCTGAGGGAGAGGGATTGCTTGAGCCCAGGAGTTTGAGATCAGCCTAGGTAATGTAGCAAGACCCTGTCTCTACAAAAAAATTTTAAAAATTAGCCAAGAGTAGTGGCATGAGCTTGTAGTCCCAGCTACTCAGTAGGCTGAGATGGGAGGATCACTTGAGCTCAGGAGGTCAAAGGTACAGTGAGCTGCAATCACAACACTGCACCCCAGCCTGGGTGACAGAGCAAGATCCTATCCCCAAAAAACATAAAAGAAAATAAAATAAAACAGGTTCAAAGGCCCAAACACAGAACAATCAAATCAGAGCTTCCAGGCAGTGAGGTAATGACACCTATATTTTGTAACAGCTCCGTGGGTGGTTTTGATACAAAACCAAGATCGTCAACCACATTTATTACATACCTTTGATTCTGACATCACAAATCCTCAAATGGCTTGTGGATAAAATGCAACCACTATGGAATTTCTTACTTTTATGGGTATTTATTCATGTACTTGCAAGCCTATGTAATGTCTATGTGTAGGATTAGAATTTTGTAATGGAAAATATATTTCATTCAGAACAAACCACAGTACAATAAACTATGAAAAAGATCCCTCAACCCCAAATGCATGTTTGTGATTTTTTAAAGAATCCCTATATATTCAGAAGGATTCCCATAAGTTCCATAGCAATATTGTTTCCATAAAACCATAAGGCTCCTGAGAATTTGAAGGTGGGCTACAGATTTGCTAAAAGCAGCAGGGCAGTTATTACAAAAGAGGGCAATTCAGATCCAATGCCTTTGTTTTTATTTTTGGTTTTGTTTCACGTGTGTGTTTTTGTGGTGTTAAAAAAAGGAAGGGCAGATTTGTGTATCTTCTTCTAGCGTGAATCTTTATAAAAGAGAGAGAAAATATAAATTCCAGAATCAGGAATAAAATGATATAATGCCTTGTAATTATTATAATATTAAATTCTAAAGGATATTTAACAACTTTGTAAACACTTACAAATACTGTTAAGACAAAGGTATCTATCAAGGAGCCGAGGTGTACAAATTTTACTTTTGAAAACCCTCAAGTTGAGCTTTTAATAATTATTTGTTAAAATGCAATTAAACACACTAATTTGGGAAAAGCCTGGTGGTGTTGAGGCATCTTTATGATGCTGTAAAAGTCTGAATTGTCCAGTCAATTCATTATAGATGAAATAGTGTCAGTCTTATTCAGTTTTTACAAACAACTGTTCAAACTTCCATGAAAGGTTTTTTGAATATGCTATCCAGGTTATATCAGAAATGCCATGTAGAAAAGCCTTCAAGAAATCAACCATAGCAAGTTCTCATCTCCTCTCTCCTCTCTTTTTGCAAACTATGAGAGATAAGAAAGTTCCCGGTCCATTCCGAGGTGGCAGCCTCTAGAAGGACATGTTTTCAGTTATGACTTTGAGACCTAAATGGAATATGGAACTATGATCTCAGCCCTTAACTCACATGCAGTGTTCCTGGAGATGACCTAAGATTCCTTTAAAACCATAGTATGTTTATGGAGTAACTCTCACGTATAAAATCACAGCTGGAAAAAATAGTGTTTGGAAGCACCACCAAGTCAGGCAATGGTTCTAATAGAAAGGGAAATGTGAAGAGACTTGGAACAAAGTTGTACAGAATCATTTTGATGCAAAATTGTACTTAATCAAGAGGAATAAATTGGTAATTCAGAGGTAATGCGTCTAGATATTCAGCAGTGGTAATCATACAGAGAATTGTGAAAAACCTTCATTAAGAAAAATGCTATAGCTGAGGACCTGGTTGCTAAGCAACCAAAGCTCCTGCTGTCAGCCTCTGGGTGAAACACCACTCAGGCAGCCTAGCAACGAGCTTCAGGCCCCGCCCACCCTGGCTAGCCACTTGCGAGTGGGCCCTCTGATGCTTTTATGTGTAGAGAAGGGAGAGACATAATTTGCCATGATGCTATTATGTTTGTAAAATATGACCAAATTCCGTGAACAGGGACTTCTCATTCAGTGGTTTAAAACACTAGATCACAAGTTACTAATTTGAAGGAAATAAAATAAAGATGATTATTATAATGCACACAGCTTTTCAAACATGGAAGTACATTCTTGCCTTTCTCTAGCATATGGAAAATTTGCAGTTGTTAAATATAGGCTATTCTCATCAAAGGACTAAAGGGTCCTGGGCTTGTTGGACTTGTTGATGTCTAAGTCTGCAGACTTCCCATAACAGCCATGTGTATAGAAAATATGTGTATATATATATATATATATATATATGCACATTTTCAGAACAAAGAAGGGGCTTTCTGTTATATTAGGCAGCTCACTAGGAACTGGCTCTGACAGGGACCATTTCAAGGGAGGCGAAAGGAAATCTGTGATGAGAACTGTTTCTTTAAAATAACGAAGCAATATTTTTCAATTGAATGGTCACCACCAAATGCCTCCAAGACACAGCATAGGAACAAATTACAGAGACATTAATGCCAAGGGTCTTTAGGAGACCATAATATAACATGTAACTGGAAAACAGAAGGAAAATGATGTAGAAAATTTCAAATTACTAAATATTGACTCTGGCCTCTGAGAGCCTTGTGATTTCATACCTGCCTGATTCTTAGACGTGGGTAACTATTGCCTTGTGCTCAGTTGTGGATTGGGTTGAAGGATAAGTGATTCATACACCCATGATATAATACCCTGCTTTGTTAATCCACTATAGGGTTACCCAGGCCACAACTTTTTAGTGATGTCCCATGACTGGATGTTGGGATGTGCAGGTGAGCTGAAAGACGAAGTCCTGAGTACCGTATCTCACTAACCCAGACCTTTACTCCCATTATTTAGATGCTTTACTTCAGATACCTGTTATGAGCCCCATGGTCCTCTGATCTAGACTAGCTCATGATGGAGATGAGCTTATCCCAACTTTGCCTTGAGTAGAACTCAAAGAACTGCTAAATTTTAGAGCCACACAAGGCTACTTTTCTGTTAAAATGGTAGGAGACAGAAAGCAGGCTTCTGACAGTCAATACATATCTAACTTTTATAAATGAATCATAATCCAATAGGATCATATTGAAGGTTTGGTAAATAATTAAATATTCTGATTGCACAAAGACAGCAATCATTTCTGGGTCTGTTATTATCTCTGATTGAGCACTCTTGCTGACATGTGTTTTCTGAATTAATATCCCCTAATTAACAGAGAAGACTGATAAAGGTAGAACTGGTGTGGGAAGAATGGGCACTTTTGAGTTTTTCTCCTTTGGGTTTCCATCAACATTCTTAGAATATGGGTTATACAATGCCTAAAGCAACTTGTGCATAAATGTTCAGTGCTGGGTTAAAAAGTAGAGAAAAAATGGATGAAAAGACACATGATCCAAAATGGAAAGAATTTCTCCTCCAAAAAGAAAGCTACATATAACTTAATGCTCAAAGAAAATACTTTAGCAAAAATGTGTTTACTGTGTTCCAAGACCATTTATTTCCTCATGAATATACATCATTAAAATATGTGAGAAAACAATTCAATTAATGCATTTCAGGGAAGGGTGCTTCTAGCATGGTGTAATAATGAGTGCCTTCTAATAAGAAACCATAATAATAGAATAGTACAATCATCATAGGAAACCATAAATGAGAATTAAATTTTGTGAGGTTGCATCATTGAATATATTATTTCGTAATGAAATCAAGCCAGGTATCCACTTTCACTATTTTCTGTCATAGTGACTATTAGCTATTTTTTGAAAAACCATAAATTTTCAAAGAATCCAAAGAGCATGCAAATTGCAAAGTAAATTTTAGATTTTCTCTGCATTACTGTGTATGTGGATGTGTGTGTGCCTGTCTTGAGTTTGGAATTCTAATTCAGCTGCTAGTGATTCTCCATTACCAAGATTCTTTCTCTTACCACTATCCATTAGATAACCTGTTATTCATGTTGTTGATGATGATGATATTATGCCTATAATGGAACAATCCCAGAAGCATTTTTAGCTACTTTACAAACCAACCGACCAGTTATAAAACTGTAGCAGTTGCAAATGGACAGGCCTGAGAGAATTCTCAAAGTTGAAATCTCCATGCGCTTCCAAATGATTGTGCTAAGAGGAGAGTGCCATGGAAATTCATTTGTGTTATTGGTGAGATTCTACTAATTCAGAACATCTTCTTACAGTCACTCCCATATATTGAGATCTGCACTAGTCTAATGGCTTTACAAACTGTCTTATTTAATTTTCATAATAATACTGTGAAGTGGGCACTATTAATGTCTCCACTTTGCATGTAAAAAATGACAATGATTGGAAAGTTAATTATCTAACCCAATGTTATATAACTGGCTAGTGGTAAAACTGGGACTCAAAACCAGGTTGCTCAGCTGCAAGAGCCTTTTTATTCAGCATGAGATGCTACCACCTTTCAATTTAGCCATTACAAGCCCTGCTGTCAACATGCTGTCTTTGTTCTGGCCTCATGTTAACTTTTCTTTTCTTAAAAAAGACAGTATTTATTGCTGGCTGAAAGGGACATTCGCATACATTGTTGCCAAGAGTATGAATTAAAACATCTTTTCCAGAAAACCGTTTGGCAATATGTATCCAAAAGTAAAACATACATACTATCTGACCAAGAAAGTCCGCTTTTAGAAATGTATCCTAAGAAAAATTGGGGGCAGTAGCCAAGGGCATATGTTTGAGGATGTTTATGAGGCATTATGGCAATTTTTTAAAAATGGAAACAATCTTAGTCTCTAGCAATAAGTTATCGATTATAAATTATGAAATTGGAATAAATGCAAACCATTAAAATAAGAATTGAACTTTATTGATGTGAAGATATGCTGATGACATATTAGTACAAAAAAAGATCCTATGTTTGTCTGTGGGATGCAGGTGTGTGTGTGTGTGTGTGTGTGTGTGTGTGTGTATAATACCTGGAATGTTAACTGTAAAATGTTAGTGGTGGTGTCTCTGGGGAATGGGTTTAAGCTGTTTCTTTTGCAACTCATCCTCATTTTCTAAGCCTTTAATAGTAAAATATTTAATTATAGAATGAGAAAGGAAAATTACATCAGTAAAATGAAAAAAAAAATTAATGGACATTCTAACAGAAACCACGTATACTAGTTAAGTTACATTCAGTTGCAAGGGACAAAAAAGCCCAAAATAAGTTGCTTAGGTGACGTATGCGATGAGGAATCCCATTCTCTCTCATATAAAGTTGGAGGTGCTCATTCAGCATGGTATGGTTGTCTGTGTTGCCACGGATCCAGACACCTTCCTTCCTGTTCCACTTTGCACAGCCCCCATTACCACAGTCACCTTGTAGACTAGCATGGCTGCTGTAGCTCTAACCCTCACATCCATATCCCAGAGAGCAGGAAGAAGAAGGAAATACAGGAAAAGAGGGTTTCTGCTTGCATCCTATAGTCCTGTATGTAGTTACATGGTCAAGCTCAGCTTCAAAAAAAGGGCAAGAACTGGCCTTTTTTCTTGGTAGCCTAGTGGCCCCATACAGATTCTCTTTGTAAAACAGGGAAAAGAGATACAAAGGAAAGACTGGCAGTCCCTGCCACGCTCCCCGCAAGGATTTGAGTCTCTGAGGATTCTTGGCTTCTGCTAGCTAGCCCAGCTTCTGTCTCAAAGATCTACTGTAATATTAACCAATCTAAATGTTGTATAATTCAGGGGATTAAAGAGAAATTGAACGTTTTTGCATTTCCTTTACTTATTTCATACAAATAAGTGACCTTGGGAGAACACTTTTACTGAAAATTAAATTGATTCTTTTGATTTTGGTCTATTGAAAAAAAAATTTAAGAGAGAAAATTAGTCTGCTACTGATCAAAGTCAATATATGCCCCAGGGATCCTTTATGCCACAATTAGAGAGTATAGGATGTATCAACAGAGGGTTTTTATTAATAACTGGTGACTGGCAATGCTGGTTTTGTCTTTTATCCTTAAAATGAGGCTTCCAGAATTTTGACAGAAACTTTACAAGGTCCTATAACAGGTTTGCATCTCCACTGATGTCTATATTCTCAGAATGAGCTATTCAGGAAGAATATGCTTGATTCACCCCAAAAAGAGTTTTTGCAGTTTATTCTAAAGAAAATCAGAATCCTGTAAATGGACAGCTGAGATGAGCAATTTGCAGTTGGCATCTTTGTCAAAGGAGCTTTATGTAAATGTGCACCTTAATTTTGTCATTTAAAAATACATATAGGAGGCAGAAGCTGGGGGATTGCCTGAGCTCAGGAGTTCAAAACCACCCTGGACAACAAGCTGAAACCCTCTGTCTAGTAAAAAAAAAAATACAAAAATTAGTTGGGCATTGTGGCGGGTGCCTGTAGTCCCAGCTACTCGGGAGGCTGAGACAGGAAAATTGCTTGAACCCGGGAGGTGGAGGTTGGAGTGAGTGGAGATCACGCCCCTACACTCCAGCCTGGGCGACAGAGCAGGACTCTATCTCCCCCCAAAAATAAATAAATAATAAAAATACATATAGGGACTGTGATTTTTGGCAACTGTCTCTCACCACCTCACTCATTTTATAGAAGGCAAGTTTATTTTCCACAAAGGATCTACCACCACTACTACCAGGGATTTGAAACTCTAATTACAAATCCTAGGTAATGGGATCTTTGCATCATCTCATTCGTATTTCCATCAGCAGTTACCCCTTCGAATACAGGGTCAGACTAACAGGAGGACATAAATAAGGGTGACAAAGGAAACATTTATTTCTGTAAAACAGCGACCTCAGGTAGGAATGAAACAGTGAGCACTTGTAGTTAGTATCATTATTTAGAAAAACAAAAATGTTTAATTTTGCCCTATTCCTACCATACACACATACACACACACTCGCTCCTAAGAACTAGAAAGAAAAATATGTTAGTGGGAAAATACGTGAAAGTGGGAAATGTCTTCCAGCTGGGTGTAATATTGACACATAGGTAATATGTGATGATACCTAGGAGATAATAGGTACCTAGGAGATAATAACCTAGGTATCTAATTCAATGGATTTCAGATTTAGTGGGCCTGTAGCATCTTGAATTTCATCACTTGGGTCTTTAATCCAAAAGAAACTACTTGTTCCCTTCATAATACGTACATAAAATTTCTGCTGAGCAGGTTAATTGCTGCCTAGTTAAAATAATTACACAAAGTGTATTAAGCAATGTGGCAATCTTCTACCATTAAAATAACACCAGTTCTTTCCCTATGCCACACGCACACTTCTTATTTTATGGATCCTGAGAATATTTTTATTAGGTCAGTGCTCCTGTTCAGCCTTGAGGGTAAGATACCATGGTAGTCCAAGCCAGGGAGTGGAAGACTGTCCACTAAATAAAAATAAAAATTTGCAACCTATAGTAAAAACACACCAGACACAATGCTTTTAAATTCTGATTTTCATTTTCTCCCAGATCTAATAGATATTTATCAATATAATGGGGATAAAATACTAAAGTATTTCTCTTGTGGAGAAGAATATTTGAGCAATTATATGCAAAGCATATGCAAGACAGAAAGTGCCTGACATAGCAAGTAGTCAATAAACTCAAGTTATTATCATTGTTCTTTTTTCATTCATTTAAGCTTTCAATGTTAAAGAACTATAATTGAAATGACTTCATTCCAAATATAAATCCATAAGAAGACAAATTTTTGATAACATAAAAATATACAAAGCTGGAGACATAGAGTTCTCAATGTTCCATATTAAATGTCTCTGACTCATCTCCCTTCTTTGTCTTGAAGATGTTTCATGAAGATGCTGCTGGAGGTTGGCAGCTGGTAGCTGTGGATGTCAACAAGCCCCAGGGACGCGCCCCAGCCTGCCTCCAGGTGCAGTACAATGACATTTTTAAAAATCGCCCAGCAAAGGTCTTTGAATTTTATTTCATCCAAGAAAATCCACAGCTCTTTAAGCTCTAGATTTGTCCAAATTTAAAATCCTGAAGTTAGAGATGGTATTTCACTCCTTCCTCTATTCCCAGGACCTAGCTTTTTTTTTTTTAACATACACAATAGGGATTTGATAAGTTTCTGATGGCTGCAGGCATGTAAGAGCATTTCAGTGGTATTGAATCAATGAAGAATTTTGTTGACATGTGAAATCTTATAAAAATATTCTTTACCGAAGGACTGAGTTATGTGGCAGTGGGCAAATTCATTGTTTCATACCTCCCCGAGTAACTGGGAAAAATATGTTAATACATAGTCTCTCTGTTTTTCTGCATTTGGAAGCTTTCAGAGGAACATAATGTAGAGGTGTTTCTTTAGCAAAGTGCACTGATAGCAAACATAAGGATTGCAGGTGGGGCCTGAGAGTCCTCATGAGATAGATTCTCACAGTGATTAGAAGATGGAGTCTCACGTCCCTGCCTGTGAACTTTCTGGAAAAACCATCTTCTCCAAGCTGCCATTGACAACAATATGGATAACAATAATAACAATAAGGCCCAATAAACTCCTTTATCTCTTCTTCAGGGGGCCATACTGACATCTTCTCTTCCTTGGTTTCCCCTCCTTGCCCCCTAAATATCAGTAACTCATTCAAAATAATGTCACCTTACCAAGAGCAGCACCCCTAACTTTCCATAATATTTTCACTTTCATTTTCCCTCCAAGCAGCCCACTCGTAGGACCGGAGAATTGATTCTTCCACCTGGAGAATTTTATTTTCTTTAGCCTTTTTGGTTTTCAGTGACAAATCCTCTTCTCGCAAGGGGTGGTTTCCATAGTTGTTTATATCCTGCCCTCATAATTTGGAGAAGTGTTCACATCTGCCGTGGGATGAGACTGTATCTCTTTTCTTTCTTTTGGGTCTTTCTCCAGATAGGGACTTCTTATGCAACTCAAGGATGGGTACATGAAAAATAAAATTGTACTCTGAGCCATTACTGTGGGCTATGTTTATATGGCCATTTTACCATAGAGTTATTTACTTCTTTTTGTTTCTATTTGTATTGAGGTGTGATTAACAAATAAAATTGTAAATACTTAAGGTATACAATGTGATGATTTGATATATGTACACAGTGTAAAACGATTGTTGCAACCAAGCTAATTAACACACCCATCACCGCATATATTCAGTAGTTACCTCTGTGTGTGTGGGGTGGGGGGTAACACTTAAGATCTAATCTCCTAGCAAATCTCATGTATACAATACAGTATTATTAACCATTAATGAATCACTTTGTTTATTAGATCCTGAGAACTTGGCCATCTTTTGACTGATAACTAATATCTCCCCATTTCTACCCCCTGTCCCCAGCCCCTGGTAACCACAATCCTACTCTCTGCTTCAATGAATTTGACTTTTTGAGATTCCATATATAAATGAGATTATGCGGTGTTTGTCTTTCTGTGTCTAGTTCATTTCACTTAGCATAACGTCCTCCAGGCTTATCCATATAGTTGTCAATGGCAGGATTTTTTTCTTTATTATGGCTGAGTAATATTTCATTGTATGTCTATACCACATTTTTTTTATCCATTCATCCATCAGTAGACACTTAGGTTGTTCCCTGTCTTGACCATTGTGAATAACGCTGCAGTAAACACGGGGCTGCAGATGTCTCTTTGAGATACTGATTTCATTTCCTTTGGGCATATATCCAGAAGTGGGATTGTGGGATCATATGGTAGTTCTATTTTTAATTTTTTGGGAAACCTCCATACTGCGTTTCAGAATGGCTCTACCAATTTAAATCCCCACCAACAGTGTAAAAGGGTTATCTTTTCTTTATGCCTTTGCCAAATAGTTATCTTTTGTCTTTTTGATGGTGACCATTGTAACAGATATGAGGTGATATCTCAATGTGGTTTAAATTTGTATTTCCCTGATAATTAGGGATCGTATGCACTTTTTCATATACCTATTGGCCATTCATATGTCTTCTTTGGAAAAAAATCTACTCAGAATTTGCTCATTTATAATCAGATTATTTGCATTTTGTGTTTGTTTTTGTTTTTTAGTTTGGGGGCTTTTTGTTATTGAGTTGTATGAGTTCTTTGCATCTTTTGAATATTATCTCCTTTTCAGAAATATGGTGTTCCAATTTTCCCCTGTTCCATAGACTGCCTTTTCATTTTGTTTATTGTTAGTTATTTATTTCTGTCAGTTTAAAAAAATGGAGGGCAATAAGTAGAAAAGCTTACAATGAATATTGATAAGTATTATTTTGTGGTCCTCCTTCCATCCTATATTTGATGTTGACTATGCTGCTAATATAAAACTACTACAACTACCTTTACTCCTACTATCACTACTAATAGTAATAACAATAATGACAAAGATTATAGTACTAGCTTCTTACCTAAAAAGCACTTTTATTGACATTATTTTTTAATCCATCAACTGATATTTACTGAGTACCAACTATGTGCTAGACACTAAGATAGTCTTGAAAGAAACATGCACAGTCTCCACACTCATAGAGCTTACAGTATGCTTGAGAGTGGGAGGGAAAAAGGCAGCATTGAGCTAGCAATCACAAGAGTGATGTGGGTTTTGAAAGAAGTAATGCAAGATGCAATGAGAATATATAAATTGGGGTCCGCTTTGAGAGGTCAGGGAAGGTTTTAGTGCATAATCTTAAAATCAAAACCTTGAGTAATTCCAGCATTTTGGGAGGCTGAGGCAGGCAGATCACCTGAGGTCATGAGTTTGAGACCAGCCTGGCCAACATGGTGAAACCCCATCTCTACTAAAAATCCAAATATTACCCAGGTGTTGTGGTGCACGCCTGTAATCCCAGCTACTTGGGAGGCTAAGGCACAAGAATCACTTGAACCCGGGAGGTGGAGGTTGCAGTGAGCTGAGATTGTGCCACTGCAATGTAGCCTGGGCAACAGAGTGAGACTCTGTCTCAAAAAAAAAAAAAAAAGAGAGAGAGAGAATGAGGAAAAGAATGACTAAGGATGAGGTTTACTACAACCCTGTGATGTAGAAAGACCTACATGCCTGGTCAGCCATTTATAGGAGAAAGTGCTGATTCAGAGAACATAGGGATGTGAATTACATTCAACCAGAGGGAGAACCCAGGACTAATGGCTGGGTCTTATGGCTCCTAGCCCCATGCTTTATCCAGCTGAAAAAAATATGCAAGTAATCATAAGTTCGTGATAGAGAAATAAACTATCAGGGCTACTCTGAGTGCCAAATCAGAGTCGTATGGTATCCAGAGCTTTAAAATCTATTAAATCCTTGTTAATAGATGCCTCAAGGTGGCCATCTGAAATTAGGAGGCAAGTCAGCCTCCTTATCACAAAGATTTGAGAATAACAAGGGATTAATGACAGGGTGAAGTGTGATGACAAAATCGAGCAAGGAGATAGTAAAATAAAGATTGGAATGGTGTGGGGATAGATGTTGGGCTTGAAGTGTATAGATGTGGCATCTCAGAGACCCCTATATGAGATATGTGTTATGAATATAGCAGCATGCTTATGACATCTTATGAATGTGACTCATATGCTTAGAAACTGGGGGGAAAGGGGTCAGGTAATTCAGTGTGACACAAGTTTCATTCCACTCAACTTCATGTGTTTGGCCCTGAATAAAGCTTTCCAGAGGCAGCAATGAAGAGTGCATGGAAGAAAAGTGGGATGGCCAAGAAGTTATCTGTTTGTACCGGGCAGGAGCTGTGATTAGAGAGAGAATACATTTCTATGTCTCAGCAAGAAAATAATTAATTAATTAAAAGAAAAGAATTAAGTAAAAATATATTGAAGATAAAATGGTCCTGAAATACTTGATGGCTTTCACTAATGATTAATGCCATCTAAAACTGGGTAACAGGAAAACTTTCATCTCAGTCTTCCACTCCCTGGCTTGGACTACCATGGTATCTTACCCTCAAGGCTGAACAGGAGCATATACCACTTCTTTTTATTTATTTATTTATTTATTTATTTATTTATTTATTTATTTTATTTATTTATTTATTTTTTGAGACGGAGTCTCGCTCTGTCGCCCAGGCTGGAGTGCAGTGGCGGGATCTCGGCTCACTGCAAGCTCCGCCTCCCGGGTTCACGCCATTCTCCTGCCTCAGCCTCCCAAGTAGCTGGGACTACAGGCGCCCGCCACTACGCCCGGCTAATTTTTTTGTATTTTTAGTAGAGACGGGGTTTCACCGTTTTAGCCGGGATGGTCTCGATCTCCTGACCTCGTGATCCGCCCGCCTCGGCCTCCCAAAGTGCTGGGATTACAGGCGTGAGCCACCGCGCCCGGCCCTTTTTATTTTTAAAACAAGCAAAATGTGAACATGTTCTCATAAAAAATTAATATGGAAATAAAATTAAAAGGAAGAGTTTACTTGAAATCTTCTTTCAATGTATCCTTCCTCATTCTTCTTCCAATGAGTAACTTGGAGGTTAATGTTGAGTCGATTCTTCTCAGACTCCTGCATTTATGCATTTTATCTCACATGAAAAAGCATTTCTGCCTCCAGGAAGCACTGACATTTTCACAGAATGTTTCCTCTTCCTACACCACTTCCTTCTCACTCATCCTTCAGAACTCAGCTCAAACATCACTTTCTTATCCTCAAAAAATAAGCCAGGTACCTCTGTTACATGTTTTCATATCATCCTACACTTTTCTTTTATGTCTGTCATAATTTTAATAAAATAAATTAAGGATATAATTAGTTGTTGATGTCTGCTTCTCCAACCAGGGGAAATTCCATTACTTTAGAGACCATACCAGTCATGGTCACTTCTGCAACTGTGCTTTAGACATGAGAGATGATCAATTATGTTTATTAACCGAGAACAGTCCAGTGAAAGAAGGAGGCAGTACCTTCTTGGCTTATGAAAGTACTTATTTGACCTCTCGCTTAGAAGCTGCTCTGTTTGTCCTCCTGGTCTTGTCTGTAAGAACTAGAAATTGAATAGACTGTGGCAATAACACCCTTTTCCATACAGAACACTTATTTCTATATGCATGTCGTTGGAGTCTAAAGCAAGCAGTACACTTGGAGTTTGCTTCCAGAAAGTGCCTCGCAGAGGTTGTAGGACTTTGGATATCTCTGGATAGTTTTGCCAGGATGTCTCCTCTAATATGTGGTGGCAGAGCCTTGGCAGGACATAACCCTGACTTCTGTTATGTTTCACCTCTTTCAGAACTCTTTTCATCTTGTAAGCATATAAGATAAATTTGTCTTATGTTTAGAAATATAGTGTTAGGAATAGCATCATTGAAAAGAACCCAAACTCATTCTTTTTTTTTTTTTTTTTTTTTTTTGAGACAGAGTCTCACTCTCCTGCCCAGGCTGGAATCCAGTGGCACAATCTTGGCTCATTGCAACCTCCGCCTCCCAGGTTCAAGTGATTCTCCTGCCTCAGCCTCCAGAGTAGCTGGGACTACAGGCATGCGCCACCACGCCTGGCTGATTTTTGTATTTTTAGTAGAAACCGGGTTTCACCATGTTGGTCAGGCTGGTCTTGAACTCCTGACCTCATGATCCGCCCACCTCGGCCTCCCAAAGTGCTGGGATTACAGGTGTGAGCCACTGTGCCCAGCTGAACCCAAACTAATTGTATGTTAATGAGAAAACAGAGTTTATTGGAATGAAACATTTGAACGGCTGTACTTTGTAATTTTGAAACTGTTGAAATAAATTAGAAAAAATGAGGTATCAATAATATCTGAGAGACAGCAAACTGATGTTTGAGTTCCCATTTAACTACTGGGAACTGTTGATTTTGTTCAAAGTGGGACTTTGTTTTTAAATTTGACCCAAAGTTTAAAAACCAGAGTATTTTACATAAAAACCCACACGTCCTACCCATCTTGTAAAAGAGAATGATCTGGCAATAAAGAGCTCTCATTTCCACCTGGCTAGAGTTGGCCAGAGCTGAGTGGTGGCTGCCACATGAGCAGAGGCAGAGAGGCTTTATTGTGCCTCAGTTTCCCAACTCTCCATATTGTCTCCACAGCACTGGAGGTGAGTGTTTTACCTACCCAAGAATTCATACATTTATTTTTCTAAGAGTAGAGAAAGATTTCTCTTTGTCCGTGACTCTATCGTGTGGAAATAAATAAACAAGTAATAAATTCATAAATATATAAATGTATAAAGATACACAAATGCATGGATGAATGAATAAAGAATAAATACAAGGCATTTTAAAAGCACCCTGTGATTACAGAAAACAATGAGAAATGAACCTAGTATTTTAAGAAAAAAGTTATTCCGATGTGTTAAATATGTAACCCTAAGCCTAGTTTTCTCATTATGTTACTTGCTAGGTCTCAGGAGGCACTTGGTTGGGTGACTCACGGAATAAATGAAAATAATGTAACTTTAGATCACAAAGATTATATAATAACAATTAGTCCACACATTTCAGTGATTCCAAAATAGTATTTTCATATATTTTATGTTTTTAACATTTTAAAATGTTAAAATCATAACTCAGCATAATTGGAAGCTGGCTCAAGTTCTCTTATAAATGAAATGTACTAAAAAATCAAAACTGTCTCCATTGGTATTATGTATTATACTTTTCACCATATTTTCTACTCTGTATCCTCATCCAGTTACTATAAGTAATTAGGTAATTTAATAAAACAAGATTGATTAAGGTGGCTTAATTTTCCTCACCATTATTAAATTAAATACATGAAGTAACCAATGCTTCTGTGATGCTGAGTTTTTTACGAGTAATAATTTATTCTCTCTTTCTCCCTCTCTCTCTATGTGTGTGTATATATACACAAACATATATATACACACGTTTTTATATATACATATATAAGTGCATATGTGTGTATATGTATATGTGTATATACATATATATAGAAACATTGCTGGCATAAAACTATTAGGATTTTATATATTTCAATGGGCAGTGATTCTGATCACACATTAGCAACTAATTTTAAATTGTTTTCCTACATTCCCACATGTGCACATACATATTTTACCTTATATCAAATATTTCCATTATTATGGTATTTGTTTCCTCTTTTCAAATATTGCTTATGGAGATAGTCAATGAATTAGGGCACATAAAAGATCTTCTTACTCTTCTACAGAAAAAATAGGCTCTATTGAGCCATTTGTGGAGGAGAATATAGGCATCTTTTGTCTGCAGTTTGAAACCACAAATTTATTTTGTGTTCTGAAACACAAATTACAATTACAATCATAGCTATAATTATAATTAGAATAGGAACCATATGCAGGCATGCAAGGAAACGATTCAATCTGGTGCCCTTGAAGTGATCTTTCTGTTTTTATAATAAATGAAAATGCACATACTTGTAAATTTAACTGCAAGACCACAAGTTTGGAGCAGGAGGACTAGCAGAAAGGTATTGTTAGCTTGGTAAGTTATATGTGGTGAGCTCTTTAACGCCACTTGTTAAAATTTTTTGTTAATCAACTTAATTATATTAATTTGTCTAGGACATTTCTCATGTTTATCCAGTTATTAATGAAATTTATACCATGCTTAATAAGGCTGAGTTTAATAAGATACTGAGCATGGTAAATGTGTGCAATTCCTAATAAATTTATCCTCACGTTAAAACGAGTAAGCGAATGTCCTAGAACCCCTGAAAAACCCCCTCCCATCCTCTGTCATGCCTGCAATGTCTTTCTGGCTCTTTCTCATCTCTGTGCATTGCTGATGTGCTTGTCACTTAGGGGCCCCTCGTGCCTGTTCCTTTTTTTTTTTTTTTTTTTTTTTTTTTTTTGAGAAGGAGTCTCGCTCTGTCATCAGGCTGGAGTGCATTGGTGCGATCTCGGCTCACTGCAACCTCTACCTCCCAGGTTCAAGCGATTCTCCTGCCTCAGCCTCCTGAGTAGCTGAGACTACAGGCGCCCGCCACCATGCCCAGCTAATTTTTTGTATTTTAGTAGAGACGGGGTTTCACCACGTTGGCCAGGATGATCTCGATCTTCTGACCTCGTGATCTGCCTGCCTTTTCCTGTTTTTGGTCCATACTGTGGGGACAAGATGACTCGTGGTGAAAAAGAAAAGCCTAGGAACATAGATAAGCCAAGCCCCATACCTGGTTTCTTTTCCTTTTTGTGCTACAACTGCCTAAATGCGCATCTCCCAACATGACCTCCTCACCTCTCCCTTCTTCCTCCCCAGCTACAGATCTCCTTATCTTCACCTGATGCATAGACACCCAACACAACATCTTGTTTTGAGACTACACGCTATTGTGGTCTGTTAGAGATAAGACTCTGGAAACATATTTCAGCTACACTACCTACCAGTGGTACGCGACAGGACACGTTTATGGAAAATGGGGATGAGAATGCAGTTTTCCTGGGTTTGAGAGAATTATTGAGTATTTATGACTTAGTAAAGAATTATTTGGAAGGAACAGACCATCTGCTCAAAGGGAACATTGATTGCAAGTGTCATTCGGCCTTTCTCTGCCTGTCTCTCACTCTCCGTTTGAGCCACATGATTTCTGTCTGTGAGCCTGCCTCTGTTTTCTCACCTTGAACACTGGCTTTATTCTGTTTTGTTTTGGTTTGTTTCTCTCCTTGCATATTACCCAAGTATGGCTGATTGTGACTGGGTGTAATGACCTCCCAATCAAAAGCCCTAACGAGACTCCCCAGAAAACACCCAAAGGTGAAGGTGCACTGGGAAAAAATGAAGTTGCGTGGGGGCATCAGAAACAGGAGGCGTGGCCGGGAGCAGCAGGTCAGGAGAGTGCAAATGGAAGGAAAGAGCAGGTCTGCTGAAGCCAAGTATTGGATTTCCCTGCAGAGCAAACCCAAAGTCGTTTGAAACCGCCCTTTTTAATCCTCTCTGAAAGCCTTGCCCCATCTCTGCTGGAACCACTACTCAACCACCCTCCTTAGCTTCATGGAATGGGAGGAGAGAGGACACAACTCTTTGGCCATACTAAGTGGTGAGACTTGACTGCAGTACTTACAACTCAGGGATCATTTTTCCTGTCAAACTTCTAAATCTTATAGGACTTGAGAAGTTTATTAAGAGCTAAAAAAATAGGCTATTACAGTCTCACCTGAAGCTCAAATCATGCTGTATAAGATAGTTTCTTTAGAGAAACACCACGTAGTTACTATAAACTTACAAATGGACAATTTGTAAATTGGTGCTATTTTACAACATAATATTAAGTCGATTTCCTTGCATTTAAAAAATACATATTCTGAAATAATTTAGAAACACAGATAAAAAATACCTATGTGTCTGTCAGAAATAATAATAGCTAATATTTATGGACCACTCACTGTGTGTTTTATTAGGTATTAAATTATTTAATGCTCACAGCACCATAAAGGTAGGTACTAATACGATCTGTTTTACAAAAGAGGAGGTTGAGGCACAGACAGCATAAGGAATTTGATGAAGGTCACATAGTTACTGAATGGGGATTTCATCTCAGGCAGTCCACGTTATACTTTTAACTACTTCATTTTCACCCCTGTGTATTACCCTACTGTGAAAATAACCCAGTTTCTTCATTCATTTATTCATTCCACTATCGATGGACATTGAGCTTGATTGTTTTGCTATTGCAGACCTTCTAAGACCTTTCTTATCCGTGCCTTTGTATGCACACGTGAGAGAGGTGTTCTAACATATATAGCTAGGACAGCAATTTCTGGGTTAAAGGATATGAGCACCTTTGACTCTCTGAGATATGGCAGATGGCTCTCCGGATGATAGGGCTATTTTGTATGCCTTCTAGAAACGTGTAAGGGTGCTCGTTGTCTACATCTTCATCTGCACTTGATGTTATCAGGCTTTTACACCAGATGACACGAAATGGTGTCCTGTAATGTAAATTTGCATCTCCCTGATCTCCCTGATTAATGGATGTTGAACATTTTTAGGTTCAAGGGCCACACATTTTCTTTTTTTTTTTTTTTTTTTTTTTGAGATGGAGTCTTGCTCTGTCGCCCAGGCTGGAGTGCGGTGGCGTGATCTTGGCTCACTGAAAGCTCCGCCTCCTGGGTTCACGCCATTCTCCTGCCCCAGCCTCCCGAGTTGCTGGGTCTACAGGTGCCTGCCACCACGCCCGGCTAATTTTTTGTATTTTTAGAAGAGACGGGGTTTCACTGTGTTAGCCAGGATGGTCTCGATCTCCTGACTGTAGATTGCTTGTTTATCTCATTTGCCCATTTATCTGTTGATTTTTCTAAGTGATGTTCAGGAATTCTGAGTGTTTCTAAAGGGTATATTGTTTCTTTCTAAATAAAAATTTAAGATATTAGATATAAAGACAAATCTAAAATATTAAATGCTTGACACATGTGCCTTTTTCATCTCTCCCATGTTTAGTCAATAAGGCAATTCTTTTATGTGGTATTAAAGAAACCGATTAGAAAGTTGCTTCGTTGTGTGCTTAAGTGTGAGTCTTAGAAAGGTGAAAAGTTATAATTGACTCTTTTAGCACCAAACCAAGCAGGTATATAGCTGTTTAAATACTATTTTAGCATAAGCCATAGCTGTGGGAAGGGTCACTCCAGTGCTTGATAAATAGAAGTCTATTCAATTGGACCCTCATTCCTCAGCGGCTGCTGTGACAAGCCGTTTTCCCGCTGCTGCTCAGGTAGGAGTTTTCATCTCTTGACACTTTGACAGATGTGGCTGCACACTTTTGAACCATCTTCCAACACACCCCCGTGCTCTATTACCATGAGGAAAGTCTCTGACAAGAGAATGAAAGTACATATGCATGAGACGTGGTACAATGGATGTCAGTTTCCCTCTGGTAGCATATTCCACCGCGTGCCTCCTGTGAGGAACAGAGGGAGGTAACAGGTGCTTGCTGAAAGTAGGTCAAACGGTGGCGAAATTATTCCTTCAGTGTTTTAATGCTCTTTGAAAACATTTCCATTGAAGGCTAAGATTGAGGGGAGGTGGCCTGTGTGATGTGAGCATTTCAAGTGACAAAGTGACATCCTAGGCACTCCTGAAACTGTCTTCTTCGTGAACCTTCCCACAAACTGGCAGATCATTTCAAGAATTGATGGAGCCCATGAGAATGTAGGTTCCCTCCAGAACGCAGCTCTCTCCCCAGCCCATTCCCACAAAGAAACTAGGTTTTCCCTGCATTTCCAGAAACCTCCAAACCAACCCATTATGCTTCTCCTTTTGTCCTCTCCAAATTCAATCTGATCCTTCTTCAATTCTGTCATTACTTCAGTATTTTGATATTTTTTGACTCATTCTCTCCACTCCATCTTCATATTCCTGCCCTCAAAATCAGGTCAGTGCTTCCTCAACAGAGTGATCTCTGATTCCTTGATTATATTTGGTCATTTTCTTTTTTGTTTCTCTTTCTTCTCTATTGCTTCATTCACGATAGGCATTTGCCAAAAATTTTCTGAATTATACGTGATTGTACATATCCAGCTGCGTTCACGTGCAGAAAACATAGCCTCACACACAGCAGACCCAAATTCTTACTCTCCCCTTAGGCAGGTGTCAAACGATACTTCCCCCAAATGCTCACGCATGCACGCAAACAGAGACACACAGTCAAAAACACAGCATGCATGTGTACACACACATACACACTCATACAGGCTCACACATGCATGCAGAGACACACAGTCAAAAACACAGCATGCATGTGTACACACACACACTCATACAGGCTCACACATGCTCACACGCACACACACCTCAAACACACACAGTGACACAGACACACACATGCACACTCGTGCACATACACATGCCTACACACTTATACATGCTCATGCACGCTCACACAACTCACATGTACATACACACACAGTGACACACAATCGCAGACACACACATGCACACAGGCACACACACATATCTACACGCACATGCTCATGCACACACACTTCACACGTACATACACACAGTGACACACAATCACACGCACACACATATGCACACATGCATATGGCTACACACACGTGCATGCTCACACACACCTCACAATGCACACTCACAAACGGTGACACACTGACACACACACACATGCATGCACACAGACATGCATACACACGCTTATACACACACACACCTCACGCATACTCAGTGACACAGTGACACACAGACATTTACATGCTTATGCACACATGCACACACACATGCACAAACACACTTGTACATAATCATGCATGCTCACACATACACACGCACATACCTCACACACACACATACACTCACACACAGGCGCACACACATTCATTTTCAATTTCTCAGGGGAATATAAAACAACTGCTTGGAGGAAAAGTTTGTAGGAAAAAGTGAATATAAAAATGGTTATGCAGTAATTACCTGGAATAAATATTAAAACCAGGAAAAATAAAATAGCTACATGTAGAAAGGGGTAGCTAAAATGCTACTTGAAAAAGGCCTATTGTAATTTTGAAGTCAGTGGCCAAATAAACTAAACAGAGAGGCCAATTGTATAAATCCTCAGTTCTAAATATCCCATATATATTTATTTAAATATATATTCAATATGTATCTAATATATCCTGATTATATTTCAAATAATAATTATATTTAGAATAGACACCAGATGACCAGGCATAGGATAATAAAAAATAAGATTAAAATATCAGTGTTATTTTTATTTATTTGTTTATCTGTCTTACTGGCAATTAAACAGTTTTGCTTCTTTGATTTTTAAACCTCACTGGAAGAAATATGCAGAACATTTTAAAATTATTTGCATGCCACATTATCTCAAACTAAATTCCTGTCTCCTATTATATTTTCATCCTCCAGTTTGAATCAGTCCTATAACTCTTGAATGTTTACAATTATATTAATTAGGAGACATGTGCTAACTTATGCCAAGCATTTTTAAAATGTCCATTGGAGACAAATTTCCATCACCAAAGATTTGTTGCATTGTCACCTTTGGCAAAAATGAAGGATGAGTTTTTCTGTTTGTTCGTTTGGTTTGGTTTTGCAAGTCTTGATCTCCAGGTTAAATACACAGCCTTCTTTAAGACTTAAACCCAGGGTTTGAAAGTGCTGTGTATTTTCTCAGTGTTCAACACAATCTGCAGTAGAAGGGTTTGGAGCAGCAATATGATGCCTTATGCACTCTAAAGCTGCTGACAGGTTTAGACATAATCTAAAATGTAAGTCACTTTGTGTATCAGGCAGTTCAGTCCTTCGCATTTGTTTTAATGTTTTTCCTAAATACTCTAAATATTTCAAAATGAGTCTTTCCTTAAAGATTCTACATAGCTCAAAATTATTTTATTTATGTATGCATTTATTAAATATCACAAGTGAGGTCCTGCATTGCATTAGAAATGCAGTGTATTAGAAAGGACAGCTAGCTTCAATTTTGAATTCATAATTTGTCTCTTGAGTTTAAAACAAAAGTTTTGTGTTCAACTGCCCACCGTTTAATACTAAAAATAAAAGATGAACATAAAAGTCAATTTGAAGTGATTCTAGATGTAGGAATTTAATTAGCTGTGGGAATGTCAATGACATCTCAAAACCATCATGGCGTCGTGTCACCTGTCTAGCAGCCCTATTGTAGTCCTTCCTGACTTCTCACTAACTTACCCATGAAGACAAAGATAAAGAAAAACTCACAACAATACAGGTAACTAAGAAAGCACCTTTTGTCAAAGTCTGTTGAGATTATTCAGTAACTATGTGGTTGGCGGAGTACTAGTGAGAAAAATATAAAACATCATGTATATTCAAATTGTTTAATCTAATGCGTCCATCCTTTTAGGAACTCAGTACTGAAGTCTAGGAACATCAGGCTAAAAAAAATAATGGTTGGATTTTTCTACTCTTTCTAGACACCAGGGAACATGAGAGAAAATTATTGTGGAAGGACTAATATTCTTATTTTTATTATTACCTATGTCCAGCCAAGTAAGCAAGGTCAACACTTCACCGTTGAAAAGCCAAGATTTTAGCATTTTCATTCTTAATTTTTACTCTAGTATTTCACTGACACTTGAGTGTATGTCAGAATCAGAGGGTCATGAAGAAGGGACAGCCCTGGTGACTGCCACAGGCTGAGACTTACTGCTGGAACATGTATAGTGAGGCCTCCTTTGTTGACCATCACCCTGGGTCTTCTTGTGCCCAAAGCAGAATGGTGTGGCTTCCTGGAATAGGAGATCATATTACTTGAAGCAACAAGATTGTATTGCTTGAACTCTAGTGTCCTAATTTGTTTTACTCACTTTGTATTAATACATGCCAAAGATAGGGAAGGGGATGAAAGGGTCTTGGGACCACCATCTAGGTTACAGCATCCCTCTTTTAGGAGTCCTTGCTAAGACACCTCAGGGGAAACTGCCTTTCTGAAGCCTGGCTCATGGTCCAGTTAACTATGTCAACAGTACCAACATTACTTTCATTTAATACAGGAGATAGAGAAATGTTTCACCCCCGAGGCTACTTTCCTCAGAAGGAGGCAGAAGATGCTCCATGGCCAATTGAGTACATGGAGGAAATTAAGTTATATCAAAAATTATTGTTGAATCTACTATGAATCCAGCCTTGCAGGAACTGAGTACTGAAGCTTAGGAACACCAGGCTAAAATATATATATATATATATATATATATATATGAGCTTTTTCTACTCTTTCTGGACACCAAGGAACATGAAAGAAAAGTGTTGCGGAATAACTAATATTTTTTATTTTTCTTACCCATGTCCAGCCAAGTAAGCAAAGTGAACACTTCATTGTTGAAAAGCCAAGATTTTAGCATGTTTATTCTTAATTTTTCTTCCAAGTCAATAATGAAGTCATGCAGGGGTATTGAGTTCTTAATCCATAAATTATAGGTTAGTTAATTGAAAGGTTTTTGTACATGTCATCATTTACTTTTCCTTTCTCCTACTAATCCATAAATGTAGGCCACAAAGTGTGAGGAAACCAGGAGATTTTAAGTAGTGTTCTATAAGATAGTTTAAATTGTGAATATCCATTATGGCATTGTACTCTAGGAAATACATGTTGTCCTAAATTGAAGCTTTCATAAAGAAAATTTCCCATGTTTTAAATCAATTCAAGACAGATGATTTTATTGGGCAGGATATAGGAAAAGTTCTGTTTTAAATATTTCTTACTTTAACTGATATATTTGTATCTCTGTAGTCTTAGTGGCAGTATCCCAATGCCCAGAAATGGCTTTTGTGTGCTCCTAGTGCTTAGTAAGGCATCATAGCTATGTGACTGCCATGGCATTATGATTGATAAGGAGTCTCTAAACAGCAGAAAAGGACTATATGTAATATATATGACCCAGACTAGAGTAACAAAGCTAAACACCTTAGAAAAGCCCAGAAAATAGTCTCCCCTTCCCACAAGGGTTATTATTTATGATCAATGTATGAGTTTTCAAATACCCTACAGCAGACTCAGAGATGCCATAAGAGCTGGGGGAGCTGGGTGGTGAACAATCAAGTTGAAGTCCAGGAGTCCTGACTGTTAGCATTTTCTGCTTTCCATAATGTAAATGCTCCCACCATGGCCAATTTCAAGTCACCAACATGACATCAGTAAACATGAAGGTGGAGAGAGATGTGATTGCAGCTCCAGCACACCACAGCTGGGGCAAGCTGCACTCCCACTGCAGTCAGAGATGGCATATACATACATACATGTCATACATGTCTATGTAAACACGTTGCAAAATTTTGTTTGCAGAAAGTGGAATTTTTGATGCCTCCATCCAAAGTACCTAGTTTCCAACATCACTGTAGAGGGAAAGAGAGAGGGAGACTTTCGAGAAGGCACACCCTTTCTCAAAGTGACACATCCAAAGTGATGCATCACTTCCATTTCTGTTCTGGTTGTGAGAACCAATCACATTGCTCCACTTCAGTAATAGTAAGCTGAGTGATGTAGATGAGCTATATGCCAGGAAGAGGAAACCAGCTTGGTAGGTATAATAGCTTTTGCTAAACCACAAGGCATCCTAAAACTTAATGGCCTGGACAGACACTAACTCTTGCTCATGAATTTGCGGATCAGTTGAACAGCCCTGCTAGTCTGAGCCAATCTCAGCTGACTACAGCTGAGCTCACCCCTGCCTCTGCGGTCAGCCACTCGTCAGCTGGCATCTCTGATTTTGGGTGTGGCTCGCCATTAATTGGAATGAAGAGAATGGCAGGGCCCATGGCCACCTGGCCACCATGCAACAGGCTAGGCTGCAGGGTTGATGTGGTCGCTCGGGGTTCCAAGAGCAGCAAGAGTAATTTCTAATACACAAGTATTTTCCAAGTCTCTGCTTACTTCACCTTTGCTACCATCTCACTGACCAAAATAAGTCACATGGCTGAGTCTGGAGTTGGTGTGGAGGATACTGCCAAGGATGTGTGGATACAGGGAGGTGAATTCAATTGGAGGCCACTGGGTTTTTTCACACAGGCTAAGAGGAATTTGAAAATCACTGGCTTGGCATCATAATCAATCCTGCTTAGAGGTGATTTCTTTCACACCAGCCATTACTGGTGCTTTTTCCTTCTTGTTAAAATCTAGTTTGTGTTGTAAAGTCAAGAGGAGCTGGTGATTGAAAAAAATAACATCCACATGTGTTTGTTGATTTGTGATTTCACATCTAACCTTACTCTTACAGAGTAGAGTGAAAGCTATACTCACATGGCCTAGAGATAAAGGGTCTGTCCAGGATTCCCTTACTCGGCTCTCCATTCCAATAAAGAGAGCCAGCCACTGATAGGGCGTGGCAGCTGGCAGGGTGTCCACTGAAATCATAGGCTCTTGGTACCTTTGTGGAGATGGACATGTGGATTCCCTTCTGTCCTGACTCTCTAAGGACGCATCAGGAACAGACAGATGGGAAAGGCAGTCTCTAAGGATATCCACTGGTTATGTTTTCAGTGTTGATATAAGTGTTACCTTTTTCATATAAATTCTTTGTATTGGACAGAATAATTGTGTACATTGATAGTAGAAGTAATGAATATCCAGATGTCTTCTAAATAAGGGAAGCAAAAGATGTCCCACTTGCAAATGGGAGATTTATTTTAGGTTTTATGCATTTGGTCTTTTACATTGTGTCCTTGTTCTTATGTTCATGGCTCATATGCAAGATGGTTTCTGAGAATTTCATCATGTAATTGCATTGTTCTCCAAATAAGTTTATTTCAAAATCCAATTAAAACACAAGTTTTAGTACATGGCTGATGCAGTATTCAGTGGAGGAGACTTTGTTTTACTAAGTTGAGTTGTTTTACTCACTCAAGCAGCAATTTAAAGACAGATTTCATTTCTGAGCTGTACTATTCATTATCCTAATTTATATTTATTGCAACCTCTGAGACCACTATTTTGTCTCTTTGCCTACAGTCTTCAGAATCTTTAAGTTACTGTTTCATAGGAAAAATTATTGGAGAAATTTAATAGAAAGAGCTTTTATGAAGTACTTAAGCATTTATACCACAAAAAAAGATAAGATAGCTTTAGATCATTTTGAAAGTTTATAAATGTTCACGGTCCATTTCAAGATTACTAATCTCTTCCACCTGATTTCTTATGTTACACCTTCAGGCCTTCCCTGTAAGCAACTGACTGCATCTCTACTTTCAAATCCTTAGAGTGCTTTCCAAGACTGAAATAATGAGAGTTACAGAGCACACGGTGTCCACTGCAGGCTAGACTCTACACTGAAGTCTCATTTATTTTCGTTTTACAGCCAAAAGATGTAGATGTCATCATACTCATTTCCTCTGTGAGAAAACTGAGTCACAGAAAGGTGAAATCCAGCACAGAGACAAGATTTAAACTCAGTTCATCCTGTCTTCAAAATTGATATTCCATTAAACCATGGCAATCTTAAATCTTTCTGTGAAAAACAGATTGTCTTCAGCTTTCAGATTTAGGGTTCATGTACTTATACCTTCTATCCAACCACAAATACTTGGTGAGGAAGCTGCTGTCACTCTTTTTTAATATATAGAGCAATGTTGACTGATGAATTTTGACTGTCTGATACAAGGCAAGAGACTACCTGGTTTGGGCTCACAATGTCTAAGATGTTTCTATCTCTGTGGGCCTAGAAATCTACTTAGACTTTCTGAGCCTGTTTCTCCATATGTAAAAGGGGATGCAAAAGTATCTACCTCACAGAGTTGTTGAGGATTAAAGATGTTATTACATGAGCAAGCAACATCTTTGGAATGAATCTTGGCACAAACCAAGCACTCCAGAAAACAGTAGCTCTTATTTCAATAATCCATCCTGTTGGTGTCCATTTTAATTGCGTGAGAAGCCCTCCCCGTGTTTGGCTTAGACTTCCACAGTCTCCTGGGAGGTTTGCTTTCATGGCAGGACTCAGAATCAATGCGGGAAAAAGTGACCTTTCTTGTTGTTCTGCTTGAGGTTGGACTCAGTCCCATTGTTCCAGACTCATTGTCTCATTACACTTTTGGACACAAAGCAAGATGAAAGCGTTGGTTGCTGTTATGAGTTTTATATCTGTAGTTGTCAAAGTTACAGAGACCCCACGTTGGCAAGTCACCTTGTGTGGAACCCTATGGTCAGGTACCATTTTGTAGCCCTGGGCACTTTTATACAATCATGTTTCATAGAAGGTGATTTGAGCTGGTATACAAGACAGTTTGAGCTGGTGTCTGTCAAAATCGTTGACAATGCTGTGTTAGTTTCCTGTTGCTGCTGTAACAAATAACCACAAATTCAGTGACTTAAAACCACACACATGTATTCTCTTAGAACTCTGCAGTTAGAAGTCCAAAATGGACTTCCTTAGGCTAAACACAAGGTATCAACAAGGCTGCATTGCTTTGGGAGACTCTGGAGAAGAAATGGCTTCCTTGCTTTTTTCACATCCTGGAGGCCACCTGCATTTGCATTTCTTAACTTTATGAGAGTCTGTAATGATGTCTTTATAATGCCTCCAAATGGTTGCAAAACTAACACATGCTTTTGTTTTTATGAAGCCAAACAGATTTAGTTGATTTTTGACCATGGAGTTGGGGTATGGGGACAAGGTTGGCAGCCATTTTTATGTTAGTGTAGTCCAACATATTACATTCCAGCCAGCATCTGTGGTATTCTATTCTAGTCATTATAGACTTTTAGAATCATGAAACTGTGAAGTTGCAAATAATCTTATAGGTCACCCAGTGCAGCCTGCTATTAAGGAGTATCCCCTACAACAGTGCTTCTCAAAATTCAACATGCTCACGAATCACCTGGGAACCGTGTTAAAGATACAGATTCTGATTCAGTAGGCCTGGGATGGGGCCTGAGATCCTGCATTCTTAATAATTGCTTCCAGGTTGCTGCTGGTCCAGGGACCACACTTTGAGTAACAATGCTCATTCCTGACAGATAATGCTGCCTTGGGGATTAATCTAGTATAGACTCTTTGTATTTTGAAAATTCCAGCTGTCATATACACAGATAAGTAATTTTTGGATCAAAGCCAAACTAAAAACATATCCAAAACTCCTCTGCTTTTAAAAAATGTAAACCAAAATGACATTGCAATTAAAGGAAACTTTAAAAAATCAAATGTGTATGTGGAGTCTGAAGGACCTTATATTAAAATATATAAATAAAAAAGAATATGCACACACATATGTGAATCCACATATGTATGTACTCACATACACATATACTAGAGATGTATGTGTTCATCTGTCTACATAGATAGGTAGAGGGATAGATCATGCATCCATATTAAATAATGCAATTGTGAAGACCTCAAGTCATATAATATTTTGTGGTACTGACTCAGCTTTAACATTTTCCTTTATATTAATTTTTATTAGAAAATAAAAAATTGAAAAGTATAAATTTGGACTTTCCTGTAGATACAAGGATGAATCTAAATGTAATGTCATCAGCCTTTTTACATTAAAGAAACTGATAGCCAGTTTCAAGCACTGGCTGAAGTGAATTGAGTTGAAGTGGGCCATGCCACTAGCTCTAACTTTAAAGCTGGAGTTACTGATTTTAATATTTAAATGTAGGTACTGCACATATTTATCACCTTAATTCTTATTTAATATTTGAAAGTTACTGCTTTGGAGAAAGTCAGCTAAGCAATGGTGATTATAGTGTATCAAAATCCATTGTAAGTGATTATTTTAATAACTCTGAACCAACAGGGACATGTAGACATTCAGACAAAAAACAACCTAATTATAATGACAGCACCAAAGTGAAGCTGTGACAGTTACAAAACCAATTTAAAAGTTTCCTGACAGCCATGGCTAAAAGCTTTGTTTGGATCTTTCAGTAATAACAGTTTACTTAAGACATAAATCCACAGCTAAGGAAAATAGAAAAAGAAAGTTGTGGCTTTTCTGCCATGCAGATGAAATGGAAATCAGCAGAAATATTTCTAATAGAACATTATGCTGAAAGGAGTATAGAAAAGGAATAATAGTAATGGAATTTAACTCTCACAATGCAAGAAAGACTAAATAACAATAAAAATTTTAATGAGCATAGAAATGTGCCAGATGATTTGCCTATCTGTGTTATGAAGGTCAGTCATTTCTGCAAGTAAATTGATGTGCATATAAACATGTTGATTGGCAGCTCTGGAATTTGATTTTTGTATTACCTGTAAAATAAAGTCAAAGGGAAACGGATATGCATCAATAGCCACGGTGACAGGAAGCCTTAATAAAAGTCTACTTTCCCGATGTCACTGGCATGTCTCAAATTATTAGATCCTTATCAATGTTACTTACCTCACTAGACTATGGGCTGAGTCTGATATGCAACATAATTAATTCTTCAACCTCGGGTAATTAATTTCTCATTCCCGAACAGAAAAATGCTTGATTCACAAAATTGCATTCCTTTTTTCTGTAAACCTTTGTAGAATATTTGTAAGTGTAATCACTGTTCTAAGCCCTTTACATATATTGACTCATTTAAAATTAATAACAAGTCTTTGGAGTAGGTACTATTTTCTCCACTTTATCAATGAGAAAACAGAGGTTTAAGTAACTCCCCTGGGGCCACAGTGCCAGTAAGTGGTGGAGTTACGGCTCCAGGCAGTTTGGCCCAGAGCACCTGATGTAGGATAAGGAAGACCCCATGAAACACATACATAGAGTCATGGAGACATTGGCAGTGCTCAGAAGAGGCAGTTCTTGTTCTCTTACCCCATTTTAGTAATAACAGTTTGCTTAAGACATAAATCCACAGCTAAGGAAAATAGCTCTTTGAGCTGCAAGGACTAAAGGATTCTCAGGTCAGACCAGACAGTAAGGGCATGTGTTAATAAATACCCAGAAGAAATGAAACCTCAGAAAGAGGATGTGTGGTGGCGCTAGTCCCTGGGCAGATGTGGCTCAGTGGTGTGTTGTTTGTGCTCAGTTCCTTTCCATAGGTCTGCTTCTCTCTCCTCTTTCTGCTGCCCAGGGCCTTCAGCCTCCACTCTCTCCATTTAAGTATTCTCTACCCCACAGTGGGCAGCGGGCCCCAGAATGGACTTTAAATAGACTAGGGTAAAATGACTTAGTCTCTCTGAACTGTGTGAAATGTGAGTAATATATCTCACCATATAGAGCTATGGTGGATATTAAAGTAGATAAAACAAATAACATTTGAATAATGTGGATTATGACCAAGTCGGATTTATCCCTGGGATACAAGGATGATTCAACATATGCAAATAAATGAATGTGATACATCCTATCAACAGAATGAAGGATAAAAGCTATATGATCATTTCAATTCATGCTAAAAAAGCATTTGGCAAAATTCAACATCTCTTCATGGTAAAACCCCTCAGCAAAACTGGGGATAGAAGGAACATACATCAACATAATAAAAGCTATATATGACAGACCCACAGCTAGTATCATACTGAATGGGGAAAATCTGAAAAGCCTTTCCTCTAATACCTGCAACATGACAAGGATGCCCACTATCACCTCTGTTATTCAACATAGTACTGGAAGTCCCAGCTAGAAAAATAGGACAAGAGAAAGATTAAAGGGCATCCAAATTGGAACGGAAGAAGTCAAATTATCCTTGTTTGCAGATGATATGATCTTATATTTGGAAAAACCTAAAGACTCCACAAGGAAACTATAAGAACTGATGAACAAACCTAGTAATGTTGCAGGATACAAAATCAACATACAAAAATTAGTAGCATTTCTATAAGCCAACAGCAAACAGTGTGAAAAAGAAATCAAGAAAGTAATCCCATTTACGGTAGCTACAAATAAAATAAAATTCCTTGCAATTAACCAAAAAATTGAAGGATCTCCATAATGAACACTATCAAACAGTGATGAAAGAAATCGAAGAGGACACCAAAAATGGAAAAATATTCCATATTCATGGATTGGAAGAATCAATATTGTTAAAATGTTCATACTACCCAAAGCAGTCTACAGATGCAATTGAATCCTTATCAAAATACCAATGATATTCTTCACAGAAATAGAAAAAAATTCTAAAATTATATGAAACCACAGAAGAGCCAAATCTATCCTAAACAAATTGAACAAAGCTGGGGGAATCACATTACCTGACTTCAATTTATAATTCAAAGCTACAGTAATCAAAACGCCGTGGTACTGCCATAAAAACAGACACATAGACCAACGAAACAGAATAGAGAACCCAGAAGGAAATCCACACACCTACAGTGAACTCATTTTTAACAAAGGTGCCAAGAACATACACTGGGGAAAAGAGAGTTCCTTCAATAAATGGTCCTGGACATCCATATGCAGAAGAATGAAACTAACCCCTATCTCTGTAAGGTACAAAAATCACATCAAAATGGATTAAAGACTTAAAGCTATGACCTCAAACTATGAAATTACTACAAGAAAACACTGGGGAAAATCTCCAGGACATTGGACTGGGCAAAGATTTTATGAGCAATACCCCCATAAGCACCGGCAACCAAAGCAAAAATGGACAAATGGGATTACATCAAGTTACAAAGCTTCTGCACAGCAAAAGATACAATTAACAAAGTGAAGAGACAACACACAGAATTAGAGAAAATATTTGCAAACTACCCCTCTGACAAAGGATTAATAACCAGAATATATAAGGACCTGAAACAACTCTATAGGAAAAATCTAATAATCTGATCAAAAAATGGGCAAAAGATTTGAATAGACATTTCTCAAAAGAAGACATACAAATGACACAAACAGGCATATGAAAAGGTGTTCAACATCATTGATCATCAGAGAAATGCAAATGAAAACTACAATGAGACATCATATCACCCCAGTTAAAATGGTTTATATTCAAAAGTCAGGCAATAATAAATGCTGGTGAGGATGCGAAGAAAAGGGAACCCTTCTACACTGTTGGTGGGAAGGTAAATTAGTACAATCACTATGGAGAACAGTTTGAACATTCCTCAAAAAACTAAAAATTGAGCTGCTGTAATTTAGCAATCCCACTGCTGGGCATATACCCAAAAGAAAGGAAATAAGTATATCTAAGAGAAATCTTCACTCCCATGTTTGCTGCAGCACTGTTTGCAATAAGATTTGGAAGCAACCTAAGTGTCCATCAACAGACGAATAGATAAAGAAAATACAGTACATATGCGTAATGGAGCACTATTCAACCATAGTAAAGAACAAGATCCAGTCATTTGTAACAACATGGATGGAACTGGAGATCATTATGTTAAGCGAAATAAGCCAGGCACAGAAAGACAAACATCACATGTTCTCACTTATTTGTGGGATCACAAAATCAAGATAATCAAACTCATGGACATAGAGAGTAGAGATTGGTTGCCAGAGGCTGAGATGGGTACTGGGGGGACGGGGGGAGGCAGGGATGGTTAATGGGAACAAAAAAAATAGAAAGAATAGATAAGACCTACTATTTGCTAGCATAATACAGTGACTGCAGTCAATAATAATAACTGTACATTTTAAAATAACTTAAAGAGTGTAACATAATCATTTGTAACTCAAAGGATACCCCATTCTCCATGATATGCTTATTCCCCATTGCATGCCTGTATCAAAACATCTTGTGTACTCCATAAATATATATGTGTATATATATATATTTATGTGTGTGTGTATATATATATATATATATACACTTACTATGTACCCACAAATATTTTTAATGTGAATAATATGGCCTGGAACATAGTAACCGTTTAATACATGATAACCTTTATAATAATACTCATTATGGCCAGGCATGGTGGCTCATGCCTGTAATCCCAACACTTTGGGAGGCCGAGGCGGGCGGATCATGAGGTCAGAAGATCGAGACCATCCTGGCTAACGTGGTGAAACCCTGTCTCTACTAAAAATACAAAAAAATTAGCCAGACGTGGTGGCGGGCGCCTGTAGTCCCAGCTACTCGGGAGGCTGAAGCCGGAGAATGACGTGAATCCAGGAAGCAGAGCTTGCAGTGAGCCAAGATCACGCCACTGCACTCTAGCCTGGGCGAGAGAGCGAGACTCTTTCTCAAAATAATAATAATAATAATAAATAATACTCATTATTTTTTAATGTTTAATTATCTTTATCTTAATGTAGGCAGTAGACTTGGACCAGACTTGGGTTCCAGTATTGAGTCCATCTTCAATCCCTGTTTGACAGTGGGAAAGTTACTTAACCTCTTTGAGCCTCAGTTTCCTTATTAGAATAGGTTCCTAGGGCTGTTATGAGTTAATTTATGTAAAGCACCTAGAAAAACTCCAGGTAGAGAGCAAGTATGATGTACATGTCACTTACTAGAAGTTGTAGTAAAATTTTCAACAAATATTTATGGAAGTAATAAGTAAAAAATAAATCTCAGGTTTCTCTTACTTTTCCAGTTGTATAATAATCATCTCTAAAATATTTTCATCTGCAGTATTCTCCCTAAACACAGAATAAAGAAATACTTGTTTTGTGTTACTAGCTTTTTAAAAGCCATTTATCCATACAGTCAGAATTAAGGATAAATACTACCCAACCAACCAATTAAAAATTAAGATGCAAGCCATACACAAATGATATATGTTTTCCATTTTTAGTCAAAAGTCTCTGAAACCATCTTCCTAGTCACTGTTTAGCTGCCTGAAAGAAAGGTTCCCTTGCCTGCCCAGTTCAGCAGTGTGGGACATGGATGGCTTTATCTTGGAAGCCCTGTTTTGCATAGCAGCACATCACAAAGGTGCTGTCAGCCAAGGACTAAGTCAATTACACTTAATCATGAGGTTTATTTCTTTGTTAAGAGTCTGTCTGTTTCGCCCCCTCAGAAAATGATGCGGTCATCCGTTTTCCACATGTTCATCCTGAGCATGGTGACCGTGGACGTGATCGTGGCGGCTAGCAACTACTACAAAGGAGAAAACTTCAGGAGGCAGTACGACGAGTTCTACCTGGCGGAGGTAAGCAGCTCTCCACCGTGCAGATCGCTGGGCAAGGAGCAGGTGAACCGCGGACAGTGCCTCTTAGAGATGCAAAAGTGAAGTGTAGCCTGTTCATTACTTGACTTTCACCAAAGCTGAATCATTGTCTGCTTCTTAAGTGGTTCCTCTGGTCACAGTGTGGCCTGATTCATTTCCTGTCACCGCGGGCCTGAGTCATCTTCCTCACAGTATGTCACGTTGCCAGGGTAACCCTTTTCCCCTGGGTCTTACTCTAGAATCTTGCTGTTTTCCTATCCACCTCTTATTATCTCTCCCTTTCTCAGCGTACATTAGTTTGTTTCCTACTAAGTACAAGCAGGCACAGATTCAGAAGATCATAAATAAGCTGGTCAGCTCAGCAATACGTAGAAGAGGGCTGGAAGGACATATAGAGAGATGGTAATGATAAATTACTCCTCTAGAAACGGGTGTTACAACCTACATTAAAGACACCAATTAAAGGTAGGTTTCATGATTAAATAAGCATCTCCCTAGCACTCTACATATCATATTACAGTTTTGGAATAGTACTTCCTATTGATAAGGTAATTTTGTTAATACCTGATTCTTAAAATATTTTAATTTTTATTTCTTTCAATAAGCATTTTGCATTTATATTAAAGCATTTTAATAATTTTCCAAGATCTTTGTTTTTTTAATGTAAAAACTTACCTAAAATATATCTCAGAATTCAATGGTTACATATTTACAAAAAAATTGATTGACAACGTAGAAACCCATTCATTGTGTGAGTGAGGTATACATACACAGTTGTACAACGCTTCAATAAATCCAACCTATGAAAAAGTAAACTGAAAAGACAGAAAAAAGTCACAATTTTATTATTTTTACCAAAGCATTTTTCACATAAAAAAAATCAATTTGCCATATAATTAAGTGTTATTACATTCCTAGAATTCTCTCAGTACATTTAAAAATTGATTTGGTTAATAAAAATTTAGTCTACCCACGCACAAGCTTTTCTGAAAAAGAATTGATTGCATGTACCTAACGAGCATAGACATCTACGTGGATATCAAGAAACTTTTAAGTAGTCGCTTCTGAATTCTCCTCTTCATGGAAGTATGTCTCCTGAAACAAAATACCGTTAATACAAAACTTTTACTGGGCTACAGTCTCTGTGATGCAACATTTGCCCAATGGCCACCTGGTATATGGAGCTTACAATCTAGCAAAAAAAAAAAAAAAAAACAATAAACAATAAGAGTTTTGTGCTATGGAGAACTAATGACAGGGGCTGATGAAGAAATTATATCCAGCCCAGCCTCTGAAAAATAGGTATAATTTTGCTGAAAATCCAGCACACGATGAATGGATTGTCAATAAAAGCAGAGAGAAGGTCGGGTATGGTGGCTTACGCCCGTAATCCCAGAACTTTGGGAGGCCAAGGCGGGTGGATCACGAGGTCAGGAGTTCGAGACAAGCCTGGCCAACATGGTGAAACCCCATCTATACTAAAAATACAAAAAATTAGCTGGGTGTAGTGTCGGGCACCTGTAATCCCAGCTACTCTGGAGGCTGAGGCAGGAGAATCACTTGAACCTGGGAGGCGGAGGTTGCAGTGAGCCAAGAGCGCACCACTGAATTCCAGCCAGGGTGACAGAGTGAGACTCCATCTCAAAAAAAAAAAAAAAAGCAGAAAGAAGCCTAGACTGATACTAATATTTGCAGGTAAATTTCTAACACAGGGAAAGAACAATGAAGGAAGCCTCATCAAGTTATTTCTGTTTTTCCCAGGAAGTAGGAAGCAAGGTCTGCATCCAGCCAGATGATGAGACAGTGAAGTGGGAAGTTGGCAAAGAAAGGGGAGAGGGAAGAGGTGCCTGGGGTTAGGCAAAAAATTAACAATACAGCAAATGCAACATTAAAGATCCATTTAGGACTATGGATTTACAGTGATACCAATTCAGATAGCTCTGCGACTTTTTAGCCCTGTATAAGAAGAGGGAAAAGCAACATTTAAATCAATCCACCTTTAGGGATTTTTTTCAGGTTAGGGGAACTGAGAAACAAGGGGAAAAGATGGATTGCTGGCAAAGGAGTTGAAATGATGACCCTGTGGTTTCTGTTGGATGTGGAAATGGGAGGAGAATGGAGGAGTGAAGGTGAAGGATCAATGGTCTCTATATGGTTAAAGGACGGGTACCACCAAAGTGATGGAATAATAGAACCAGAAGAGGTTATGATCAGAGAGTGGAGTCCAGGATTTTACAATTCCAGGGTAATTCTAAGTAATGAAATATAAAATCTAGGGTGTCACGTGAATGTGGGTGGCTTAAACATATTGATGGAGTCAAGGCAGAAATGGAAACGACTGTTGAAGCTAAGGCGCTGGCTGAGTCTTCACATGGACATTGAAGTCACTCAGAGTGAGGCCAGTTCTTGGAGAGAAGAGTGGAGTCAGGGAGCAAAGTCACGGGGAATGAGCGAGTGACTGATGAACAGATTGACAGAAGGACAGAAGACAGCTACAGGGAGAGTGGGTGACAGCATGGTTTAACCTCATGGAATACGTTGCAAAGGAGTATCAAGGAGTAATGGATGGGCACCTCTTCCTCGTCTACATGTTCTACTAGAAAGGGCTGGAAAGGGCTGCAGGGGTAACTCATGTATTTGAGAGAGAATCAGTTGAGGCACAGACAGAAAGTAGATTCTGGGAACAGAGATTGATAATGTAGAGGACATTATTTAACGTAGGAGAGACTCAAAGATTAGTTCAAGGCTCTGAGGAGGGAGAAGTGGGAAGATCGATGAGACAGAAGAATGATACAAGAGTAATAGCATCAGTAGGTAAAGATTTGCTGGCAAAAATGCCAGGAAACAAAAGCAGAAATGACCACAAGAGATTACAGTTATGCTTATCTCTCTGGGAGGAGGAATCTGCATCTGCTCCTGAGGGAATCTTGACATTAGAGATTACAGTAACATTGCTTTTGTGATCTAGCACAGGGTGGGCAGGTGGTCACACTAAATCAGTCCTGGAGCATAAGTGAATAGGCCCTCCACACTGGCAACAGCAGGGAAGGGAATTCTTTAGTAAATTTTACCTAACTTTTTCATGTACAGAATTGATCCTTTCCTAATGTGTTTATGTATGGTAGATGATTTATCCTCATACCTTAAGAAATTCCAACAAAATGTCAAATAATTGAATGTTGTAGAGTTGACTGGTTACTATTTAAGTGTATTGTAGAGTCCAGGGGTAGTTGGTAAATCCTTGTCTTTTTTCTTTTTTATATAATATTAAAAATAAAAACAACCTCAACAACAGACAGACAGGATTGGATGGTGGAATTCAGTATATATTATGTGTCCAATAATTGTTGTCCCCTGACAATAATAATAAGAAAGGGTGTGGGAGGAAACTTTGAGAGGTGGTGGATATGTCAATGGCATTGATGGTAATGGTTTCACAGGGGTACACTTATTCCCAAGTTCATCACATTGGTACATTACATGAATGCAGCTTTTAACATGTCATTCATTCTTTTTTTTTTTTTTTTTTTTTTTGAGACAGAGTCTCGCTCTGTCGCCCAGGCTGGAGTGCAGTGGCGGGATCTCGGCTCACTGCAAGCTCCGCCTCCCGGGTTCACGCCATTCTCCTGCCTCAGCCTCCCAAGTAGCTGGGACTACAGGCGCCCGCCACTACGCCCGGCTAATTTTTTGTATTTTTAGTAGAGACGGGGTTTCACCGTTTTAGCCGGGATGGTCTCGATCTCCTGACCTCGTGATCCGCCCGCCTCGGCCTCCCAAAGTGCTGGGATTACAGGCGTGAGCCACCGCGCCCGGCCACATGTCATTCATTCTTAACAAAGCGGCAAATCAGTTAACCAGCTAAAAACTAACTTGAAATCCTGGAAAAATAAATAAATAAATAAACTAGGTAGTGGTGATTTTGTTGACTTAAACAACCAGATAGACCCCATCAGTGTACTCTTGAACTACTTAAGCATTCTGAATTTGTTCCACTCTAGGTTTTGGGGTTTTTTTGTTGTTGTTTTTGTCTCCTTTTTTTTTTTTTTTTTTTTTTGAGACAGTCCCACTCTGTTGCTCAGGCTAGAGTGCAGTGGCACCATCTCGGCTCCCTGCAACCTCTGCCTCCCAAGTTCCAGTGGTTCTCTTGCCTTAGCATCCCAAGAAGCTGGGATAACAGGCACACCCAGCTAATTTTTGTATTTCTAGTAGAGATGGGGTTTCGCCATGTTAGCCAGGCTGGTCTCAAACTCCTGGGCTCGAGCGATCCATCCATCTTGACCTCCCAGAGTGCTGGAATTACAGGCGTGAGCCATCACTCCTGGCCGTTCCACTCTGTTTTTGATTTTGTGTGTTTGACTTTCCCCAAGTATGTTTCGTTTTTATTCAGATTACATTGCCATTTCTCTTTGTATCAGAAACTTATACATGAGACAAAGTGATTTGTTTCAAATGAATGTGAAAAAGTCACTTTAATTAAACTTACTTTTTCATAATATATTCTATTTTTATAAAGTTTATAAAGATGTCTTGAGTTTAGGCCAGGGTTTGGCAAACTCTTTCTTGCAGACCCAGATAGTAAACATTTTGCCTTTTGTAGACCACCCTCTCTCTGTCTCAACTACTCAACTCTGAAATTGTACAAAAGTGAGTGTGTCTCAGAATGGTTGTTTTCCAATAAAACTTTATTTACAAAAATGGATCTTGGTTTAAGCTATAGAAACAGAGAGCAATGTCAAATAATTGAATATTGGATTATATTCAATTATTTAAAATACAAATAAATAATAACATTTTGTGTTAAAGTCAAATATTTTAATACTGACAACAATAAAGCTATGATTTTTGGGGGGCCCATTATGTTCTAAGTGCTTTAAAAGAATTCATTGTCTCATTTAATTCTCAAAATAGTTATAATAACAGCAATTCAAGTTTATAGACTATAATGATGCAGTATGTAAGGCAATAGCATTATGTAATATTTTGAAAAGTTTATTTTAAAAATGGATCACAACAGGTCATGAGCTTTTAAAGAAGTTATTTTTTAAGTTCCCACATATTCCAGAATAAATTATTTAGAAAATCTAAAATAAAGCACTTTACCCATTAAGAGCCAACTCACAGTCTAAAAATCACCCTTTAAGAATAAATTAAGATACTTAGCTTCTGTTGTGAAGCTGGGGACTTGTTTTGTTACTTTGGATTAATTAACCTACATTTAGAATTAGTTAAGAAACAGGAAACAGTTTACCTCTTTTGTAGCCTATGCATAAACAGAAAAAGGTAAAGTTTATTTTCCTCTGTAAGAATTTTAACTTTTCATTGTGATCTAAGAGAATATATTATTATTGCACATTAAATCATATGTTATAATGAACATGATTACATTTTAAAATATATATTATTTTCTTAAGAAATAAAATATAAGCAATATTTTTCTTATTATTA